>NC_000017.11:78137620-78438030 GCF_000001405.40 Homo sapiens
AGGCACCTGCACCACAGAAACCCTCACAGGAGGCTAAGGGAAGGAAGGGCCGGGGTGGCCGTGAGTGGTGACGGGTCCCCTTCCCCTGCACCCCAGTGCTGGGAGAACTCCGTGGGGGAGGAGCTGTACAAGCTGAGTATCTTCAACTTCCTCCTCACCGTGGCCTTCGCCTTCCTGGTCACCCTGCCTCGGAGGTGAGCCCCGGGGTGACACCTCCAGAAGGGCGGGGGTGCCGCGAGCATGTTGGGGGTGGCCAGTGGCTACAGCCAAGGGTGAGCGGGTCCAGTGTGGAGCCCGGGAGTAAGTGGCAGGCTGTGGCCATGACCAATACAGCCCACGCATCTGTCTGGAGTGGTGAGTACCTGGACCCTCCCATCCCTGCAGGCTGCTGGTGGACCGGTTCTCAGGCCGGTTCTGGGCCTGGCTGGAACGGGAGGAGTTCCTGGTCCCCAAGAATGTGCTGGACATCGTGGCGGGGCAGACGGTCACCTGGATGGGCCTCTTCTACTGCCCCCTGCTGCCCCTGCTGAATAGCGTCTTCCTCTTCCTCACCTTCTACATCAAGAAGGTGACGGCTCATGGCTGGGGGGTATGGGGTTCGTGCCTCTGGGTGGATGCCTTGAGCTGGGCTCGCCTCCTGCTCCTGCTCCTGCCCCCTTCCCTGGGTGTCAGCCCCCTGGGGTCTGCATAACTCGCTGACTCCTGGTTGCTATTGCTTGCGCCCCCAGTACACCCTCCTGAAGAACTCCAGGGCATCTTCGCGGCCCTTCCGTGCCTCCAGCTCCACCTTCTTCTTCCAGCTAGTGCTCCTCCTGGGCCTGCTTCTGGCTGCAGTGCCCCTGGGCTATGTGGTCAGCAGGTGAGGGGAAGAGGAGGGGGGCACCCAGAGGCTGGCAGGGGCAGTTTCTCACCCAGGACCCTGATGCCAGCCCCACTTGGCCATCTCTCGCCAGCATCCACTCCTCCTGGGACTGCGGCCTCTTCACCAACTACTCAGCACCCTGGCAAGTGGTCCCGGAGCTGGTGGCCCTTGGGCTCCCGCCCATTGGCCAGCGTGCCCTCCACTACCTGGGCTCCCACGCCTTCAGCTTCCCCCTCCTCATCATGCTCAGGTTCTCAGGGCAGCCGGGGCCATGGGAGGGGACACCTGGAGGGGGAGGTCCTTCCTTCCATGGGGGTGGTGAGCCTGTGCACCCCCAACCAGGAGCCAGACGCAGAAAGCCAAGGGAAGCAGGGGCCTCTGAAAAGCAGGAACCTCCTGGGCCCACCCTCTGGGCTGCCATGGGGATTGCAGGATCACTGGGGAAGCACCGTGTCTGGGTGGCTGCAGCTGCTGAGCTATTGGTATTGCTGTGCCAGAGGGGAGGGGATGAGGGGCTCTGCGAGGAAGGAGAGGAGGGTCCCATCCTCAGATACAGCAGTGTGCAGTGAGAAGACCCCAGTACCGCGTATTGTAGAGATTGAGGTGGGGAGAGAGGAAGTCAGGGAGAGGCGCCTGTGGCCCCAGGGGCAACTGACCACGAATCCCCTTCCCACCCAAGCCTTGTCCTGACGGTGTGCGTCTCCCAGACCCAGGCCAATGCCAGGGCCATCCACAGGCTCCGGAAGCAGCTGGTGTGGGTGAGTGTCCTCGGGGCTGGTGAGGGGACAGCAGCTTCAGTGGAAACCCTTCCCTATGTGTGGCCGAGGGCCTAGAACACGTCTGAGCGGGTCAGGTGGGTTCTTCCCACTGGAGGGCGTGGCCTCAGGCTGAGAGTGAAGACGGGGAAGGGGAGGAAGAGAACAGCTCGGGCTCCTGAGACCAGGAGCCAGACCTGGTAAGTACATGACCTTAGGGGCTGGGCCTTTGCCTGTAATCCCAACGCTTTGGAGGCCCAGGCAGGAGGATCGGATCACTTGAAGCCATGAGTTAAAACCAGCCTGGGCAACAAAGCAAGACCCTGGTCTCCACCAAAAATAAGTAATTAATTTTTTAAAAGGAGAATGTGGCCGGGCGTGGTGACTCACGCCTGTAATCCCAGCACTTTCAGAGGCCGAGGTGGGTGGATCACCTGAGGTCAGGAGTTCAAGACCAGCCTGGCCAAAATAGCGAAACCCCGTCTCTACTTAAAAAAAAAAAAAAAAAAAAAAAAACCGGGCACGGTGGTTCGTGCCTGTAATCCAGCACTTTGGGAGGCCGAGGTGAGTGGATTGCCTGAGGTCAGGGGTTCAAGACCAGCCTGGCCAACATAGTGAAACCCCGTCTGTACTAAAAATACAAAAAATTAGCTGGGCGTGATGGTGGGCGCCTGTAATCCCAGCTACTAGGGAGGCTGAGGCAGGAGAATCGTTTAAACTCAGGAGGCGGAGGGGCGGAGGTTGCAGTGAGCTGAGACCGCCCCATTGCACTCCAGCCTGGGCAACAAGAGCAAAACTCCGTCTCAAAAAAGGAAAAAAGGATAACATGGCTGAGTGCAGTGGCTCACGCCGAGGCGTGAAGAGTGCTTGAGTTCAGGAGTTTGAGACCAGGCTGAGCAACATAGCAAGACCTCGTCTCTACTAAAAATCAAATAAATGAGCTGGGCGTGGTGGCGCGTGCCTGTGGTCACAGCTATTCCGGAGGCTGAGGTGGGAAGATCGCTTGAGCCTGAGAGGTCCAGGCTGCAGTGGGCTGTGGTCTTGCTACTGCAATCCTGCCTGGGCAACAGGGAGACACCCAGTTTCCACAAAAAAAAAAAAAAATTACGACTTTAGGCTTGGGGCCAGGGGCTTAATGGAGCTGAGGGAGGAACAGTGACCTGGCTAAGGCGTGGCCTCAGGGTGGGGCCTCTACCGGGGGCGTGGCCTTGGGCTGCTTGGGGACGGACTCTTAGCGGGCGTGGTCTAGATCTGCATGGGGTGGGACCCTAGTGGGGCGTGGTCTCAGGGTGCGTTGGGGGCGGGGCCCTTGGAGGTCGTGGTCTCGGGCGGGGACGTGGAAGGAGTGGCATCTGGCTGCGTTGTGGACGGGACTCCTGAGGGCGTGGTCTAGGGCTGCATCGGGGCGGGACCCTGGTGGGGCGTGGCCCTGGGAGGGTGTGGCCTCGAGCGGGGCGTGGCCTCGGGCGGGGCGTGGCCTCTGGCTACTTTGGGTGCGGGCTGGCCCATGGGCCGCAGAGTTGCTGCCGCTGCTGTCCTCACACCCGCTCGTGGGAAGCAGCGCCTGTCGCAACTCGCCACTTGTTCTCCTCACAGCAGGTTCAGGAGAAGTGGCACCTGGTGGAGGACCTGTCGCGACTGCTGCCGGAGCCAGGCCCGAGCGACTCTCCGGGCCCCAAGTACCCTGCCTCCCAAGCTTCGCGCCCGCAGTCCTTCTGCCCCGGATGCCCATGCCCTGGCTCCCCGGGCCACCAGGCCCCGCGGCCGGGCCCCTCCGTCGTGGATGCCGCGGGACTGCGTTCCCCTTGCCCTGGACAGCACGGTGCCCCGGCCTCCGCCCGCAGATTCCGCTTCCCCAGCGGCGCGGAGCTGTAACCCCTACCCCTGCCTCCCCGAAGCCTCCCTGGGGCCCCTTCAGGCCTCCTTACTCCATCTTCCAGACCCCTGGCGACCACCGCCCCTCTCAGTGGCTCCAGGGCCTCCCTCAGAGGTCCCCAAAGATGGACACACAACCCCAGCGGCAGCAGGAAAAACATATGGGAATTTTCTTTCTATATTTTAATCTCATCCCTTTAAAATGTCTATTTTTTATTGTGTTTTTTATAATATACATAATCTATTAGTATAGTATCTCTTGAATGCGATTTTTTCTAGAATGTGTTCTGCTGATTTGTTTTAGAGCCATGAGTGCAATTTATACACATACATCTATTGGGAATGCTCAGAAGTTGTTTACTGATGGAAGTGCCTTCAGAAGAGTCCGGGAACCACTTCCTAAGGAAGGAAAGAGCTGGCCACAGTTAGAGCAAGCCTGCCTGGGGCCCTGCTCTGTGTTCCAGCTGCAAACTGCCTGCATCATCCCTTCCTGTTACTCTTCCTTCACCTGAGACAGTCGAGGCCACAGCGTCAGCCAGGGCCAGAGCTGGGATTTGAACCCAGGCACTCGGGCTCCAGAGCCACACTGCCCCAGTGTGGGGCTTAGTGGCGGCTCCTGGCCCTGACTGAGGGGCTGACTGAAGCCTGGTGAGAGCGTGCTGGGTCAGCCTCTCCCTGGCGGGAATCCTCTCCGTCCAGTCTTCTAACCTAGCAGCCTCACGTCCACAGAGCTGCCTTGTGAAACTCAGCAGAGCCCTGGCTTCCTGCAGAGCCGTGTTCTCCCAGCCTGCTTCATGGCTCCCTGGTTGAGCCAAGCTTGCGGATCCGTGGGGTGAAGGTACCCGCACCGCCTGGGCCTTAGTGGTATGTACGGGCCTGCATCGTGAGCAGCGGGCGGGGGCCCAGGCAGGTGAGGCAGCTGGCCACAAGGGCAGGGCCCGGCCCCCCTCCCAAGGCTGTGTCTGATATTCTTGAGCCTGTTCGAGTTTCCTTTTCCAAGCCTCCTGTTCTCCCACCCCCACCCCTGCCATGCTGCAGTGACTAAATCTGTGGTTCTCATCCTTGGAGAACACCTGAGTAGCTGCTACAAGCTGGCCACAGCCCAGCGACTCTGATGTGGTTGGGCTGGGTGTGGCCAGCAGCCAGGGCATCGGGACTTTTCGAAGCTCCCAGGTGACTCACCGGCAGCTGGGGATGAGAACTGTCAGGAGGGAAGGTCAGAAGTCCCAGGATGCACTTGAAAAGCCTCTAGCTCCACCAGTGACCAGCTCCTGGCTGGACTCCTGGTCTGGACTCAGCATCAGGGAGGCTCTGGCCTCTCGCCCTCAGGGCTGGGGGCTTCTTCACATGGTCATCAAAGACTTGGCCAGTTCCGCCTCTCCCACGGCCGTCCTTGTCTCACCCAGCATCACGACGCATCAGTTCACCAACAAACACGATTCAGTGCTGCTAGTGCTGGGTCCTGTTCTGGGGGCTGGTGATGAGGCCAAGAGGGAAAGAGGGAGCTCTGTGTTCCATCGAGGGGGCGACAAGCCTGGACCAGATGAAAGTGACTCATGTTGTTAATTAGCGGCTTAGGGCCAAAGGTGGCCCCTGGACCAGTGGCCTCAGCATCACCTGGGAAAAGGTTAGAAATGAACATTCCCAGGCCCCACCTCAGCCTCCTGAATCAGAGCATCCCTTTGGCAAACCATACTGAGAAACAACCACGTGCATCACCAAGCGCTGTGAAGAAGGCAAGCTTTGAGACCTTGAAGGAATCATCAAACTCTGGGCCTCGGTGTGCTCACCCAGGGCGAGACAAAGACGCCATGCTCCTCCAAGTGGCCTCCAAGATTAAATGAGCAATGACTTTTTGTGTGTGTGTTTTTTTTTTTTTTGGGGGGTGGGGACAGAGTCTCTTTCTGTTGCCCAGGCTGGAGTGCAGTGGCAAGATCTTGGCTCACTGCAACCTCTGCCTCACAGGTTCAAGCCATCCTCCTGCCTCAGCCTCCCGAGTAGCTGGGACTACAGGTGCCCGACACCACACCCGGCTAATTTTTTGTATTTTTAGTAGAGATGGGGTTTCACCATGTTGGCCAGGCTGGTCTCTAACTCCTGACCTCAGGTGATCCACCTGCCTCGTCCCCCCAAGGTGCTGAGATTACATGTGTAATCCACCAAACTCGGCCCATACAGTGACTTTTGAAGTGTCCCCATGGGGACCTAGAAGTGCAGTGGCGGCTCCTATTACAATGTGGTCACTGGCCTGAAGGAGCCAAATGGGAGATGATGGGGAGTGGACCTGGGGCCCCCTGTGATCAGGACCACCCAGGAAGACAGCCCAGGGGGCCTCGAGCGATGGGCTTCTTCCCACAGGAGGGCTCTTGGAGCCAGTGACAGGCAGGACCTTGGAGAAAGGGAGGCTTTGGACAGGAGCTGAGGGCAGAGAGGGGGCCTGAGCAAAGATGTGGTAAAGGGGCCACGGTGGAGGCTGGGAAGCTGGAAATCTGAGGCCTCTAGACTGGGATGCAGGGCACACGGGGCCAGTGCGAAGACGGAACCGGTGCTCTGGCAGCGGGTGCCGTGGGCTAGGATGACTTTCTGTAGATGACGGAGCTGGGGGCCATGACCTAACAAGGGGCTCTGCCAGGAGCTTAGAAGTCCTGCCGGGCAGGGAGGGACTCTCTGGGGCTTATTGCAATAGATGCAGTAAAGGTCTCACCAGGTGGGAGAGCCCACCTAGGTGGGGTGTCCCAGCCACCCCCAGCCTTGGGGACTCCTGGGCCCTCCCCTGCCCAGCCCTGAGAGACTGCCCTGTCTTTCTGTGCCCCTGCAACCCCGCTATCCTGGCCAGGGCAGCCCAGAGCAGAGTCCCACCCGCAGGACCTTTCTGGGGACACAGTATGGGGGAGGAAACGCGGAGACGCTGGGAAGAGCATTTGTTACAGAGGACAGTGGCCTCTGCGAGCAAAAATCACAGAACATCAGCCTGAAGCGGGTGGCTAGAGAGCTTTTGGGGGCCCCCAAACTCCACACAGGGTGACCTGGGGGTGACCTTGGAGGCGTGGCTGCTGTGTCCTGGCTTACTCTGCAGTCTGGACAGAGGGGCAGCGCAGCCCAGAGAACTGGTCAGCCAGACCGGTGCACAAGTGATTCCTGGGGGCGGAGGGGTGCAGGAGAGATGTTTGGGTCCCCCAAGGCCTGGGGAAAATGGCCCATGAGTCTGCCTTCGCTCTCTGACCCCAGCTTCCCCACAGACTGGGAAGAGGAAGAGCTCCTCATGAGCTGCCTTAACTCAAGGTTCCCCTGAACACCACCACGTGGAGAAAAAGAGTGAGTTTCCCTGGCCTCCAGGCAAGAGGCTGCCAGCAGCCCAGGGCCTGGGCAGCCAGCCAGCTCCCCAGTGACCTCTGGCTCCCTTCAGTCTTCAGTTCCCTTCCCCACCCGCCTTCAGCAGAAGTGAGAACAGACTTTGGGAAGGGAAGGGAGTTTTACTAAGAAACTAAGAGAAAATGCTCTTGCTCCCCAGCTGGGAGAAACCGAAAACAGAGAGGCCGGTGGGTGCACAGGAGGCAGCCTCCATCCCCGGGACCATGGGTAGCAAGGTGCAGAAACGGACTCATGCCAGCTGGGAGAGGGGGCCACCGAGGGGTCAACAGAGCCAGTCTGCAGTGACCTCCAGGACACCTGCACCTGCCTCCCCACCATCCTTCTGGCCACTCCCTGGTCAGCAGGGCCACTCCCTCAGACCAGCTTCCCAACACACCCAGGCCTCCGGTGCAGCAAGTGCCTGGGAAAGGCTGAGAGGAGAGCTGGGCCGGGGCTGTGAGTGGCCTCCCTTGGTCAGGTGTTCACTCCTGGACGGTGCCCAGGGGCAGAGAGTGTGATTGACCGGTCAGGAGCCACAGGTGGCAGCAGCTCCCACAGGAGGCAATGGTCACCTGGTGGCAGGGGACATATTCCTGAAGGAGGCAGCCAGAAAAGGCATTCCCCACACAAAGTGTGGGAAACTGAGCCGGGCCAGAAAGTGACAGGCTGGTCCAGCAGCCCCAGGCTGAGCTTGGGCACAAAGCCGGGTGCAGTGGCCCACAGCGGAGCTGGCAGGGCCCCAGCCTCAATCCCTTGCGCCCTTACATCTCTCTGTGTTCCGGGGAATGCCTGGCCCCAGCCCTGGCCTCGGGGCTCTGGGAGGCCCTGCTCACCCCCACCCTCCCTGCATGTGCAGGAGGCTCTGTGGCTGAACTCTGCACACACACTGCCTGCGATGCAGCTGGGTCTGCTGCTGGCCAAGGCCAGCACTGGGGCCAGTTCCCTGGGGAATGACCATCCATGTGACCTCCCACCACCCTCAGTGGGGCCTGAGGGACTTCTGAAGGGCGGTGCTTGGGCACACCACGCTCCGGGACCCAGGACTCCAGGACCCATCACACTCCAGGACCAGGGGCCTCGTCGGTCTGGGGTTTCATTCTGGGGCTGGGTGCAGCCTTGGCCTCCCGGCTGTGAACCATCATGGGTGGGGCTGCCTTTTCTCAGCCCAGCAGGTCCCCAGCTGCTTGGAAAGGCCCCAGTGATTACATGAGGGTCACCTGGGTCATGTAGGACGGGCTCCTCCTCTCAAAATGAGAAGACTCACAGCCTTCATTCCCCTTGCCGCGTAGCATGGTGCTCACGGGCTCCAGAAGTTACAGCGTGGACATCTTTTTTTTTTTTTTTTTTTTTGAGATGGAATCTCACTCTGTTGCCCAGGCTGGAGTGCAGTAGCGTGATCTTGGCTCACTGCAACCTCCGCCTCCTGGGTTCAAGCAATTCTCCTGCCTCAGTCTCCCGAGTAGCTGGGATTACAGGCGCACGCCACCACGCCCGGCTGATTTTTAGTAGAGATGGAGTTTCGCCATGTTGGCCAGGCTGGTCTCGAACTCCTGACCTCAGGTGATCCGCCCATCCAGGCCTCCCAAAGTGCTGGGATTACAGGTGTGAGCCACTGTGCCCCGCGGAGCATGGACACCTTCTGCCCACCACGTGAGCCCGGGATCCTGCGGCTCAGAGGTGACTGCTGAGTCTAAGCCCTGGTCTGGCTTCAAGGTCCAAACTCCTTCCACTTCTCTGGGGATTGAGGGGGAGTTTGCTGTACCGGGCCTGCCGGGGCTCTCTGGGCCCCGCCCTGGTAGCTGAGGCCCTGGGGTGCTGCGGCCTCCAGGTTATCTCCCCACTGCAGGCACCCACCCAGGGAGCATCCCAGGGGCCTCAGGGTGGGGGAGGCCAGGAACTAGGAGGTTCTCACTGCCCGAGCAGAGGCCCTACACCCACCGAGGCATGGGGCTCCCTGGGCTGTTCTGCTTGGCCGTGCTGGGTGAGTCCACCAGGGACGTGATGGTGGGGCTGCTGCTGGGGCCTTGAGGTCTTGGGCTCAGGTGGGGGTACTGGGAGCACAGGAGAGATGAGGCCTGAAGGAAGGGCACCTCTGGAAACATGGACAGAGAGGGAAAGATCTGGGCTTGAGTCTCGGACCAGCCCCTAAACTTGCTGTATATGTGGTCCAGGGATTTCTGCACCATTCTGGGCTCACTACTTACCCATCTGCGAAATGGGCGGATGAGAGGCGATGTTGTGGGGGGAGGGGCGCAAAAGAGCTTTTGTGAGTGATGGTGCCAGCTGAGTCCTGGGGCCTCACTACCAAGAATCAGCCTGCTCCTCCCTCCTGGCTTCAGCAGGTGGGTCTCGAGGCTGTCTCTGGTCTCCCCTCCACACCAGGCCCTCTCCTTATCGCCCTTACCTCTCTTACAGCTGCCAGCAGCTTCTCCAAGGCACGGGAGGAAGGTAAGTGGCATAGCCTGCTGCAGGGAGAAGTCCCCCAGCTGGGACCCTGGTGTCAGAACCCCCATGGTGGAGGGCGCCTCGGCTGGGAAGGGAGTTACTAGTGGGGAGGTGTGTGCTGGAGGATGGCTGGACAGTTCTGGAACACTCTCTTCACCCTGCAGGGCCCTAGGAGTGATGGAGATGGGCAGGCCAAGCAGGCCAGTGTGGGGACCTCCGGGGCACACAGGCAGGGAAGTTGCTCAGCTTCCAGCCTTTGGCTGGGCTGTTTGGAGGGAAGATTCCCTGGGCAGGTGCATCCTCATCACTCTGCCCCAGGTCCCTGATCGGGAGCAGAAGCCCCCCCTGAGACCCTCACAGCTCTGCCCGGTGGGCGAGGCCCCGTGGAGGGCTGGGGAATTCTGGTGGGGCCTGGGAGGTTGGGATTCTCTGACCAGGAGGAGGGCCGTGAGAGGATGGTGAAGTTAAGGCTCCCCCAGGGGCCTGACATACACGAGGCTGCCTTCCTTATAGAGGCAGGTGGGGAGTGGAGAGTGTCTGGGACCCAGCTGGGTACAGGACCAGGGAGGAGGGGACGCTGGGGAAGGTCCCTGACAGCCCCTAGCCTGGCCTGCTTCCTCATCTTTGCCTGCTCCATCTTTCTGCCTGCACTTTCTTGCCCCATCCTTCCCTCCCCTCCCCTCATGTCCATTAAGGTGAGGATGGACAGTCACCTCCCTATATTGTCCCAACTAACCCTTGCCCCTTGTTGCTAGGCCATCAGGTTACAGAGCAGGGCCTTCCCCCTCTATTTTGCTAAAGGGCAGGTACAGGGTAATGATGACGCCATTCTCACTTGAATGAGGCCCAGGTTGAACCATTATTTCCTCATTTGCTTTAAAAACGGATACATTGTTGGTGTGGCTGCTAAAAAGAGAGCAGGCAGCTGGGGCTCCGGGAAGTACCTGTGCAGGGCAGTTCCGCCTCCCCCTCTTGGCTGGCTCCCGACTTCTCTGATTCTTGCCAACCAAGTCCTGCTAACTAAACTCCTAAGAGACTGACTGATAAATCATTTATTCATTCAACAAATACTTGAGCACCTGTTTGGTTGCAGGCACAATTCCAGGCCCTGAGAATGTGGCAAGGCACTGAAACAAACCCCTCCTGTATCTTACATTCTAGTGGGGGTTGGGGGGACAGATGATAATAAAAATAAGAACATTCAGTGGCTTATGCCTGTTATCCCGCACTTTGGGAGGCTGTAGCCAAAGGATCAGTTGAGCCCAGGAGTTCAAGACCAGCCTGACCGACACAGTGAGACCCCCATCTCTTAAAAAAAAAAAAAGAAAATGGCTCGATCTCAGCTTACTGCAACCTCTGCCTCCTGGGGTCAAGGGATTCTTCCACCCAGCCTCCTGAGTAGCTGAGATTACAGATATGCACCACCATGCCCAGCTGATTTTTTTGTATAAAGAAAATATTTTTTTAAATTAGCTGGGCATGGTGGGCGGTGCACCTGTTGTCCCAGCTACTCGGGAGGCTGAGGTGGGAGGATTGCTTGTCCGGGAAGTGAGGCTGCAGTGAACCGTAATCATTAACAGTGCACTTCAGCCTGGGTGGCAGAGCAAAAAAAGCACATTCTAAGGTATGTTAGTTAGAATGTTCTAGAGAAAAGCAAGCAGGGTAGAAGGAAAGGGAACACCAGGTAGGTAGGGGAAGGAGGGCAGCATTTGCAGGGGAGGGTGGAGTTTGGGAAGGGGCCGTGCAGCAAGGACCCGAAGGAGCCGACCGAGCAGGAAGTACCTGGGCAGGGACCCTGTGTGGCCAGAACACAGGAAGCAAGGGGCAAAGGGTATTGAATGAGGTCAGAGGCATGGTGTGGGGTTGGCCGGGGAGGGCCCTGTGGGGCGCAGCCATAGGAGGTTTGGAGGGGAAAACGCAATCTGATTTACCCTTGGCCGAGGTCATTTGGACACTGTGTGGATGGAGATCAAAGGCAAAATCCAAGAGAGCCATTAGGCTACTCGGGATCCAGAGGAGAGACTGGGCAATGCGGGAGAGGCAGGGAGATGGGGTGGACATACATTCTGGAGGCCAGCAGCAGCTGCTGGCAGATGGCATGGGATGGGATGGGATGAGGACAGCCATGAAAGATGGCGCCAAGCCGGGCGCAGCTGCTCACGCCTGGAATCCCAGCACTTTGGGAGGCCGAGGCAGGCAGATCACCTGAGGTCAGGAGTTTGAGACCAGCCTGACCAATATGGTGAAACCCAGTCTCTAATGAAAATACAAAAATTAGCCGGGCGTGGTGGCGCACGTCTGTAATCCCAGCTACTCGGGAGGCTGAGGTGGGAGAATCCCTTGAACCCGGCAGGCGGAGGTTGCAGTGAACCAAGATCGCACCACTGCACTCCAGCCTGGGCAACAGAGAGAGACTCTGCCTCAAAAAAAAAAAAAAAAAAAAAAAAAAAAAAGGCGCCAGTCCTTGGCCCATCTGGAAGGACTGGCTAAATAAAGTGCAGCCTGGAGATGGCATATTATGCAGCTGAAACAGCTTCAGTGGGAGTGGAAAGCTGGGTACACGTGAAGGACCTGAGGGATCAGGATATTCGAAAGATGATCTCTGCGTAGGTTGGCTTTTTGTTTTGTTCCATTTTGCTTTTAGACACAGGGTCTCGTTCTGTCACCAAGGCTAAAGTGCAGTGGCACAATCACCGCTCACTGCAGCCTTAACCGCCAGGGCTTAATCAATCCTCCTGCCCCAGCCTCCCAAGTACCTGGGACTACAGGCACACGCCATCACACCCAGCTAATATTTAATTTAATTTTTTTTTTTTTTTGAGACGGGGTCTCGCTCTGTCGCCCAGGCTGGAGTGCAGTGGTGCAATCTCGGCTCACTGCAACCTCCACCTCCCAGGTTCAAGGGATTCTCCTGCCTCAGCCTCCTCAGTAGCTGGGACTACAGGCACATGCCACCACGCCCAGCTAATTTTTTGTACTTTTACTAGAGATGGGGTTTCACCATGTTAGCCAGGATGGTGTTGATCGCTTGACCTCGTGATCTGCCCACCTTGGCCTCCCAAAGTGCTGGGATTACAGGCGAGAGCCACCACGCCCGGAAGCTAATTTTTTTTTTTTTGAGACAGGGTCTTGCCATGTTGCCCAGGTTGGAATGCAGTGGCACAAACTCGGCTCACTGCAACCTCCATCTCCCAGGCTCAAGCCATCATCCCGCCTCAGCCTCCAGAGTAACTGGGACTATAGGCATGCACCACCATGCCCAGCTAATTTTTGTATTTTTTGTAGAGACAGGGTTTTGCTGTGTTTGCCAGGCTCGTCTCAGACTCAAGCTCAAGTGATCTGCCCGCCTCAGCCTCCCAAAGTGCTGGGATTACAGGCATGAGCCACCCTGCCTGGCCTAATATTTCAAATTTTTTTGTAGCAATTGGGTCTTCCTATTTTGCCCAGCTGGTCTTGAACTCCTGGCCTCAAGCAATCCTCCCTCTTTAGCCTCCCGAAGTGCGGGGGTTACAGGTATGAGCCACTGTGCCAGTGTGTTTTGAAATCCCCAAGAATTCTGGCAAGTATAGCATTAAGCATGGTAGGAACCATGGACAGGCATCTTCAAGGAGGGATAGGTGTTGGTAGATAATTGTAACCCAGAAGACAGAGTGGAATGTATCTGAAGACATAACTGCTGTTTAGCAAGGAGAGGGGAGAAAAGTTTAGGGAAGGGGAAATGTCAAGAAGGTGTTGTCCCCCTTTGTCCTAGCCCCATGACATGAAGGCTGCCGGGATCCACATCGCCTGGGACACCTGAAGGGGTAGACAGGGCTCTGGGAAGGAGGGATCTGGTTTCCATTAGATGTAGAGGATGGAGGGTGTTGGTTGGAAGGTTGAGGATACAGGGGATTTTGATTCCGGCTGAGCCTACACTCCAAACGGCACAGAGGAGGCCGGACACAGTGGCTCACGTCTGTAATCGAGCACTTTGGGAGGCCGAGGTAGGCGGATCACTTGAGGTCAGGAGTTTAAGACCAGCCTGGCCAACATGGTGAAACCCCATTTCTATTAAAAATACAAACATTAGCCAGGCTTGGTGGCAGGCGCCTGTAATCCCAGCTACTCAGGAGGCTGAGGCAGGAGAATCGCTTGAACCCGGGAGGCGGAGGTTGCAGTGAGCCTGGATGGCACCACTGCACTGCAGCCTGGGCGACAGAGTGAGACTCTGTCTCACAAAAACAAAAACAAACAAGGCCAGGCACAATGGCTCAGGCCCATAATCCCAGCACTTTGGGAGGCCGAGGTGGGCGGATCACCTAAGGTCAGATGTTCCAGACCAGCCTGGCCAACATGCGGAAACCCTGTCTCTACTAAAAATGCAACAATCAGCCAGGTATGGTGGTGTGTGCCTGTAATCCCAGCTACTCAGGAGGCTGAAGCACAAGAATCGCTTGAAACCAGAGGCGGAGGTTGCAGTGAGCCGAGATCGTGCCACTGCACTCCAGCCTGAGCGACAGAGCAAGACTCTGTCTCAAAAAAAAAAAAAAAAAAAAAAAGCAAAAGACAAAAGACAACCAAAAAACAACACCAACAAGGAAGGAAACACATTCTCTGACAGTGCTGGAAGCTGCATTCCAAGACTCAGAGTCTGCAGGGCTGGGTCCTCCCAAGGCCCCGCGGGAGCACCTGCTCCTGGCTCCTGTCCTGGTTTCTGGGGGTTGCCTCCCTCATGCCATTCTCCCGGTGTGTGTCTGAGTCTCCTTTCCTCTTCTCCTCAGGCCCCACCCTAATCCAGCATGAATTACTGGAGTTAATATTTAACATGAGAGAGGGGGAGCCATCTGTAAAAACCTGATTTCCAAATATGTTCCCATGGGCAGGTCCTGGGAGTCACCATTGGAACCTATCTTTTTGGAGGACATAATTCAACCCTTAACGGACGGCGGCTTATTCAAAGTCAGATCTCAGAGCCCCTCCCTAGGTCTAATGAGTTGCAACCTCCAGGGTTGGGACTGGAATTTCTAAGCTTCCTGTTGTCACAGAGACCAGTCTGGAGAGGGGTAGCACAATCTGGAAGGGCCTTGGAGTCACTCAGAGCACCAGCACCATGTCCGGGCCTGGACATGAGCCCTCCACAGTTTCCCTGCAGTGACCCCGTGCCCAGCCTGGGCTTGGCTTAGCTTCCTGTCCCGAGGGCAGCCCTGTCGTCACTTTATCAAATTTTGAGTGTGCCATCCCATTATTTAAATGCTCTTGCAGAGCAGATGAATTTTATTTATTTATTTATTTATTTACTTACTTATTTTGAGACAGGGTCTCGCTCTGTCACCCAGGCTGGAGTGCAGTGGCGCGATTACAGCTCACTAAAGCCTCAACCTCCTGGGCTCAAACATCCTCCCATGTCAGCCTCCTGAGTAGCTGGTGCATACCACCATGCCTGCTTAATTTTTTTTTTTTTTTTTGAGACAGGGTCTCACTTTGTCACCCAGGCTGGAGTGCAGTGGTGCAATCTTGGCTCGCTGCAGCCTCCACCTTCCAGGTTCAAGAGATCCTCCCACCTCAACCTGCTGAGTAGCTGGGATTACAGGCACATGCCACCATGCCCAGCTAATTTTTGTATTTTTAGTAGAGATGGGGTTTTGCCATGTTGGCCCGGCTGGTCTCGAACTTCTGAGTTCAAGTGATTCACCCACCTTGACCTCCCAAAGTGTTAGGATTATAGGCATGAGCCACTGCACCCAGCCAATTTTTTTTTTTTTTTTCTTAGAGACAGGATCTTGCTTTTTTGCCCAGGCTGGTCTCAAACTCCTGGGCTCAAGGGATCCCCCTGCCTAGGCCTCCAAAAGCTCTGGGATTATAGGAGTGAGCCACCACACCCAGACAAGCAGAAGAATTTTGAATTAAATGATAGGCCAGGCGGGTGGCTCACGCCTATAATCCCAGCACTTTGGAAGGCTGAGGTGGGTGGATCACTTGAGGTCAGGAGTTGTAGACCAGCCTGGCCAACATGGTGAAACCCCATCTCTATTAAAAATACAAAAATTAGCCAAGCATGGTGGCATGCACCTGTAATACCAGCTACTCAGGAGGGTGAGGCGGAGAATCACTTGAAACAGGGAGGCAGAGGTTGCAGTGAATTGAGATCGTGCCGCTGCACTCAGGCCTGGGAGACAAAGCAAGAGCCTGTCTCAAAGAAAAAAATAAATTAAAAAAAAAATGATAGACCATCCTTTATTGGCAGGCTGATCCATAAACTAAATAATCAAAAGGAAAAAACCACACAAGTCTTGAGAGGATATAAAGTGAGTGTGCGGCCGGGGACGGTGGCTCACCCTGTAATCCCGGCACTCTGGGAGGCCGACGGGGGTGGATCTCCTGAGCTCAGGTGTTCAAGACCAGCCTGGCCAACATGGAGAAACCCCAGCTCTACTAAAAATACAAAAAATTAGCCGGGCGTGGTGGTGCATGCCTGTAATCCCAGCTACTCGGGAGGCTGAGGCAGGAGAATCACTTGAACCCAGGAGGCGGAGGTTGCAGTGAACCAAGATCGTGTCACTGCAGTCCAGCCTGGGCGACAGAGCAAGACTCCGTCTCAAAAAAAGAAAAAAAAAAGTGAATGTCCCTGGTACAGTGTACTTTCAAAATGGTTCCTGTCTGTGAATTTATGCAAATCAAGCTTCTATTAATGAAGACTGAAATGGAAATGAAGAGAGAGAAGTTTTTCTTTCCATTTTTGTAAGTCAAGATCGTTTCCCTTCGCAAAGGGAACAAAAAGAAAGGGTGATCGCGTGTCAGCCCTGGACGCCCACTTCCCCACGTGAGGCAGGCTTCTGGCCCCTGCGATAGTTTCTGGACCATGAAGAGAAGGCCTCTTGGCCCTGAGGGTCAAATTGACTAAAGAATCAGCAGAGGCATCTGCAAGAGGATGCCCCAGAGGGTGCCTTCACCTCCAGATACACCTTCACTTTCTTCAAATCGAAGATTTTTCCATGAAAGCCTGTTTAGGGAAAAAAAAAAAGTATTCCTTCTTTTTTTTTTTTTTTTTTTTTTTTTGAGACACAGTCTCACTCTGTCACCCAGGCTGGAGTACAGCAGCACAATCTCCGCTCACTGCAGCCTCCACCTCTCAGGTTCAAGTGATTCTCATGCCTCAGCCTCCCGAGTAGCTGGGACTACAGGCTCGAGCCACCACACCGGGCTAATTTGTGTATTTTTAATAGAGACAGGGTTTCACCATGTTGCCCAGGCTGGCTTTGAACTCCTGGCCTCAAACGATTCACCCTCTCAGCCTCCCAAAGTGCTGGAATGACAGGCGTGAGCCACTGTGCCAGGCCTGAAAAAAAAAAGTATTCTTCCCCATCTAAAAAGGAGAGTCTGGCTGGGTGCAGTGGCTCATGCCTGTAATCCCAGCACTTTGGGAGGCCAAGGTGGGTGGATCACCTGAGGTCAGGAGTTCGAAACCAGTCTGGCCAACTTGGTAAAACCCCATCTCTACCAAAAATACAAAATTAGACAGGCGTGGTGGCATGTGTCTGTAATCCCAGCTACTCGGGCAGCTGAGGCAGGAGAATCGCTTGAACCCGGGAGGCAGAGGTTGCAGTGAGCCAAGATTACACCACTGCCCTGAGGCCTGGGTGACAGGGTAAGACTTCGTCTCAAAAAAATAAATAGGTGGGGCGCAGTGGCTCACACCTGTAATCCCAGCACTTTGGGGGGCTGAGGCAGGTGGATCACCTGAGGTTGGGCGTTTGAGACCAGCCTAACCAACATGGAGAAACCCTGTCTCTACTAAAAATACAAAATTAGCCAGGCATGGTGACGCATGCCTGTAATCCCAGCTACTCAGGAGGCTAAGGCAGAAGAATTGCTTGAACCTGGGAAGCGGAGGTTGTGGTGAGACGAGATCACGACATTGCACTCCAGCCTGGGTAACAGAGTGAGACTCCATCTCAAAAATAAATAAATAAATAAATAAATATAAAAAGGAGAGTTATCATGAAATTTTCAAAGGGGCACAGATGAGAAAATAATTGTTGGTGTCTGTGCAGCCCTGGGCAGGGGAAGACATCCTGATTCTAGAAGGCTGCTGCCGGTTGTCTAGACCAGAGTTGTCAACCTCAGCACTCCTGACATTTGAGGCCAGACCATTCTTCGCGGTGGGGGCTGACTGTGCACTGTAGGATGCTTTGCGACATCCTTGGCCTCTACCCACTAAATGTCAGCAGCAACCCCTATTTTTTTTTTTTTTTTTTTGTGGAGATGGGGTCTTGCTGTGTTGCCCAAGCTAGTCCATCTCCCAATATTGACAACCAAAAATGTCCCCAGACCCAAAGTTCCCCTGGAGGCAAAATTGCTCCTGGTTGAGAGTTACTGGTCTAGAATGAAACATGCTTAGTGGTCACACACTCTAGTCTATTCCAGTTCTCTGCTCAATCAGCAGTTTCCTCATTGCAGGGTGGTTTCCAGAGCAGACATGCCCAGCCGAGCAAAGGCAATTCATGACGTCGATGATATTCAGATTTCACAGACCCTTCTTTCTACCCCTCCCCCAAGCACTGCCCCACCACACAGTATTCTTTTTTTCTTTTTAATTTTTCTTTCGATTAAATAGAGGTGGGGTCTCACTATGTTGCCTAGGCTGGTCTGGAACCCCTGGGCTTAAGCAATCCTCCCGCCTTGGCCTCCCAAAGTGCTGGTATTACGGGCCTGAGCTACTGTGCCCACCTGATACACACTATTCTTTTTCTTTTTTTTGAGACGGAGTCTTGCTCTGTCACCCATGCTAGAGTACAATGGCAGGATATTGGCTCACTGTAACCTCTGTCTCCTGGGTTCAAGTGATTCTCTGGCCTCAGTCTTCTGAGTAGCTGGGATTACAGGCATGTACCACCATGCCCAGATAATTTTTGTATTTTTAGTAGAGACGGGGTTTCTTCATGTTGGCCAGGCTGGTCTTGAACTCCTGACCTCAGGTGATCCACCTGCCTCGGCCTCACAGTGCTGGGAATACAGATGTGAGCCACCATGCCCGGCCTACACACTATTGTTGAAATGCAAACAGGTCCCCGCCATTGGTATAATACAACCCTCTCCCTCAAACCCCTATTCCAGAAACATTTTTGTTTAATCCCAATTGCTGTCTTAAAGAATCAGTAATGGCCAGGCACAGTGGCTCACACCTGTAATCCCAGCACTTTGGGAGGCCCAGGCAGGCGGATCACCTGAGGTCAAGAGTTCGAGACCAGCCTGGCCAATGTGGCGAAACCCAGTCTCTACTAAAAATACAAAAATTAGCTGGGTGTGGTTGTGGGCACCTGTAGTCCCAGCTACTTGGGAGGCTGAGGCAGGAGAATCACTTGAACCCGGGAGGCGGAGGTTGTAGTGAGCCAAGATTGCACCACTGCACTCCAGCCTGGGTGACAGAGCAAAACTCCTTCTCCAGAAAAAAAAAAAAAAAAAAAAAAGAATCAGCAAAGACAGCATCAGGCCCACTAGGAAGATCTCAGAGATGTTTTCCACAATGAAATTGACTCCAGGATTTGCTTCCAAAACAGAGAAGTCACTCGCAAGCAGAAAGCAGATACCTGGCGTAGGTGGGTGAAGGCCTGCTGGAATGCGCTGACGGGCTGGTTTTGATCTGGGTCTAGGGAGAAGAGCACTTTGGGTGCCGTGAGCAGGCTGGTCTCCTGCAGGAGCCTCGCATTCTTCAAAAGTCCTTTTAATTAATTAATTTTTTTAGAAACAGGGTCTCACTCTTTCACCCAGTCTGGAGTGCAGTGGCACGATCATAGCTCACTGTAGCTTCAGTCTCCCAAGCTCAAGTAAGTGATCCTCTCCCCTCAACCTCTGGAGTAGCTGGGACCGCAGGCGAGCACCACCACACCTGGCTAATTTTGTTTATTTATTTATTTTTAGAGTAGTTCTCACTGTGTTGTTGAAGCTGATCTCCGAGGCTCAAGCAATCCGTCCACCTCAGCCTCCCAAAGTGCTGGGATTCCAGGCGCAGTGGCCACCGTGCCTGGACACATTTTGTTTATATAGAAAAATATTCTGGAAAGAAACAGCCTAAACCCAGGAGGTAGCCCTTTTTCTAATATTTTCTTTTTTTAGAGGTGAAATTCACATAACAAAAAGTCAACCATTTAAAAGTGATAATTGGCCGTGCACGGTGGCTCACGCTTGTAATGCCAGTACTTTGGGAGGCCGAGGTGGGTGGATGACTTGAGGCCAGGAGTTCAAGACCAGCCTAACCAACATAGTGAAACTCCGTCTCTACTAAAAATACAAAACTTAGGCCGGGCACGGTGGCTCACACCTGTAATCCCAGCACTTTGGGAGGCCGAGGCGGGCGCATCATGAGGTCTGGAGTTCAAGAGCAGCCTGGCCAACACGGTGAAAACCCATCTCAGGTGCCTGCGTACTAAGACCTGTGTTCAGCAGCGGCGGCGGCGGCGGCGGTGGGCTCGGAGGCTCACAGCCAGTGGACAGGGTTGAGTCAGTGAGTTCGTGCGAGTTGGAATCGAAGCCTCTTAAAATGGCAGATGATTTGGACTTCGAGACAGGAGATGCAGGGCCTCAGCGACCTTCCCAATGCAGTCCTCAGCATTGTGTAAAAATGACTTTGTAGGCCGGGCGCGGTGGCTCACGCCCGTAATCCCATCACTTTGGAAGACCGAGGCAGGCGGATCACAAGGTCAGGAGATCGAAACCATCCTGGCTAAAATGGTGAAACCCCGTCTCTACTAAAAATACAAAAATTAGCCGGGCGTGGTGGCGGGCGCCTGTAGTCCCAGCTACTCTGGAGGCTGAGGCAGGAGAATGGCGTAAACCCGGGAGGCAGAGCTTGCGGTGAGCCGAGATTGTGCCACTGCACTCCAGCCTGGGCGACAGAGCGTGACTCTGTCTCGGAAAAAAAAAAAAAAAAAAAAAAAAAAGAATGGCTTTGTGGTACTCAAAGGCCGGCCACGTAAGATCGTCGAGATGTCTACTTCGATGACTGGCAAGCACGGCCATGCCAAGGTCCACCTGGTTGGTACTGACATCTTTACTGGGAAGAAATATGGAGATATCTGCCTGTCAACTCATAACATGGATGTCCCCAGCATCAAAAGGAATGACTTCCAGCTGATTGGCATCCAGGATGGGCACCTATCACTGCTCCAGGACAGCATGGAGGTGCGAGAGGACTTTCGTCTGCATGAGGGAGACCTTGGCAAAGAGACTGAGCAGAAGTACAGCTGTGGAGAAGAGATCCTGATCATGGTGCTGTCTGCCATGACCGAGGAGGCAGCTGCTGCAATCAAGGCTCCCAGGGTGGCGGTGGTGGCAGCAGTGATCCTCCCAAGAGGCCCCCTCCCCCAGGCTGGCTTGGCTCTGCCCTGGTCCTAGGCTGCTGGACTCCTCCTACACATTTTTTTTTTTTGAGATGGATTCTCGCCCTGTCGCCCAGGCTGGAGTGCAGTGGCACCATCTCGGCTCACTACAAGCTCCACCTCCCGGGCTCATGCCATTCTCCTGCCTCAGCCTCCCGAGTAGCTGGGACTACGGGCACCCACTGCCACGCCCGGCTAATTTTTTGTATTTTTTAGTAGAGACGGGGTTTCACCGTGTTAGCCAGGATGGTCTCGATCTCCTGACCTCGTGATCCACCCGCCTTGGCCTCCCAAAGTGCTGGGATTACAGGCGTGAGCCACCGCGCCCGGCCTCCTCCTACACAATTTATTTGATGTTTTATTTTGGTTTTTTGCATCACCTCAATCTGTTGGGGGAGCCCCTGCCCTTCACCTAGCTCCCTTGGCCAGGAGCAAGCGAAGCCGTGGCTTTGGGGAAGCTGCCCTCCTCTTCCCCCTCACACTACAGCCCTGCTCGGGGAGAAGGGGGTGGGTGCTGCTTGTGGTTTAGTTTTTGTTTGTTTGTTTTTGTTTTTTAATTCAATCTGGAATCAGAAAGCAGTGGATTCTGGCAAATGGTCCTTGTGCCCTCCCCACTCATCCCTGGTCTGGTCCCCTGTTACCCATAGCCCTGAGCACCACCCCAAAAGACTGGGGACCAGCCCCGTCCCCTGCCTGTGTCTCTCCCCAAACCCCTTCAGATGGGGAGGGAAGAGGAGGAGAGGGGAGGGGACCTGCCCCCTCCTCAGGCATCTGGGAGAGCCCTGCCCCCACGGGCTTTACCCTTCCCTGCAGGCTCTCTCCCCGACACATTTGTTAAAATCAAACCTGAATAAAACTACAAGTTTAATATGATTTAAAAAAAAAAGGAAAAGAAAAAACCCCGTCTCTACTAAAAATACAAAAATTAGCTGGGCATGGTGGTGCATGCCTGGAGTCCCCACTACATGGTAGGCTGAGACAGGAGAATCGCTTGAACCCAGGAGGTGGAGGTTGCAGTGAGCTGAGATCGTGCTACTGCACTCCATTCTGGACGACAGAGCAAGACTCTGTCTTTAAATAAATAAATAAAAGTGGGCCGGGCGCAGTGGCTCACATCTGTAATCCCAGCACTTTGGGAGGCTGAGGTGGCCAGACCACCTGAGGTCTCGAGTTCAAGACCAGTCTGGCCAACATGATGAAACCCCATGTCTACTAAAAATACAAAAATTAGCCAGGCGTAGTGGTGGGTGCCTGTAATCCCAGCTACTCTGGAGGCTGAGGCACGAGAATCTCTTGAACACGGGAGGCGACAGTGCAAGACTCTGTCTCAAAAAAAAAAAAAAGTGATAATTCAGCAGCATTTAGTGCATCCATAGTGTTGCTCAACCACCACCGCTATCTAGTTCCGAGAGATTTTCATCACCCCAAAAGGAAACCCCGTATCTATTAGGCAGTTACTCCCCATTTCCCCCTCCCCTGGGCCCCAGTAACCACCAATCTGCTTTCTGTCTCTGTGGGTTCTCCTGTTCTGAACTTTGCACACACATGGAATCATGCAACCGTTGCCCTTTGCGTCTGCCTTTTTGTTTAGTGGAATGTTGTTACGGCTCATCCCTGTTGCAGCCTGCATCTGTGCTCATTTCTTTCTAAGGCTGAGTAATATTCCTTATATGGATCAACCACATTCTATTTACCCATTCGTCCATTGATAGATATTTGGGCCGTTTCCACCATTTGGCTGTGGTGAATCACGCTGCCATGAGCGTGTGTGTACAGGTATCTGTTTGAGTCCCTGTTTTCTATTATTTGGTGTATGTCTAGGCCTGGAATTGTTGAGTCATATGGTAAGTCTGTTTAACTTTTTGAGGAACCACTAAATCAGTATTTTCTTTCTTTCTTTTTTCTTTACTCTGAGGTCTACTGGTTTCACTTATTTATTTGTAATTTTTAGGTTCAGGGGTACATGTGCAGGTTTGTTATAGAAGTAAATTGCAGCCGGGCGCGGTGGCTCACGCCTGTAATCCCAGCACTTTGGGAGGCCAAGGCGGGTGGATCACGAGGTCAGGAGTTTGAGACCAGCCTGACCAACATGGTGAAACCCTGTCTCTACTAAAAATACAAAAATTAGCCAGGCGTGGTGGCACGCGCCTGCAGTCCCAGCTATTCGGGAGGCTGAAGCAGGAGAATCACTTGAACTCAGGAGGCGAAGGTTGTGGTGAGCAGAGATCGCGCCACTGCACTCCAGCCTGGGTGACAGAGCAAGACTCCATCTAAAAAAAAAAAAAAGAGAGAGAGAGAGAGAACATGCTAAACCCAGCATCCTTTTTCTTTTTTTCCTGAGTCTCCCTCTGTCGCCCAGGCTGGAGTGCAGTGGTGTGATCTCGGCTCACTGCCACCTGCCACCTCCGCCTTCCTGGTTCAAGAGATTCTCCTGCCTTAGCTTCCCGAGTAGCAGGGATTACAGGTGGGCACCACCACGCCCGGCTAATTTTTGTATTTTAGTAGAGACAGACTTTCACCATGTTGGCTACACTGGTTTTGAACTCCTGACCTCAAGTGATCCGTCCACCTGGACCTCCCAAACACTGGGATTACAGGTGTTTGCCACCGAGCCTGGCCAAACCAGTACCTTCTTAAGGTGCTTGATCAATGTCGGTTTCTTTCTTCCTCCTTGGACCTTTTCATCTCCCAGAAATTACCCCTGTGGTCTCCATTGCCTACAAAGTCCTGGAAGTTTTCCCCAAAGGCCGCTGGGTGCTCATAACCTGCTGTGCACCCCAGCCACCACCGCCCATCACCTATTCCCTCTGTGGAACCAAGAACATCAAGGTGGCCAAGAAGGTGGTGAAGACCCACGAGCCGGCCTCCTTCAACCTCAACGTCACACTCAAGTCCAGTCCAGACCTGCTCACCTACTTCTGCTGGGCGTCCTCCACCTCAGGTGCCCATGTGGACAGTGCCAGGCTACAGATGCACTGGGAGCTGTGGTCCAGTGAGTGCGGTGGGGGGCACAGGGCTGAGGAGGCAGGTGGGGTGCAGATCAATGGGGAGCTCTGGGAGTGGGGATTGTGAACCTTGCTGGGGTTAGAGAGAGCCAGGGTGTGAGGGTGTGGACAAGGACAGGCTGCCACCTCCAAGGCCATTCTCAGTCCCTTGGGGCCTTTAATCAGGACTTGCTGTCCCTGGCTGGGGCCCTGAGGGCACAGTCTCCTGGCAGGGGCCTGAGGGCACAGAGGGAAAGAGCCCGATGGTGGCAGAAATGACTGGGCCCCAGTTGTCAGCTCGGACCTCAAGGTGATAAACTAGGCACGTTTGTCTGGGCGCAAATCCCAGCACTGTGGGAGGCCGAGACAGGCTGATCGCTTGAGCCCAGGAGTTCGATACCAGCCTGGGCAACATGGCGAAACCCTGTTCCTACTAAAATTACAAAGATTAGCTGGGCGTGGCGGGGTGCACCTGTAGTTCCAGCTACTCAGGAGGCTGAGGCAGGAGAATCGCTTGAACCCGGGAGGCAGAGGTTGCAGTGAGCCAAGATTGCGCCACTGTACTCCAGCCTGGGTAACAGAGCGTCTCCAAAAAAAAAAAAAAGAAAAAGAAACGAAAAAAAAGTTAGGCACGTTTTGTGCATTACTTCGCTTGATCTTCACAGCAGTGTCAGGGGTGGGGTCTGAGCCTCTGGGTCTATAGCTATGTAAGCTAAAACTCTGGGGAGTTAAGAAAGTTGCCCCAGGGGCTGGGTGTGGTGGCTCACGCCTATAAGCCCAGCATTTTGGGAGGCCCAGGCGGGAGGATCACTTGAGCTCAGGAGTTTGAGACCAGTCTGGCCAACGTAGTGAAACCCCATCTCTACTAAAAATACAAAAATTAGCTGGGTGTGGTGGTGGGCACCTATAATCCCAGCTACTGGGGAGGCTGAGGCAAGAGAGTCACTTGAACCCAGGAGATGAAGGTTGCAGTGAGCCAAGGTCGTGCTGCTGCATGCCAGCCTGGGTGACAGCGTAAGACTATCTCAAAAAAAAAAAAAAAAAAAAGTCGCCCCAGGCCACATGGCTGGCAAGTGGCCAAGGCTGCTTTCAAACCCCACTCTGTCCAGCTCCAAACCCTGCCTTCTTCCTGTTTCCATCCTGATAGTAACTCAGGTAACCTTCTTGGTGGGAGCTATGGGGTATGGGAACCAGGAAGTGTTGCCCGACTTAGGGTGGGACAAGGAATCGCCCCATTCATCCTTTGGCCCGCACCCTAAGAACACCAGGAAAAGACAGCCTAGGGGAGATGAGCCCAGGATCTGCAGCCCAACGGGTCCAAGGTTCAAATCCCTACACTTACTGGCTGGGGTCTTGAACAACTCATTGGACCGCTGAGCTTCAACTGCTTTATCTGCAAAAGGAAAATAATAACAGAGGCCAGTGAGGTGGCTCACACCTGTATTCCCAGCATTTTGGGAGGCCAAGGTGGGAGAATCCTTTGAAGCCAAGAGTTTGAGACCAGCCTGGACCACAGAGTGATACTCTGTGTCTGCAAAAAAATTATTTTCTTTTTTTGAGATGGAGTCTTGCTCTGTCGCCCAGGCTGAACTGCAGTGGCACGATCTCGGCTCACCGCAACCTCCGCCTCCCAGATTCAAGCGATTCTCCTGCCTCAGCCTCCCGAGTAGCTGGGACTACAGGCCCTTGCCCCCATGCCGGCTAATTTTTGTATTTTTAGTAGACACGGGGTTTCACCATGTTGGCCAGGCTGGTCTCAAACTCCTGACCTCAAGTGATCCACCTACCTAGGCCTCCTAAAGTGCTGGGATTATAGGCGTGAGCCACTGCACCCAGCCAATAGCAATTTTTTAAAAAATTAATCAGGTATGGTGGTGCATGCCTGTCGTCCCAGCTACTTGGGTGGCTGAGGTGGGAGGATCATTTGAGCCCAGGAGTTGGAGGCTGCAGTGAGCGGTGATCACACCATTGCACTCTAGCCTGGGCAACAGAGACCCTGTCTCTAAAATAATAATAGGTCCTACTTCAGGGGACCTATTAAATGAAAGCCTTTTAGTAGGTGGCAAGTGTGGTGGTGATTACTCATCAGTAAGAATGTCTAGAGCATTAGGCTCAAGGCCTGGGGGATTCTAGAATCTTCTACATGACAGTTTTTGTCCTGAAGTAGCTTGCCTTTCAGTAAAAAAGACGAGACTGAATGATAGAGTTGCCAGATAAATTTTACATAGGACATACGTATAGTAAAAGATTATTCATTGTTTATCTGAAATGAAAATTTAACTGTATTTTTATTTGCTAAGTCTGGCAATCTGAAATACGCTACACAAGAATAAAACCAGGCCGGGCACGGTGGCTCACGCCTAAAATCCCAGCACTTTGGGAGGCTGAGGCAGAAGATTGCTTGAGCCCAGGAGTTTGAGACCAGCCTGGCCAACATGGTGAAACCCCATCTCTGCAAAAAATACAAAAATTAGCTGGATGTGGTGGTGCACACCTGTAGTCCTAGCTACTCGGGAGGCTGAGATGGGAGAATTGCTCGAGCTGGGGAGGCGGAGGTTGCAGTGAGCCTAGATCGCGCCATTGCACTCCAGCCTGGGCGACAGAGCAAGACCCTGTCTCAAAATAAAGTAAGAATAAGATAAAAACCAAATGTGAAATTGTGTGGTACACACGGCAGGTAGGGCAGCAGCCCAGACACAAGGTGGAGGGCAAACTCTAGAAGGCGGCCTGGAGGAGGCGGCAGCCACAGCTAAGCTCATTAGGCATTTTGTAATGAGGAGAACTTACTGAGGAGGAGGGGTTTAAAACCGCTCAGCCATGCCTGTGCTACCTTCTCCCACCCTGCCAGAGCCAGTGTCTGAGCTGCGGGCCAACTTCACTCTGCAGGACAGAGGGGCAGGCCCCAGGGTGGAGATGATCTGCCAGGCGTCCTCGGGCAGCCCACCTATCACCAACAGCCTGATCGGGAAGGATGGGCAGGTCCACCTGCAGCAGAGACCATGCCACAGGCAGCCTGCCAACTTCTCCTTCCTGCCGAGCCAGACATCGGACTGGTTCTGGTGCCAGGCTGCAAACAACGCCAATGTCCAGCACAGCGCCCTCACAGTGGTGCCCCCAGGTGAGAGGGCCCTTGGATTTCCAGAGGGGCAGCTGGCGCTTCTGTGCCGGGAGGGTGCTAGTGTCCAAGACACAGGTCGATGGGAAGTGGGACAGCTCTACCCGGCCACTGCTGAGAGCAGAGAGGGCACAGGAGGCAACCATGCCCACCCTGGCCCCTGCCTAAAGGAAGCCCAACCCAGCTGCCTCCGCCCCCTCCCAGGAGGGTTGCCCAGGGCACCCACCATCGTGCTGGTTGGCAGCCTTGCCTCCACTGCGGCCATCACCTCCAGGATGCTGGGCTGGACCACGTGGGCCAGGTAGGAAATGGGTGCTCGATGCAGGGAGGAGGGAGAGCTGCTGATGGCCTGAGAGGTCCAACCGGGCCCTGGCTGCAGAGCTCAGGTGGTGGGGCTTGCAGGGCAGGGCTGTGGCCAGGGCAAAGAGCGGCCATCACCGCTTACGCATGACTCGAAGGTGTTTATGAGGACCTACTGTGTGCCATGTGCCTACTGAGGCTTACACATTCAAGGCGTTATCGGACCCTGACCAGTGCTCCCAGGTGCCCTGTAACACAGTCTGCTGGCCTCTGGGAGGGCAGTCTCCTAAGTTCTTTATGGGGTCTGAGCAGGGATTGCAGGGATGATGCCTCCAGGAGACCAAGGTGGACCAGGAGCTCCTGCCTTCTGTGAGAACCACCTTGGGCAGTCTTTCCGAGGTGGTGGCAAGAGCCTGGGGCCCAGCCTCCCAGGGTCCCCTCTCCAAGGCCATGGCTTTACTAACATGTAAAGTGACCAAGGCCTTTGTAGTGTCTGAGTGCAGGCACCACAGGCCTGTGTGCTCTGCCTGTCTGGCTTTGGTGGTGGCCAGCCCTGCCTCTGTGAACTCATCTCTCTTTGTTTGGGAGACACTGCCGTGTCCTGGTTCTCATCCTCTGCCCGTGGCCCAGGCCCTTACGTGGCTCTACCAGGAGTCTGTCCTTGGCACTTTCCCATCTCACTTCTACCAAGTCTGTTCTTTCCAGAAGCCAGACTCGTGGGTGAGCCATGTCACCTCGCCGAGCCTCAGTTTTTCCTTCTGTAAAATGGGGTACAGCCTTCATTTAGTGGGGTGAGTAAGCCTCATGTCTCTTCTGCTGGGGCACTGATGTGCTTGGCACCATAAAACTCCCAGAGGCAGGCCGGGCACAGTGGCTCATGCCTGGAATCTCAGCACTTTGGGAGGCTGAGGCAGGCGAATCACCTGAGGTCAGGAGTTCGAGACCAGCCTGGCCAACATGAAGAAACCCCGTCTCTACTAAAAATACAAAATTAGCCGGGCGTGGTGGTGCGCACCTGTAGTCCCAGCTACTCGGGAGACTGAGGCAGGAGAATCACTTGAACCCAGGAGGTGGAGGTTGCAGTGAGCCGAGATCGTGCCATTGCACTCCAGCCTGGACAAAAAGAGCAAAACTCCGTCTCAAAACAAACGAACACTCTCAGACGCCTCGGGAGGGGATGGCTGGGAGGTGAGCCTGCCTGACTTGAGTCTCCACTGCTTTGTCAAGGTGGTGACCAGAAGATGGAGGACTGGCAGGGTCCCCTGGAGAGCCCCATCCTTGCCTTGCCGCTCTACAGGAGCACCCGCCGTCTGAGTGAAGAGGAGTTTGGGGGGTTCAGGATAGGGAATGGGGAGGTCAGAGGACGCAAAGCAGCAGCCATGTAGAATGAACCGTCCAGAGAGCCAAGCACGGCAGAGGACTGCAGGCCATCAGCGTGCACTGTTCGTATTTGGAGTTCATGCAAAATGAGTGTGTTTTAGCTGCTCTTGCCACAAAAAAAAAAAAAAAAAAAAAAGGGTAACTATGAGAGATGGTGGATATGTTAACTTGCTTCGCTATAGGAACCTTTGTGCTATCTATATTATCTATATGAATCCCATCATATCAGGTTGTCTACCTTAAATATACACAAAAACATTTATTTAAAAAAAAGAAAAAAGCCTGCCAGCTGGGATTCTTGGAGTGCTGGTGGCCTTCAGCAAACACAGACACTGTTGGTGTGAGGGCTTCAGGAGGGTCACAGAAATAAGGGGGTCTGTGTGGCCCTGTCCTCGCCTCTCAGGTGCTGTCACATCTCTCTGGGTGTAGGGAGAGGGAGGGGGGCACACTGCGAAAAGGCCCAGCCCCTCCCCCCCACCTGCTCCCCTCTTCCCTGGAGAGGCACCCCACCTCCTGGTGGCCCAGTCCTATGGTTCAACTCTCACGTGGTCCAGCTCACCTGGGTTGACTGTGAGCCCCACCTGGCACACCTGCTGTTGTTAATCTGCACCTGCAACTAGCAAAGGGGGGTCTGGAATTCTTCCGGGTTCAGTCAGCCTGTGATCCCACACCTCTGTCTGTACAACCTCCGCTCCCCACTCCAACACACACAGAGCCTGCCCCAGCCTACCCTGCACCAGACCCTCTGTACCGGTTTTTCTTGGGATGGAGGTAGAGAGGGACGGAGGCGAGAGGGGGCTGAACTGGAACTGGATTAAACTTTGCCATCTGCCTGTCGCCCTGAAAACTTCATTTCTGTTTGCATGCCATATATATATTTTTTTATATGTGGTCTTTTCTTTTTTTTTTTTTTTGAGATGGAGTCTCGCTCTGTCGCAATGGTGCAATCTCGGCTCACTGCAACCTCCGCCTCCCGGGTTCAAGCGATTCTCCTGCCTCAGCCTGCCAAGTAGCTGGGACTACAGGCACGCGCCACCATGCCCAGCTAATTTTTGTATTTTTAGTGGAGACGGGGTTTCACCATGTTGGCCAGGGTGTTCTCGATCTCCTGACCTCGTGATCCGCCTGCTTCAGCCTCCCAAAGTGCTGGAATTACAGGCGTGAGCCACCACGCCCGGCCGATATGTGGTCTTACTCTGTCACCCAGGCTGGGGTGCAAAGGCGTGATCTTGGTTCACTGCAAACTCCGCCTCCTGGGCTCAGACAATTCTCCCACCTCAGCCTCTGGAATAGCTGGGACTGCTAGTAGCTGCCACCACGCCTCGCTAACTTTCGTTTTTGGTTTTGTTTGTTTGTTTGTTTGTTTGTTTGTTTTGTTTGTTTTGAGATGGACTCTTGCTCTGTTGCCCAGGCTGGGGTGTAGTGGCTCGATCTCAGCACACGGCCACCTCTGCCTACCGGTTTCAAGCAATTATCCTGCCTCAGCCTCCCAAGTAGCTGGGATTACAGGCGCTTACCACAACGCCCAGCTAATTTTTTTGTTGTTGTTGTATTTTTAGTAGAGACGGGGTTTCACCATGTTGGCCAGGCTGGTCTCAAACTCCTGACCTCAGGTGATCCAACCGCCTCGGCCTCCCAAAGTGCTGGGATTACAGGTGTGAGCCACTGCGCCCGGCCTTGCACACCATCTTTTTTTTTTTTTTTTTTTTTTTTTTTGACACAGAGTTTTGCTCTTGTTGCCCAGGCTGGAGTGCAATGGCACAATCTCGGCTCACCGCAACCTCCACCTCCCAGGTTCAAGCGATTCTCCTGCCTCAGCCTCCCGAGTAGCTGGGATTACAGGCATGCACCACCACACCAGGCTAATTTTTGTATTTTTAGTAGAGACGGGGTTTCTCCATGTTGGTCAGGCTGGTCTCGAACTCCTGACCTCAGGTGATCCAACCGCCTCGGCCTCCCAAAGTGCTGGGATTACAGGTGTGAGCCACCGCTCCCGGCCTTGCACACCATCTTAAGTGTGACGCCACACTGCCCTTCACAGCCTTGGGGCTCTGCCCAGACCAGGAGGAATGGGGAGGGGGTCTTTGACCCTACCCCAGGCTTAGCCCCAGAGAGGAGGAAAGAGTGGCAGGCCAGGCAGGGAGGGGCTCCAGGGTGTGGCCTGGGTTTTTCAGTGGGATGGGGGAGGGGTTGCTTATGAGCCTGGGTGGGTTCTTGGTAGGTGGTGGGCTTCCTAGAGGAGGCGGTGGGAGGGCAGGGGCAAAGAGGGTGAGCGGTCCTCAGTTCGTCCGTCTTCCCGGGGGACTCTCTGACCCTTTCTGGTCCGTGCTGCGGCCGGCGTGGCCCGGAGACTAGCCCCTCAACCCCGAGGTGGGGTGGACCCGGGTGCTCCGCGGCCACAGCCCCTCCCCGCCTCTAGAAGCGCAGTCCCGCGGCTCGCCCGCCGCTCGCGAGGGCCGCACTTTGCCCTCGGTCCCTAGCGGCGCCTGGCCACGCCCCCGGCGGGTGGAGTCGGGCGGGGCGCCGGGCAGGTTCCTCTGCGTTCCGCGGCGGCGGCAGCGGCGGCGACGGCGACATGGAGAGCGGGGCCTACGGCGCGGCCAAGGCGGGCGGCTCCTTCGACCTGCGGCGCTTCCTGACGCAGCCGCAGGTGGTGGCGCGCGCCGTGTGCTTGGTGAGCCCGGGGAGGGCGGGCCGAGGGCACCCTGGGGACCCCCTCTCCGTCGCCAGGCCCGGCGGGGCCCCTAGCCCACGAGCGCGACAGGTGGCGGCGGCCGCGTCCGGGGCCTGGCGGCGAGCGGGGCCGGCGTCCAGCGTCCCGGGCCCCGCCTTCCCGCCCTCCACAGTCTGTCCCGCTGTCCCCTCCCGGTCCCGGGTCCCGCCACCCACCCCACCCCCAGCCTCGCGCCCCGACGCGGGGTGTCCGGATCTCCGCAGGGAGCGGGCCCCTGCCTCGCTGGCAGTGGGAGGAGTTTGGGGGCGGCTCCCGGACAGGTGGCCCGCACGCCGCGACTCCCAGATTGGGGAGTTCACCGGGACGGGGTTTTCCGAAGCCACGTGGGGTAAGGGAGGGGGCGGGGGGCGACCCAACGCCCGGAAACAGGGTGTCCTTCCCACTCGGGGCAGGCCACGGGTCCGCCTTCCCACCCGAAGTTGAGGGACCCCAAGATGTACCCCCTCCCTGTAAGGTGGGCAATACCTCCAAAACCAGGTTTTGTGTGTGTGTGTGTGTGGCGGGGAGGGGGCCTGTTCTTGGACAGCCAGCCCTGAAAGCTGGAGGGGGTGGCATGAGGGGGCAGGCAGAGGTGGGCCTGCTGTGCCCAGACCATGCCTGGGCCTGGAGCTTCTGAGGTCCTCCAGGGCGCCCACACCAGCTCCCAGCCAGGCTGTGGGATCTGATCGCCTCTGTCCTGGGCTGTGTCCAAGAATCAGGTGCCCAGTGGGTCGGGATGGCAGTGCCAGGAGTCCTGGATGGGCACCCTGCTCCCATCATCCCGGAGATCCGGCTTCATCTCCATCTGGGGGCGGGGCCTGTGACTGCCAGCTCCAGAGCCCTATGGAGAGCTCCCTGGGACAACAGGGCAGGACTGGCAGGGGAGAGTCCTGGGGCCATCCCAGAGGGATCCTGATGCTCACAGACCTGTCCCACACCTGCTGAGGTGGAGCAGGCGTGGGTGGTGGCCTTCAAGTTTAGGGAGGTGGTATGGGGCTCTTCCCAAGGGGCTGGAGCTCCCCTACATCCACCCTGGGTCCTCCAGGTGTCTGAGTTCAGAGCTGTATCCACAGGCCTGAGTTAGTCCCCTTGTAGTGCCCTGTGCATGCAGGGCCCTCTGTGGGGTGGGAGACAGACTGGGAGGGACCAGGATGCCACAGAGGCTGCAAGTCCTTGTGTGGAGACAGCTGGCCAGGCTGAACCAGGGAGGGTTCCAGGGGTTCCAGGAGGTGAAGACACAGGGGCGCCAGCATGGCCTTCCCAAGAGGGCCTGTCCACCTTCACCAAGGTGTTCAGGCAGAGGCTGGGTGCTGTAGAAGTGACTTGGGCTGAAGGTGACGGGGGATGGGTAGTCTTTGTGACTTGGCCTGTCTTGGTTAAACCTCTTTCAAGGTGAGGTTGGGCTGGGGATGGAAGGACTGCCCTTCATCCATCAGGTACCTAAGCAGAATGATTCCTGCAGCAGGCCGATGGGGCAGGAGCAGCCCCTGCCTAGGAGGTCCCTGCCCATTCCCCACCCCTCCCCGGTCCAGGATTCCCAGGGGCAGGCCCCCTGGTGCCTGCAGATTCTCATCCTGGGGTGCATCAGGAAGCACTTTGCTCATCAGCTCACCTCCACAAGTTTGGAGGGGCTAAGATGTCAGCCTCCAAAAGGGGACAGCAGGCTGGGCGAGGTGGCTCATGCCTGTAATCCCAGCACTTTGGGAGGCCGAGGAGGGTGGATCACCTGAGGTCAGGAGTTCCAGACCAGCCTGGCCAACATGGTGAAACCCTATCTCTACTAAAAATACGGGTGTGGTGGAGGGCACCTGTAATCCCAGCTACTAGGGAGGCTGAGGCAGAATTGCTTGAACCCAGGAGGCAGAGGATGCAGTGAGCCGAGATCGCACTATTGCACTCCAGCCTGGGCAACAAGAGCAAGACTCCATCTCAAACAACAACAAAAACCCAAAAGGGGACAGCAGTAGTGGGAGAGGCCAGCATCTGTACACCCCATCAGGGTCCCCGCTGTGTGTGCCCCTCAGGCGGCCACCAGCCCTACCAGGTCCTCCCCTCCCGGCAGGTCTTCGCCTTGATCGTGTTCTCCTGCATCTATGGTGAGGGCTACAGCAATGCCCACGAGTCTAAGCAGATGTACTGCGTGTTCAACCGCAACGAGGATGCCTGCCGCTATGGCAGTGCCATCGGGGTGCTGGCCTTCCTGGCCTCGGCCTTCTTCTTGGTGGTCGACGCGTATTTCCCCCAGATCAGCAACGCCACTGACCGCAAGTACCTGGTCATTGGTGACCTGCTCTTCTCAGGTATCTGCCTGTGGCACCTCCATTTGATCTTGGGGGAGGCATTAACTCTAGGGTTCCGCAGCTGGGAGGGTCTCGGCCTCTCTGGGAGGGGCAGGGAGCAGCTCACTCCTCCAGGGCATTTTTAGGAAAGGGTTTTCAGCTAGTGTTTTTCCGTGCTTGAATGGCACCAGCCCTGCCTGGGGTAGCTAGAAGCTGAGTGGACCTGCAGCACACCCGAGCAGATGGGCTTTGCCTCTGCCCCTTTTGTCCCCTAGGCTGTCTGCTGTGGCCCACCCTGCCAAGGCCCGAGTGTGGGGGACTTTGGAGGTGGCTCCCGGCCCGGCTTCCAAGTCCTCCCCTCCATAGTGTGGAGGCTCCCCCGGGAGGTCCCTGCCCTACCTGCCCGCGTCCCCTCCCAGAGTCCTGGAAAGCCCCTCCCTTTCCATGGAACTGACGCTTCACCCGTCCTCCCCCAGCTCTCTGGACCTTCCTGTGGTTTGTTGGTTTCTGCTTCCTCACCAACCAGTGGGCAGTCACCAACCCGAAGGACGTGCTGGTGGGGGCCGACTCTGTGAGGGCAGCCATCACCTTCAGCTTCTTTTCCATCTTCTCCTGGGTAGGATGGCCAGGGGCCGGTTCTTGGGTCAAGGGTGGTGGAGGGTGGGGTCCCCCACCCACCTGTACCCTGCTGTGCTCCCCCTGCAGGGTGTGCTGGCCTCCCTGGCCTACCAGCGCTACAAGGCTGGCGTGGACGACTTCATCCAGAATTACGTTGACCCCACTCCGGACCCCAACACTGCCTACGCCTCCTACCCAGGTGCATCTGTGGACAACTACCAACAGCCACCCTTCACCCAGAACGCGGAGACCACCGAGGGCTACCAGCCGCCCCCTGTGTACTGAGCGGCGGTTAGCGTGGGAAGGGGGACAGAGAGGGCCCTCCCCTCTGCCCTGGACTTTCCCATGAGCCTCCTGGAACTGCCAGCCCCTCTCTTTCACCTGTTCCATCCTGTGCAGCTGACACACAGCTAAGGAGCCTCATAGCCTGGCGGGGGCTGGCAGAGCCACACCCCAAGTGCCTGTGCCCAGAGGGCTTCAGTCAGCCGCTCACTCCTCCAGGGCACTTTTAGGAAAGGGTTTTTAGCTAGTGTTTTTCCTCGCTTTTAATGACCTCAGCCCCGCCTGCAGTGGCTAGAAGCCAGCAGGTGCCCATGTGCTACTGACAAGTGCCTCAGCTTCCCCCCGGCCCGGGTCAGGCCGTGGGAGCCGCTATTATCTGCGTTCTCTGCCAAAGACTCGTGGGGGCCATCACACCTGCCCTGTGCAGCGGAGCCGGACCAGGCTCTTGTGTCCTCACTCAGGTTTGCTTCCCCTGTGCCCACTGCTGTATGATCTGGGGGCCACCACCCTGTGCCGGTGGCCTCTGGGCTGCCTCCCGTGGTGTGAGGGCGGGGCTGGTGCTCATGGCACTTCCTCCTTGCTCCCACCCCTGGCAGCAGGGAAGGGCTTTGCCTGACAACACCCAGCTTTATGTAAATATTCTGCAGTTGTTACTTAGGAAGCCTGGGGAGGGCAGGGGTGCCCCATGGCTCCCAGACTCTGTCTGTGCCGAGTGTATTATAAAATCGTGGGGGAGATGCCCGGCCTGGGATGCTGTTTGGAGACGGAATAAATGTTTTCTCATTCAGTCTCCAGTCATTGGTTGAGCCACAGCCTAGGGGTTGGAGGAAGACTCCACTCTGGGTACACCCTTAGGGGCTGGCTTTATGGAACTTGTAGTTTGAACAAGGCAGTGGCAATCCGCCCCCTCCAGCCTGCCTGGCTGGCCCCCTTCCCTCTGTCTGGGGTCGCATTCCGCACAAGCCTTTCATCAACATCTTAAAATAGTAACTGTGCTCAGCTTGTAAACAAGATGATTTTTCTGGCCTGCAGTGCCAGGGTCCTGCTGCTCCCTTCCTAGAGTGGGGGTGGGGGTACCTGGGAGTTGTCGGTGAATGCCCCTTTCTTGCACTGAATAGGGGTACCATAGGTAAGACCAGGTTTCTACCTTCCTCCAGGGTCAGCACCTCTGGAGCCTTCCTGGGACACGGCCTTGGCCGTCCAGCCCACCCCTCGGAGATAAGGCCCATCTCTGGAAGAGGTCAAGGCCCTAAAGCAACTTCTGGCTTCTTCTTTTGAGCAATGACAGAGGGAGCTGTCATCGGCAAGTCCCGATTGTTTAAAAATCCCCAGTACGAACTAACAGGGCACTGCTCCCAGCCTCACCCGATGGCTTTGGCTTGGGACACATCACTAGCGAAGGGGAGAGGGAGGCTGGGGAGGCCCTGGGAGTGGTGACCCTGCCTGCACAGGACACACCTTACCCCAGCGATGCTTGCCCCCAAGTGAGCTGCCAACAGCCCATCTCTGAGGCACAGCTGAGAGATGTCTTGACTCCTGAATTACCAAGAGTTTGTTTCACAAACAAAACCTGACCTCACAGGCCCAGCGGGCAGGACAGTGCCTCTTCCTTCCAACTGGGCCCCGGGCTCCTCTGTACACCCATTTTTGTCCTGACACTGGCCCAGACAGGAAGGCAGATGATGTTCTGCTTAGGACACACCCCATGATCATTTCTCAGTTCAAGGGTTGTGGTTAAGAGATCAGTATTACTACAGAAAGATCTGGGGGCCAGGTGCAGTGCCTCACGCCTGTAATCCCAGCACTTTGGGAGGCCGAGGCAGGTGGATCACTTGAGGCCAGGAGTTCGAGACCAGCCTGGCCAACATGGTGAAAACTCGTCTCTACTAAAAATACAAAAATTAGCCAGGTGTGGTGGTACACGCCTGTAATATCGGCTACTTGGGAGGCTGACGGGGGAGAATCACTTCAACTGGGGAAGCAGAGGCTGCAGTGAGCAGGGATTGCGTCACTGCACTCCAGCCTGGGCGACAGAGACCCTGTCTCAAAACAAAAGAAAAAAAGATCTGGAAGAAAATCCCCACCCAAATCAAGTTGGAGCTGTCCATGAGACCCAGGGAAACCCAGGTGAAAGAGAAATGTGCGTCCACCAACCAGTGAATTTTCAATTAGTTAATTTCATAAGCTACAGCAGAGGCGTGGACCCTGCCCTCTCCACACTTGAAGAGATAAGCCCCTGGGATCCAAGTCCCAGCAAGGTTGGTGCCACCCATCTTGGTGAAAGATGCTGTTGTTCCTGTGGAAACCATCACCAGAGGTAGGAAGGGCTTTGAGCCCAAAAGGAAACAAGAGGGCGTGAATCCAGGCCATCCTCAGGGGAGGGTGGGAGCCCATCCCAGGCAGAGAGGCCTAAGCCTCAGTGTGGGCCAAGGCTCAAAGGTGCTGGCACAGGCTTCCCAGGGAGAACAGAAACTCAGCAGTGAAAGCCGCAGAGGGGAAGAAGCAGGCTGATGTCAACAGCGTGGGGCTCTGTCCCTCACCCCAAGGAGAGGGAGTGTGCCAGATCCCAGGCCACCAAGCGGGGCCAGCTCCAGCCTGGGCGATCGTCCCAGCAGCTGAGAGGGAAGCTTTAAGCAGACCAGTGGGTAGGAGAGGAGGGAGCATGCGGCAGGTGGGGCAGCCACACAAAGGAGAGTTCCCAGAAGGCCAAGGTGTGGTCACCCTCCACGCCTCCCGACTTCCTCCTGGAGTGGCTGGGCAGCATGCAGGGCAGCGTCCAGTAGGCGGCAGTGGCAGGAAGGGAGCGGGCGGCCCTCGCAGGTCCCTCAGTTGGCAGGGCTGCATTGCAGAATCTGCTGTGGGGCAAAGAGCTTCCTGGCAGCCACGGCTTCCCCTGGCTTTCCTGGCACTGGGCAGTTCTCTTTGTTGTCCGGCCCGGCAGGCTGGCCTGAGGCCTTCTTGAAGTAGCAGAGCCGACACACGGAGTGGTACTTGTCTGCTCCCCCAATCACCTCGACCTGGCCGCAGGGACAGGGGATGGGTGAAGGGCCAGGACAGGAAGGAGGCAGAGCCATACCCCCACCCCGCCGGCCTGCAGGGAAGGCAGGTGGAGCTACCTCCTTCTCTGTGCCGAGCCTCTTGGTATAGGCGGCTTCCCGGAAGCACTCCATGCACACCGCCGTCAGCTTCACCACGCTCTCGGCCAGCGGCACCAGGTTCAGGATGGCCCCAAATGGCTGCGCTCCCATGGAAAGACAGAGGGCGCTCAGCCACCTTACCAGGTGGGTTTTTCTTTTAAACCCTCTGATTCACAAGCACTGAAGCCAGGAGAGTTTGCTCTGACCTTAGTCCTTCCCCCAACCCCCAGAGCACCATGCCCGGCTCTGTCCCTTTGCCAATTCAAAGCACCTGCCGCAACAGATGGCACGCAGTCTGCACAGACCATGGAGTCCCTTGGCTCAGCCAAGGCCTGAGCAGCTCGGCCGTAACCCTGTGGTGGCTGAGCCCTGGTCACCCAGAGCTGGTGTCTCTGTGCCCATCCAGAAGCCTCTTGCCCTCCTCAATCCCAGCTCCAGACCTGGATCAGACGCCTTACCTTCCTCTGGAAGGTCCCATCCAGTGCAGCCACAATTACGGTCTTCCCGGCGTTGGCCATGGCCTCGCAGAACTCCACGATGTCAGGGAACTGGAAAGGGCACGTGGAGAAAGAGTGTGAGAGCTTCCACCCCAGCAGCAGCTCCCTGGAGCCCCAGCGAAGACGCTGCCAGATCTGACAACTCCGGCCATTTGGCCCGGAGTAACTCTTAATTCTCCCACGAGGCTCCCCAGGCCGGGGGACTGTGTCCACCCGCACGCCCCCCAGCAGACGACAGGTACATCCACAACTGCGCAGCCCCTTCCCCCTGCAGCCAGCTTCCCTCCGAGTCCAGGTACCCAGGACTCAGCACCGGACTTCCACACCAGCTGTGCTGTTTAACACTGCAGTGGCCAAAGGCCTGCTGCCTTGGGCTCGGACACCACTCTTCGCTGGACCCATTATCTGTGTGACCTTGGCAATGAATTAACGTCTCTGAACCTGTTTCCTTTTCCTTAAGAGCAAGGAAGGTCCTGTTGTTTAAGGATGGAAGGCCCTAAGTTATATACATGCTCTTCGGTGAATAGGTGGGCGCTTTGTGCTCTTGCCTCCCCCGTTTTAAACGGGTAATGTGCCTTGAGAAGGGGCGGGGGTCCTACTGGCCATTTACAGAGCAGGATGACACAGCACAGCCTTCTAAATTCAGGACCTGCACAGAGCACATTTACTGTGTAAAGCAAACTTCACTTTGGCCCAGGGAGAAGCTGAAACTCTGGCAAGTGCTCTGGTGATTCTCATCAATCAATCATATCACTCTTAGCTGGTTGAGTTCATATGTCCAGACTGGCCTTTGGGTTGGGTGAAGCAGGGATGTCCTTGTCCTTGGGTGCAGGGTCTCTCTCCCAGGGCCACTCAGGCTTTCTCAGCCCAGGTACTGAGGTTTGAGGTTATTGAGACGTGAGGGCTTAGCAAGGTGAGGACTAAGGGGTGGCTCGAAAAATTCCAGTGAGATCCAAGCAAAGCCCAACGTGACTGATTGCGCTCAGCTGACTGCAGGGGTCTCTGGAGAAGGAAACCCAGAGACTCCAGCACGCCAGGGCCCCTCCCCACCATGCACTCGTTCCCTCTTTTTCTCTGAGGACTCATGACATGTCACGAAAATGCAGCTCCCAGCCTGCAAGGAGCTGTGGGCCGGCACACCACCTGCGCCAGGGGCGCGCCCCCTGGAGGGCTGACGCTGCCATGGCTGCCATTTGAGGCCGGATCTCGCTGTGTCCTGTGCAGTGTAGGGTGTTGGGCTGCGTCCCTCGCCCCCACCCATTAGATAGATGCCAGGAACACACCTCCCACCCCCCAGCTGCGACAAAATTGTTTCTAGTTGTTGTGAGATGTCCCCTGGGTGGGAATGGAGAGGGGAAGAACCCTCCTGAGTTGAGAACCTTGCTCCTTCACCCGCCACATGAGGGTAGAAGGCAGACCCCAGACTCTCCTGCATCAGGGTTTCAGGATGAAGGTCCTCAGCCCCCACTCACTCCACCTCTTGACCAACCTCAGGCTGAGGTCCATAGTCAAAGAGCTTGGTTCTTGCACCCGGCACTTCCCCACCCGTCCAGCACTTCCAGTGATCTGCCTGCCTCAGCCTCCCAAAGTGCTGGGATCACAGACGTGAGCCTCTGTGCCAGACCCTAACTTTTCCTAGATTAAACTTATTATAGATTGCATGTCTCTAACCTGAAAGGCTCCAAAATCTGAAACTTTTTGAGCGCCCACCACAAGTGGAAAATTCCACACCTGACCTCATGGGACAGGTCACAGTCAAAAACTGTGGCTCACGTCCAAATTACTAAATACATAAAATTACTCTCAGGCTATGTGCCTAAGATGTCTATAAAACATAAATGGATTTTGTGTTTACACTTGGGGCTCATTCCCAAGGTCTCATTATATTATGAACATGCAAATATTCGAAAACCTGAAATCCGAAACACTTCTGGTCCCAGGCATTTAGGTTAAGGAATACTCAACCTGTATTACTTGTGTAGTAGAACAGAAAACACAAAAAGGTCTATTTTTTTTTTTTTTTTGAGACGGAGTCTCGCTCTGTCGCCCAGGCTGGAGTGCAGTGGCGTGATCTCAGCTCACTGCAAGCTCCGCCTCCTGGGTTCACGCCACTCTCCTGCCTCAGCCTCCCGAGTAGCTGAGACTACAGGTGCCCGCCACCACGCCTGGCTAATTTTTTTGTATTTTCAGTAGAGACGGGGTTTCACCGTGTTAGCCAGGATGGTCTCGATCTCCTGACCTCGTGATTCACCCACCTCGGCCTCCCAAAGTGTTGGGATTACAGGCATGAGCCACTGCGCCTGGCTTTGTCTATTTTTTTTGAGACAGAGTCTCGCTCTGTCATCCAGGCTGGAGTGCAGTGGCATAATCTTGGCTCACTGCAACCTCTGCCTCCCAGGTTCAAGCAATTCTTGTGCCTCTGCCTCCCAAGTAGCTGGAATTACAGGTGTGTGCCACCACGCTTGGCTAATTTTTGTATTTTTAGTAGAGATGGGGTTTCACCATGTTGGCCTGGCTGGTCTCAAACTCCTGACCTCAAGTGATCCGCCCGCCTAGGCCTTCCAAAGTGCTGGGATTACAGGTGTGAGCCACCGTGCCCAGCCAGAAAAAAAGTTTAAAAAAATAAATCAGAGCTCCTACTATTGCCAAGCGACCCTGCAAGCCCACCACACACTGTGCAGCTGTTGATGCAAGGGTGCCCACCCACCACCAGCATCTGAAGCACAGCACCCCCAGCTAGGAGCTTCAGGTTTTCCAGAGATTTCCAGGTGAGTCTCTCTTGGATGCCAACAGTTTCTACAGAGCAGTGTGAGCACCTGTGTGTCTCGCCCGGGGTACAAAGAAGCACAGAAGCTTCTGACCCAGGGCCTTCCTCAGGATGGCACGGTGGCTACTCTGTGAAAGGCTTTCCCTGCTGACCCAGAAAACGGGAACAAGGCAGGTTCGGCTGGGCTTCATCCACTGTCCACGTAGACAATGAAGGAGCGAAGGACAGTCCTTCTGCTGGGTCCCATGCTAGGAACCCCTCTCCTCGATCTAGAACTGCTTGCAATGGGAAGACCCTGAACTTCTTTTGTTTTGTTTTGTTTTGAGACTGAGTTTTGCTCTTGTTGTTGCCCAGGCTTGGAGTGCAATGGGGCGATCTTGGCTCACTGCAACCTTCGCCTACCGGGTTCAAGCGATTCTCCTGCCTCAGCCTCCCAAGTAGCTGGGATTACAGGCATGCGCCACCACGCCTGGCTAATTTTTGTATTTTTAGTAGAGACGGAGTTTCTCCATGTTGGTCAGGCTGGTGACCCGGAACTTCTTGAAGAGAACAAGGGCACACAGAGGCCAGGGCAGAATGCTGATGTCTGGGTAGGGTGTAATAAATACTCACTGAATGAACTCAAGTTTTACTTGCTGGCCAGGGAGGAAGTAGACCGAGAAATCCCTCCTATAGGCTGAACAGGGGACAGGACTTCATACGCTGGCTCCTGACTCAGGGCATTTGGATGTCGAGGAAGGAGAAGGGAAAGGTTTCTGCCTCGGGGGTCTGGGTCAGCCTCTGTCAACAAGGTTTACGCAGAGCCAGGAGAACAGAGCTATTGAACAACTCACAGCGGCAGGTCTGAAGGAGGGAGAGCCTTGCCAAAGCTGAAGCTTCCTTGTTCTGAGAGGGCCATGTCCCCAAAGCTGATGCAAAATCCCTGGATGCATTCTGAGGCCACAGTTTGGGAGCAAAAGAGAACAGCTGCAGCCCTATTCCCAGCCTGGGCTCACTTTCTCGCCAGGAGTCCCTCAAGCACGGGGCAGCAACAACGACGTCTCCACGTACGCAGAGGCATGGGGGTGCTCAGGGGCGCACCTCTGAAGGTCAGAAACGGAATGGCCATACCCAAGCGGGGAGGAGATGCCAGCTGCCGGGTGGTCGGGAACCCAGAGCGGACACTGGCAGCCTCAACTCCACAGGGCAGATGCCCCGCACAGGGGAAGGGACCCGTCAGCCTCCCCACGGGAATGGAATTTGCAGCTGTGACTCATACAGAATGTTGGGCAAGAACAGAACCAGGAAGGCAGGACTGGCCTTTTGAGGGGACAGGCCCTGTGACGTCCGGGCAGGGTATTCAGGCCAGAGCGGCCTGGCTCTGTGCTGGGAGGCAGGGCGGGTAGAGACCTCGAAGCACTCACCAAACCAACTCATTTATTCTTCCTCCAGGGTATAGAACTAGACTAAGTGTGGCCAGGCGTGGTGGCTCACGCCTGTAATCCCAGCACTTTGGGAGGCTGAGGCAGGCAGATCACCTGAGGTTAGGAGTTCCAGACCAGCCCGGTCAACATGATGAAACCCCGTCTCTACTAAAAATACAAAAGGTTAGCTGGGCATGGTGGCAGAAGCCTGTAATCCCAGCTACTCAGGAGGCTGAGGCGGGAGAATCACTTGAACCTGGGAGATGGAGGTTATAGTGAGCCGAGACTGCGCCACTGCACTCCAGCCTGGGCCACAGAGCAAGACTGTTTTTAAAAACAAACAAAAAACGAACTGGACTAAGTATACTAAACGTATAGGTGGCCCTGTGCCCAGGTTCTAGTCTTTGAAAGATCAGCAGAAGTGACGTTTGCAGCTTCTGGTCAGGCCCATGAAAACCTCACACCCAGGGGCTCCGCCACGTCTCTTCCCCTCCGTGTCTGTATACAGCCAGCCAGGGCGACCTAAGCCGCCTCGTGGGCGGCCTCCCCATCAACCGGCCTGGAACCACGTAGGGGGTCTGTGAGCGAGAAATAAATTCCTGTTATGTTTATATCAAACCACCACATTGTGTACTTCGAGGCAACCCTAAAAGTACCTAAGAGGTCAAGTCTGCTAAACCCCTTGGAGAGAGTTTCAGTTTCATTCTTTGTGATAAACTAACAAAAATAAAATCTCCAAAGCAGAGGAAAGAAAACTAAGATAACAGAAAATAACCCAGAAACTCAACCACAGAATATGTTCCTGAGGAAATAGAAAAATCTGGAAAAGTCTAAGAAAAGATTTTCAGGAACATAATGGAAGGAACAGCATAAATTTAAAAATAACCCAACAGTAACTTGTCAAACAAAACGGAGCATGATGAATTAGAGCAGCAGATGTAAAAATAGTCACTGAAACAAAACACACTCTGGAAGATGGAACCCAGAACACCTCAGAGATGGATGAGGAGAGAAATACCTGAAGTGATAATGGCTTCATTCCTTCCCCAGAAATGAAAAGGCACACCAGCTATAAAGCAGGATAAATGAAACAAAGCTTCCCCTACACACATTGTGCTGAGAGAGAACAGATAGAATACCTGACCAGAGGTAACATTAGAGAGATGGCGGCCTTCCTCTGAGCAAAAACACAATGACCAGCGCTGCTACTTTTCAAAGCAACAAGATCAAGACCAGGCGTGGTGGCTCACGCCTGTAATCCCAGCACTTTGGGAGCTGAGGCATGCGGATCACCTGAGGTCAGGAGTTCCAGACCAGCTGGCCAACATGGTGAAACCCCATCTCTATTAAAAATACATAAATGAGCTACGCATGGTGGCACGCACCTGTGATCCCAGCTACCCGGAAGGATGAGGCAGAACTGCTTGAACCCAAAAGGCGGAGGTTGCTGTGAGCTAAGATCACGTCACTCCACTCCAGCCAGGGCAACAGAGCAAGACTCCATCTCAAAAAAAATAAAAATTAAAAAGGCCGGGCACGGCGGCTCATGCCTGTAATTCCAACACTTTGGGAAGCCAAGGCGGGTGGATCACCTGAGGTCAGGAGTTCAAGACCAGCCTAGCCAACATGGTGAACCCTTGTCTCTACAAAAATTAGCCAGGCATGATGGTGGGTGCCTGTAATCCCACCTACTTGGGAGGCGAGGTGGGAAAATCGCTTGAATCCGGGTGGCAGAGGTTGCAGTGAGCCGAGATCACGCCATTGCACTCCAGCCTGGGCGACAGAGTAAGACTCCGTCTCAAAAAAAAAAAAAAAACCCAAACCCACACAAGATCAACCTACCTCTTGCTGCCCAGCTTAAACTAGATGACAAAAGAAAGATTTCCATACAAAGACTGGCAGCTTCCCATCTATACCTCCTGGCTGCAAAAACTACTAAAAAAGGTACTTCAACAACAAGAAAATAAACGTATAAGAAACAAGCAAAAGGAACCATGAGGCAAACCAAACATTACTCCCCACCTCCCCCTTTTTTTTTTGAGACAGGGTCTGGCCTTGTCGCCCGGGCTGGAGTGCAGTGGTGCTATCACCACTCACTGCAGCCTCGACCTCCCAGGCTCCATCCTTCTGCCTCAGCCTCCTGAGTAGCAGGGACCACAGGTGTGCGCTGCTATGACTGGCTAATTTCTTTTTTTTTTTGGTAGAGATGGGGTTTTACTATGTTGCCCAGGTGAGTCTCCAACTCCTGGGCTCAAGTGATCTGTCCACCTTGGCCTCCCACAGGCTGAGATTACAGGTGTGAGTCACTGCATCTTGCCAGTAAATAGATATATGTATTTTTAAAAAGGTACAATGGCCAGGTGTGGTAGCTCATGCCTGTAATCCCAGCGCTTTGGGAGTTCAAGGCGGGGCGGATCACCTGAGGTTGGGAGTTTGAGACCAGCTTGACCAACATGGAGAAACCCCATCTCTACTAAAAATATAAAATTAGCTGGGCGTGGTGGCGCATGCCTGTAATCCCAGCTACTCGGGAGGCTGAGACAGGAGAGAATTGCTTGAACCCAGGAAGCAAAGTTTGCGGTGAGATTGTGCCATCGTACTCCGGCCTGGGCAACAAGAGCAAAACTCCGTCTCAAAAAAAAAAAAAAAAAAGTAAAACGAATCCTACAAGACTATGACACTATGACAGGGAAACTAGAAAGGGGCCTTCAGAGGGTATTCCAACACTAGTTGTAGCTATTTAACCTTGTTATTTTACTAAAAGATCAGATAACTTCCAAGTCAGCGAGGGAAAACGGGAGGACAGAGCGGAAGCTGGCAGGAAGAGTGATGCCAAGACAAGCCAACTTACAAACTGCCCCTCGTCGATGCCTATGACAGCCACGCCCAGGGCCTCCTGGGCCACGTCTCGGAGCAGGCAGGCGGGCAGTGCCTCCATGGTGTTCCTGGGAAGAGAAAGCCAGAGCGTGAGCAGGGCCAGGGAGGCCAGAAGCCACAATGCAGGGGCCAGGGAATGGCACTGTCGTGACCACCTGCTACCTGCAAAGCAGGCTCAGTGTTCACCCAGCCGGGCTTTGAGAAGTTAGCACCTATGGGAAAGGCCCTCGTCCAGAAAACCAGTTATTTATTTATTTTTTATGAAACAGAGTCTTGCTCTGTCACCCAGGCTGGAGTGCAGTGGCGCCATCTCGGCTCCCTGCAATCTCTACCTCCCAATTCTCAAGGGTCTCAAGCGATTCTCCCACCTCAGCCACAAGAGTAGCTGGGACTACTGGCACACACCATCACACCCAGCTAATTTTTGTATTTTTAGCAGACATGGGGTTTCACCATGTTGGCCAGGCTGGTCTCAGACTCCTAACTTTTAAGTGATCCACCCGCCTTAGCCTCCCAGAGGAAAACCAGTTATTTATACAAGCCACTTCACTTGATGCTTTGGATTAGAAATTAGTAATGTCCAGTACAAAGCTCAATGAGACTAAAAACTCTTCCACTGTTCAGGAGCTGGGGGCAGACTAGGCCAACTTCATCAGGTACCAGGGCCCATGATACCATTAGGGGCCAGCCAAATGTTTCCTTTTAAAATTCAGAAGAATGAATAACTAGAACTGGGCCTGGGTTATATTTGTCTTTATATTAATTATGTTGCAAAACATAAATTTTTAAAATCCTGTATTCTGGCCAGACACAGCAGCTCATGCCCGTAATCTTTGGGGAGGCCAAGACGGGAGGATCACTTGAACTCAGGAGTTCGAGACCAGCCTGGGTAACACAGCGAGACACTGTGTGAAAAAAATGTAAAAATTAACTGGGTGTGGTGGTGTGCGCCTGTAGTCCCACCTGCTCAGGGGGCTGAGGTGGGACGATCACTTGAGCCCAAGGGTTTGGGGTCACGTAACAGTAAGCTATGATTGAGCCACTGCACTCCAGCCTGGGTGACAGAGAGAGACCCTGTCCCAAAAACAAACAACAAACAAACAAAAAAACATACTTTACAACTATTGTTTCGTTATTACCTTGCTATAATCCTACTTCGAGTTCTGGAAAGAATGTGTGAAACAGTATTTTGGGCATTTTAAATTCCCTCTTCCCTCCCTAAACAGAGAAAGACAAAGTGAGGGCAGGTGGGAGGCCAGCTGTGGCCCCTGCAAGGGCAGCCTCTCGAGCCATCAATGCTGCTGGCCCAGCCTTGGCCTCTGTGGCCCGTGTTAGAGATGACTTGTGACACACGGGCAGAACTCATATTTAATCCCGGATCTGACTGACTCCAGAAGTTGTACTTCCAACAGCTGGAACGAAGTGACCTCCTCTGCTTTCCCTGTCCCCACCAGGTGTAACACCACCCTGTGCCGTGGACATCGCATCTTAGGAATGAGGAAGCAAATTTGGAAAAGTAAATGACCTACATCAGACAGCATGGTCACGAAGTGCGGTTAAATTCCCACATGCAACTCCAAGCCCCAAGCACCCTCCACTCCACCAGCATCTGGCTTCAGGAGCCCCTCAGCTCCCACCGAAGGCCACACGCCGGGTGGATCTGTTCTCTGCACAGCCATAGCAACTCTCGGATACAGCTCCCAGCCAGGGCTCTGAGGCTGAAGCCCTATAATGTGTGGCACAGCATGGCTTTGCCACTGGGTGCCCAGGTGGACAAGTCCAGAGGACCAAGCAAAGCGTCTCAGGCTCAGAAACATCAGGCCCACATCTGCTGCCAAGGAAGTGAATTTAACTCCCAAACTGAGGTTGCAGGCGGAAATGTCCAGCGAGCTCAAACAGCTACACATAAAACAGGGAAGCGTGAAGGCTGCCAGGTGACGGGGGAGCCAGCCAACAACGGACAACTAAAAAATTAAACAAAAATCAACGTGCAGGCCAAACCAAACCAGTCTGCAGCCTGTGTGAAGCTGAAACCCTACGGCAGAGTTTCTGAACACTGGCAGGCTCCTGACATTTGGGGCCAGCTCGTTCTTGCATGGGGGCCGTCCTCTGCACCATAGGACCCTTAGCAGCAGTGTCCCTGATTTCTACACATTAAAGCCCAAAAGCATCCCCTCCCCCCTCCAGTTGCAACAACTAGAAATGTCTTCAAACATTGTCAAATGGACCCTGGCGGCAAAATCACCCTCAGTGGAGAACCACTGGCTCCAGCCCAGGGAGTGGAGAGTGTGCGCTACCTTGCCAAGCACCTTGGAAAGTGTGCTGATTTGAATCATTCAATGTTCAAATGATTAACCATCCCCATTAAAGAGAGTCCTAACAGTGTGTCCTGTGCCTTGTGATTTTCCACTGGACAGGACTGCAGGGGGCAGGGACTGACCGGTCATGTGTGCAGAAGCTGCTGCTGTAGCGAGTGTCTTTGGCATACTTGATCACCAGGCACTTGTACTGAGCAATCTGGAAGCGACGGACGCGTCTCATCAACTCTGTGCTGCAAGAGGAGAGAGGGTCAGGTGAGGTCCACGGCGGGAGGAGTGGGAGAAGGAGACCCCTCCCCAACAAGCCTGGCTCCTCATTGTCCCTAGTGGTATGCAGACTGAGCCCACCACAGCCAGAAAAGAGCAGGGCAGAGCAGGCAGGGTATAATATCCCTACAAAGAGGGTTGGAAGTCAGAATTCTCTATGGGGAAGAGGTCCAGGAATGGTACTCAGGTGGTCCCAGGAAGTGTGGGAGGAGTAACCTTCTCCAAGATGTAGTGGGGAAGGCAGAAGCAAAGGCTACATGTAGAGGGAACCTGCGACTGCATTCCAAAGTAACCTCATCCCAGAGTTGTTCCCAGAGTTCAGAGTTTTTCTTTCTTTCTTTTTGGGGTGGAGTCTCGCTCTGTTGCCTAGGTTAGAGTGCAGTGGAGCGATCTCAGCTCACTGCAACCCCTGCCTTCCGGGTTCAAGAGATTCTCCTGCCTCAACCTCCCGAGTAGCTGGGATTACAGGAGGCTGCCACCATGCCCAGATAATTTTTGGTTTTTTTTTTCAGTAGAGATGGGGTTTTACCACGTTGACCAGGGTGGTCTCAAACTCCTAACCTCAAGTGATCAACGCACCTCAGCCTTCCAAAGCGCTGGGATTAAAGGCGTGGGCCACCACACCTGGCATACAGCTTTTCTAAATTAATTTCAGAAAGTCTTTGTGTGCAGCGTCAAAAGCACTTGCTTCTGGGTCCAAGAAGTCCAACTCTGAGCCACATCTTCCTGAGCAAGGGGTTTGAGCTGAAGTGATCCCCAGGGCCATAAAAGAATGTTGGGGCAGGGCATGGTGGCTAACATCTGTAATCCCAGCACTTTGGGATGCTGAAGTAGGAGGATTGCTTGAGACCAGGAGTTCAAGACCAGCTTGGGCAACATAGCAAGACCCCAGCTCTATAAAAATAAAATAAAATTAGCTGGGTGGAGGCGGGGGGGTGCACGCCTGTAGTCCCAGCTACTTGGGAGGCTGAGGTGAGAGAATTGCTTGAGCCCAGGAGTTTGAGACCAGCCTGGGCAACATAGCAAGATCCTACCTCTAGAAGAACAAAAACAAAACAAAAAGAATGGTGCGTGGGTAGTTTACTCAAGAAACTCACTAGCCCCACCCGGGTCAGGGAATGGTTCTATCACCTCAGGAGAGCAGAGGCTCCACGGCTTCAGACTCCTTGGTTTAGAAAGCGACTACGTTTCCTTGGCCTTAGAAGGAAACAGCCACATTGAATAGGGGTGTACAAAAAGGCCTGGCCTACAGGGGACACAACTGGTTGCCACCTTCTCAGAGGACTTGGTGGGGAAGACAGCTAAGCTGTAAGCAGCTGTCACCAGCTCCAGGAGGGAGTGGCGTCCACACAGGACGAGGGGCTTGGCCTGGGCAGAAGAGGGCAGAGACTTCCTCCTGGACTGAATTCAAGGGAGGAGCACCCCAGGCGGGAGCTGTAGGAGGCTGTGCTGGTCCTTCTAGGGGAAGGGAAGGGGAGGGAAGGGAAGGGGAGGGGAGGGGAGGGGAGGGAAGGGGAGGGGAGGGACGGGACAAGGGGTCCCCGGAGAAGAGGAAGGAGCTCCACCCCAGCCCCGCGAAGCCATTACCTTTTTCCTGAGAACATCGGCCCGAGAATCACCTAGGAGAGAAGGTGAGGTCATTTGAGGGCCCGCCCTGCGCGGATGCCTGGACACAGGCTATCACCACGACCACCTCATCCCCAGCCACGCGCAGGGCTGGCCCCCGCACCTGGATCTGCCCCCGGGTCTTGCTGGGGGAGCCAGGCAGCACAGTGGGCAGGTTAATGCAGCTCATTGCGCCTCCGGGAAGTTCACGAACCCGAGTACTCTCCAAGGCCGTCCCGCAGTAAGCCCCTGGTTCCCGCGCCGACCGCTTTAAACCACGGCGTGCTGGCCAATCACGAGCCGGCCCCGCCGCCATGGGGCCAATCAGCGCCCGGCCGCTGACCTGGCGGGAGATTTGGCCGCAGCCCGCCCCCTCGTGGGAGGAATCCGGGACGTGCGCCCAGGGACTGGGAGGGCCTGGAAATCAGGGCGATGGACGTGGCTGATCGGGGTGGGGCCTGGTCTGAGCCCCGCCTCGGTCCGCCCACCAAGTTTAAAGGGGCGGAGCGAGGCGGGGCTCTGGCCATATAAACAGAGGGACGCACGCCCATGCGGCTGTAGACGCCATGATGGATGTGTCTGGTGTGGGTTTCCCAAGCAAGGTTCCTTGGAAGAAGATGTCTGCAGAGGTAGGTGGATTGCAGGGAGGGACTAAGGGGCTGGGGCGGAGTTAGCTCATTTATTAGATTGGAATTCCAAGAAGGAAGCTTAGAAGCCGTCTAGAGCACTCCTGTGGGCATGCAGAGCGCCTAGTGCGTGCCAGGTCCCCAGTGCTTGAGCACCATGGTGTATTTTACCTTCTCCTAAGGATTTTTGTTAACCTGGTTTTCAGGATAAAGAAAATTGAAGTCCTGACTATGCTAATAATATCCGTAGACCCTGCCAGGCGTGGCGGCTCACACCTGTAATCCTAGCACTTTTGGCGGATCACGAGGTCAGGAGTTCGAGACCAGCCTGGCCAACATGGTGAAACCCCGTTTCTACTAAAAATACAAAAATTAGCCGGGCGTGGTGATGTACCTCTGTAATCCCAGCTACTGGGGAGGCTGAGACAGGAGAATCGCTTGAACCCAGGAGGTGGAGGTTGCAGTGAGCCGAGATCATGCCATTTGTACTCCAGCCTGGAAGGCTGGGCGATAGACCAAGACTTAGTCTCAAAAAAAAAAAAAAAAAAAAAAAAAAAAATCCATAGACCCGCAGGAGGTTAGGGGACAAAGTTCTGGACCTTGATCTGAGGTTACACAATGTTTTTGGGTCTGTGCTTATGTGGCACAGGCTGAAGGATTCAGAACAGCTGGTATTTACATTGGGGTTGTGAAGGTTAGAAACATACAGGCCGGGTGCGGTGGCTCAAAAAAAAAAAGAAAGAAAGAAAAGAAACCCATTGTATAATCATGATCATAAATAATAGCAACAAAGATGGTGGTAGTGATCACAGAGTGTGCCAGGTGTGGCTGTAAGGATCCTACAGGTAATAACCTTTCCAGGTACAGATTGGACAGATCCAAGGACCTCTGACAAAGAGCTCCTTCACTGGGAGGAAGAAGCAACCCACACTGACTGGCTTGCTTTATTTTACTCGCATGCTTTATCTCTTTTAACCTTGTGATTTGGATACATGCCTTCTTTTTTTGAGACACAGTCTCGCTCAGTCACCCAGGCTGGAGTGCAGTGGCATGATCTCGGCTCACTGCAACCTCTACCTCCCGGGTTCAAGTGATTCTCCTGCCTCAGCCTCCCGAGTGGCTGGGATTACAGGCACACTGTAGCTGGTACTACATGCCTGGCTAATTTTTTTTTTTTTTCTTTTGAGACAGAGTCTCGCTCTATCGCCCAGGCTGGAGTGCAGTGGCGCGATCTGGGCTCACTGCAACCTCTTCTTCCAGGGTTCACGCCATTCTCCGGCCTCAGCCTCCTGAGTAGCTGGGACTACATGCGCCCGCAACCATGCCCGGCTAATTTTTTTGTATTTTTAGTAGAGATGGGGTTTCACTGTGTTAGCCAGGATGGTCTCCAACTCCTGACCTCATGATCCGCCCCCCTTGGCCTCCCAAAGTGCTGGGTTTACAGGCATGAGCCACTGCGCCTGGCCAATTTTTGTATTTTTAATAGAGATGGGGTTTCGCCATGTTGGACAGACTGGTCTTGAACTCCTGGCCTCAAGTGATCCACCCGCCTCGGCCTCCCAAAGTGCTGAGATTACAGGTGTGAGCCACTGTGCCGGGCCTGGATAGATACCTTCTACCAGTCAGGAAACTGAATCTCAGAGACTAAGTAACTTGTTGAGGATAAAACAGTAAGTAAGTGAGGGAGGTCAGATGGCATTTGACCTCAGGCCTTGCCATGAGGCTGCCCTGACTTCCCATTTCTCATGATGGTTTTGAGCCCTTTCTTCAAAATCTGGTTCCTTGTTACTTTTTTTTTTTTTTTTTTTTGAGATGGAGTCTCGCTGTTGTCACCCAGGCTAGAGTGCAATGGTGGGATCTCAGCTCGCTGCAACCTCCACCTCCCGAGTTCCAGCGATTCTCCTGCCTCAGCCTCCCGAGTAGCTGAGATTACGGGCGCCCGCCACCATGCCCAGCTAATTTTTGTATTTTTAGTAGAGACGGAGTTTCACCATGTTGGCCAGGATGGTCTCGAACTCCTGACCTCAGGTGATTCACCCGCCTCAGCCTCCCAAAGTGCTGGGATTACAGGTGTGAGCCACCACGCCCAGTGTTTTGTTTTTTTTTTTTTGAAACAGGGTTTTGCTCTCTCAGGCTGGAGTGCAATGGCGCAATCTTGGCTCACTACAATCTCTGCTTCCTGGGCTCAAGCGATTCTCCTGCCTTAGCCTCCCGAATAGCTAGGACTACAGGTGTCCACCACCATGCCCGGTTGATTTTTCATATTTTTCGTAGAGATAGTGTTTCGCCATATTGCCCAGACTGGTCTGGAACTCCTGGACTCAAGTGATCTGCCTATCTTGGCCTCCCAAAGTGCTGGGATTACAGGCGAGAGCCACCGTGTCCAGCATTTTCTGTTGGTTTTTTTTTTTTTTTTTTTGAGATGGGGTCTCACTCTGTCGCCCAGGCTGGAGTGCAGTAGCATGATCCCGGCTCACTGCAACCTCTGCCTCCCTGGTTCAAGCTATTCTCCTGCTTCAGCCTCCTGAGTAGCTGGGATTACAGGCGCGCGTCACCATGCCTGGTTAATTTTTGTATTTTTAGTAGAAATGGGGTTTCATCATGTTGGTCAGGCTGATCTTGAACTCCTGACCTCGTGATCCCGCCTCCGCCTCCCAAAGTGCTGGGATTACAGGCGTGAGCCACCGCGCCCAGCCTCTGTTTTTTTTTTTCTTTTTTTAATTCTCCAAACTGCCTCAGAATGGTTCCTTGTTACTTTCTGCATAAAGTGTGAAGGTGTTAGCCCGACATTCACCGCCCCTCCTCCTCCAGCCCAGCCTCCCAGCCTCACCTCTGTGTGTCAGCCATAGGGCCTGCCAGCATTTGCAAACTGACCTTTCATTCCTTCCTCCTCACCTCTGTGCCTTTGACTGTGCAGTGACCTCCTGTGGTCAGAATCGCACCCTCTCAGCGCAGATCAGCTCCTCCTTTTTTAATTTTTTTGAGGTAGAGTCTTGCTCTGTCGCTAGGCTGGAGTGCAGTGGTGCGATCTCGGCTCACTGCAACCTCCACCTCCCAGGCTTAAGCAATTCTCCTGCCTCAGCCTCCCAAGTAGCTGGGATTACAGGTGCACACCACCACGCTCGGCTAGTTTTTGTTTTCAGTAGAGATGGGGTTTTGCCATGTTGGCCAGGCTGGTCTCAAACTTCTGACTTCAAGTGATCCACCTGCCTCAGGCTCCCAAAGTGCTAGGATTACAGGCGTGAGCCACCGGGCCACCTGGCCTCCCCTGGTCGTAACTGCTGTGGGAGTGGTGCCCATGATGGCATTAACTGAATTCGTTTGGGGGACCTCATCTCCCCTTAAGGCTGCCAGCTGGCTAAAGGCACAGCGGTCGCTGGTATACCTCTAGACCATGGATCTGAGGGCATCTTGGAGACCCTGGGATACTGGGGCGAGGGCTTCTAAGGCAGAGAGGAGCAGCCGGGCATGGGCGAGGGGGAGGGGCACACTCTGTTGAGAAGGAAAGTCTTACGGAGCCTCATGTTTGTGCCCTGCAGGAGCTGGAGAATCAGTACTGTCCCAGCCGATGGGTTGTCCGACTGGGAGCAGAGGAAGCCTTGAGGACCTACTCACAGATAGGAATTGAAGGTACTAGTGTGACCTCTCCGTGGCCGCATTGGGTGTCCTTAAGCATGTGGCAGTGATTCAGAATGCTGGGGGTTGGGGGGGCTGTGCTGCACCACCTGGGCCTCGAGGGGCATTTCCCAAACACCAGGCACTTTATAAACCTCCCTGCTCAGGGGCAGGTGCCCAGGACCCCTTGCTGCAGGGACTACTGGAGGCAGGAGAGGTCCGGGGGAGGTCCACGGCTCAGTCGACCATGCCTGGCCTTTCTTGCTCAGCCATCCATACCCAGGCCCGTAAGGCTGCGGGCTGTGGTTGGCATAGGGAGGTGAAGTGAACAGAGGAACGTTCCCCATCCGCTGCTGAATGTGGAATGCGGTCACTATTCCTAAAAAGCAATACTTTGGGAGGCCGAGGCAGGTATATCACTTGAGGCCAGGAGTTCAAGACCAGCCTGGCCAACATGGCAAAACCCTATCTCTACAAAAAAATACAAAAATTAGCTGGACACCTGTAATTCCAGCTACTCGGGAACCTGAGGCATGAGAATTGCTTCAACCTGGGAGGCAGAGGTTGCAGTGAGCTGAGATTACATCATTGCATGCCAGCCTGGGTAACAGTGAGACCCTGTCTCAAAAAAAAAAAAAAGCAATGAAGCCTCTTTTTTTTTTGAGACTGAGTCTTGCTCTGTTGCCCAGGCTGGAGTGCAGTGGCGCGATCTCAGCTCACTGCAACCTCTGCTTCCCGGGTTCAAGCGATTCTCCTGACTCAGCTTCCTGAGTAGCTGGGACTATAGGCGCACCTCTCCACACCCAGCTGATTTTTGTATTTTTAGTAGAGATGGGGCCACCATGTTGGCCAGGATGGTCTCCATCTCTTGACCTCGTGATCTGGCTGCCTCGGCCTCCCAAAGTGCTGGGATTACAGGCATGAGCCATCGTGCCTGGCCGCCTTTTCTTTCTTTCTTTTTTTTGTTTTTGAGACAGAGTTTCGCTCTTGTTGCCCAGGCTGGAGTGCAATGGCATGATCTCGACTCACCGCTAACTTCGCCTCCTGAGTTCAAGTGCTTCTCCTGCCTCAGCTTCCTGAGTAGCTGGGATTACAGGCATGCGCCACCACGCCCTGCTAAGTGTTTTGTATTTTTTTTTTTTTTTAGTAGAGATATGGTTTCTCCATGTTGGTCAGGCTGGTCTTGAACTCCTGACCTCAGGTGATTCGCCCTCCTCGGCCTCCCAAAGTGCTAGGATTACAGGTGTGAGCCACCATGGCTGGACTTTTTTTTTTTTTTTTTTTTTGAGACGGAGTTTTGCTCTTGCTGCCCAGGCTGGAGTGCAAAGGTGCAATCTCGGCTCACTGCAACCTCCACCTCCCAGGTTCAAGCGATTCTTCTGCCTCAGCCTCCTGAGTAGCTGGGATTACAGGCCTGTGCCACCAAGCCCAGCTAATTTTGTATTTTTAGTAGAGATGGGGTTTCTCCATGTTGGTTAGGCTGGTCTCAAACTCCCGACCTCAGGTCATCCACCTGCCTCGGCCTCCCAAAGTGCTGGGATTACAGGTATGAGCCACCGTGCCTGGACTTTCACCTTTTCTTTCTTTAAAGAAATCTGGACTTGGGAACCTGTAAACTAGTGAAGTCTTAAGGTCCATTTCCATCTCTACCCTGTATCTGCAAAGTGCTGTACCACGATCTGAACACCTGGTAATGCATCCGTGCTGGGATGGGGAGCAGGCCCCGAGGAGGAAGTGTAGGTGAGGACGCAGCCAACCATGCTTGGCAAATTAGCTCTGTTGCAGCAGGCTCAACACAGCCTTTCAGAGGCAGATGCCTGGGCTCCTGGGCTTGGTGGTTTTCTAAGCGGAGAGAACCCAGGAGGAGGAACAGACTTGTTAGAAGTGTATTCCAGCAATTCCACCATCCTCCTGTCTCAATAGATTGGGGGGGAGCTGTTTCCTGGGCTCTTCATGTTCCTTGCTGTGCTCAGCTCTGATCCAAATTCATCTCTATTTGCTCGATAAATACATGAGTGTGGTGAAACATACAAGAGCTGTAAGCAGCCAGGCGTGGTGGCTCATGCCTGTAATCCCAGCACTTTGGGAGGCCGAGGCGGGCGGATCATGAGGTCAGGAGATCGAGACCATCCTGGCTAACACGGTGAAACCCCATCTCTACTAAAAATATAAAAAATTAGCCAGGCATGGTGGCGGGCGCCTCTAGTCCCAGCTACTCAGGAGGCTGAGGCAGGAGAATGGTGTGAACCTGGGAGGTGGAGCTTGCAGTGAGCCGGGATCGCGCCACTGCACTCCAGCCTGGGCGACAGAGCGAGACTCTGTCTCAAAAAAAAAAAAAAAAAAAAAAAAAAAAGCTGTAAGCAAACCTATTTGCCTGTCTTAATTGTCTTGAGTGATAAAAAGAGCTGACCCTATTGAGAAAGAATGTCAGATGTAAAAAGCACGCACTATTGAAACTTCAAGTCATATGAATGAAAGAAAATTAAAAGGAAAGGATTAAAAAGGAAAAAAAAAAAAGAGGCCAGGAACTGTCACACACGCCTGTAATCCCAGTACTGTGGGAGGTCAAAGCACGAGGATCCTTTGAGGCCAGGAGTTTGAGACCAGCCTGGGCAACATAGCAATAACCTGCCTCTACAAAAAATTTAAAGGCCAGGCGTGGCAGCTCACGCATGTAATCCCAGCACTTTGCGGGGCTGAGGTGGGCAGATCACAAGGTCAGGAGATTGAGACCATCCTGGCTAACACGGTGAAACCCTGTCTCTACTAAAAATACAAAAAATTAGCTGGGCGTGGTGCGGGCACCTGTAGTCCCATCTACTCTGGAGACTGAGGCAGGAGAATGGCTTGAACCCAGAAGGTGGAGCTTGCAGTGAGCTGAGATCATGCCACTGCACTCCAGCCTGGGCGACAGAGCGAGACTCCATCTCAAAAAAAAAAAAAAAAATTTAAAAATTAGCAGGGTGCCGTAGTGTGCACCTGCAGTTCCACCTACTTGAGAGGCTGAAGTGGGAGGATTACTGCTGCCTTGGAGTTCAAGGCTGCATATTTCTTTATGTATTGGGTTTTTTTTTTTTTTCTTTGAGACAAGGCCTCGCTTTGTCACCCAGGCTGGAGTGCAGTGGCGTGATTTTGGCTCATTGCAACCTCTGCCTCCTGGGTTCAAGCCATTCTTGTGTCTCACATTCTTGTGTTTCAGCCTCCCGAGTAGCTGGAATTTACAGGCGCGTGCCACCACGCCAGCTAATTTTGTATTTTTAGTAGAGGCGGGGTTTCACCATGTTCGCCAGGTTGGTCTGGGACTCCTGGCCTCGAGTGATCTGCTCGCCTCCCAAAGTGCTGGGATTATAGGCGTGAGCCACACTTTGCCTTCTTTGCACCAGGGAGAATTATATTTTTTCTCATTTTTTATTTGTATTCGTCCTTACAATGCCAGCCTGTTAACTTGCAATGAGGGATGTTCGCTTTTAATGAGTAGACAGCCTCATCCCCATCAAGGCCTGGCCGCCCTCATCTGGGCTCAGGGAGAACAAAGTCTAACTGCTGTGTGAGTATGGTCAGGGCGCAGGAGGCTGGCAGAGAGGGGGTTTAAGAACCATTTCCTTTACCACTAGCTTTTAAATTAGTTTTACTGTGACCTTCAGTAAAAATACTTTTTTTTTTTTAAGACGGAGTTTTGCTCTTGTTGTCCAGGCTTGGAGTGCAATGGCGCAATCTCGGCTCACCGCAACCTCCGCCTCCCAGGTTCAAGCGATTCTCCTGCCTCAGCCTCCTGAGTATCTGGGATTACAGGCATGTGCCACCACGCCTGGCTGATTTTTTATTTTTAGTAGAGACGGGGTTTCTCCATGTTGGTCAGGCTGGTCTCAAACTCCCGACCTCAGGTGATCCACCTGCCTCAGCCTACCAAAGTGCTGGGATTACAGGCGTGAGCCACCGTACCCGGCCCAAAAAAATACATTTTACAGTCAGCAAAATGCTGTATATATTTTTTATCCAGATACAAAAGTTCAAATTCTGTATGATTTCATTTAAATGAGGTCCCTAGAGAAGTCAAATTAATAAAGACAAGAAATGGAATGGTGGTTGGTAGGGGCAAGGGGAGGGAGGAATGGGGAGTGAGTGTTTAAAGGGGACAGTTTCTTTCTTTTTTTTTTTCTTTTGAGACAGGGAGAGTCTCACTCTGTTGCCCAGGCTGGAGGGCAGTGGTGCTATGTCATCTCACTGCAACCTCCACCTCCTGGGTTCAAGCAGTTCTTGTGCCTCAGCTGCCCGAATAGCTGGGATTGCAGATGTGCACCACCACGCCCGGCTAATTTTTGTGTTTTTAGTAGAGACAGGGTTTCGCCATGTTGGCCAGGCTGGTCTCAAACTCCTGGCCTCAGGTGATCCGCCTGCCTCGACCTCCCAAAGTGCTGGGACTACAGGCATGAGTTGCCGCGTGCAGCCCTGCAGTCCTGTTTTTTTTTTTTTTGGGGCGGAGTTTCACTCTTGTTACCCAGGCTGGAGTGCAATGGCGCGATCTCAGCTCACCGCAACCTCTGCCTCCTGGGTTCAAGCAGTTCTCCTGCCTTGGCCTCCCAAGTAGCTGGGATTACAGGCGTGCGCCACCACGTCCAGCTAATTTTGTATTTTTAGTAGAGATGGGGTTTCTCCATGTTGGTCAGGCTGGTCTGGAACTCCCGACCTCAGGTCATCTGCCCGCCTCCCAAAGTGCTGGGATTACAGGCAAGAGCCACCACGCCCGGCCTTGCAGTCCTGTTTTTAATACCATGCACAGCATTATAAATTATTATTATTATTATTATTTTTGTTTTTGAGACGGAGTCTTGCTCTGTCACCCAGGCTGGAGTGCAGTGGCAAGATCTTGGCTCACTGCAAGCTCCGCCTCCCAGGTTCACGCCATTCTCCTGCCTCAGCCACCCAAGTAGCTGGTACTACAGGCGCCCACCACCATGCCCAGCTAATTTTTTGAATAGAGACGGGGTTTCACCGTGTTAGCCAGGATGGTAGCATTAGAAATTATTTCTAACCCAGGCTGGGCTCCATGGCTCATCCCTGTAATCCCAGCACTTTGGGAGGCCAAGGCGGTGGGAATCACTTGAGGTCAAGAGTTCACGGCCAGCCTGGCCAACATAGTGAAACCCCATCTCTACTAAAAACACAAAAAGTAGCCAGGCATGGTGGCGTGCGCCTATAATCTCAGCTACTTGAGAGGCCAAGGCAAGAGAATTGCTTGAACTCAGGAGGCAGAGGTTGCAATGAGCAAAGATTGCACCACTGCACTCTAGCCTGGGTGACAAAGCGAGACCTTGTCTCAGAAAAAAAAGAAAAGAAATTATTTCTACCCAGCCAGGCACAGAGGCTCACGCCTGTAATCCCAGCACTTTGGGAGGCCAGAGGGGGGCAGATCACTTGAGGTCAGGAGTTGGAGACCAGCCTGGCCAACACGACAAAACACCTTCTCTACTGAAAATACAAAAATGAGCCAGGCATAGTGGCACATGCCTGTAATCCCAGCCACCGGGGAGGCTGAAGTGGGAGAATAGCTTGAACCCAGGTTGGGGAGGTTGCAGTGAGTCGAGACCACGCCATTGCACTCCAGCCTGGGCAACAAAGAATGAAACTCCATCTGAAAAAAAAAACCCAGAAATTATTTCTAACCCAAAACAATTGAAAACAGGTACTCAAACAAGCATTTTTACACGCGTGTTCGTAGCACCATTTCCACATAGCCTGAGTTGTAAATAATAGCAATGAAGCTTTTGCTTTAATGAGAAAGGAAGTTTGCCATAAGGTTTGTTCTGGGGTGTCTTGCTGAAGCCCTCCTGTGTTCTTGCCCTGGGGTTCAGGGACTGGAGGGCCCTCTGTGGGGGGCATGAGTCACTTCATTCTCTGTCTCTGCACCCCAGCTGTCCTCTCCTAGAGAGAGGCAATTTCTCTTTCCCGAGGTTAGTAGAGTTTTTTAATATCTGAGAGAGGCTTATGCATGATAATGAACACCTATAGCTGCTTGGTTTTAATGGCCATTCCACTTAGAACATAAATTCCATGATGTTTTTCTTAATCGTAGCACAACTTTAATCTAGTCCATTTATAGGCTTGAGAACTCCTGTGTGAATTAAATCACGACCTTCTGATGAAGCCACTCCGATGAGCCTGTGAGGCACATTGTCTTCACACTGTGCTGGGGCAGGGTTGTTGGCAAACCCCCATGGATGGCAGCCGGCAATGGCCTCACAGTGACAAATGCGTCTGCCTTTTGACCCAGAATTCTACCCCTGAGAGTGCGTCCTACAGATGCTTGCAAGTGGTATGGTAATGGATGTACAAAGCTATTCACAGCAGGGGTGTTTGTGGTAGCATGGCCTGGGAGACAGCCCAGATGGCTTTCAGCAAAGGATTGGTGGCAGGTCTGCAGCCCTGGGGCTTATCAGACACCAACCCTGCTGGCACCTTGATCTTGGACTTCCAGTTTGCAGAACTGTGAGAAAATAAAATTTCCATTAAGTTTCCCCAGTCTGGTATTTTGTTATAGCCGCCCAGGCTGACTCAGACAGGAGCCCAGGATGGATGTGAGCGTGTTATAACCAGCTCACGCTTGTGGCTGTAGGGAGTCCGGGTAGAAGCTGGAAGAGCCTAGAGGGGTGGCTGCTGCCTTCCAGGGAACAGGTCAAAGGGTATCCAACCAGAGTGGTCTCAGTGCAGATGGGGAGGAGACTCTAGACCCAGGACAAGCAGTGGAGGGGGCATCCAAGGATTTCCTGATGATCAGATGTGGTTTGAGAAAGAGAGGGGGCCGGTGGCGCATGCCTGTAATCCCAGACTTTGGGAAACCAAAGCAGGAGGACGCTTGAGCCCAGGAGTTCGAAACCAGCTGGCAACATGCAAGACCTGGTCTCTACAAAAAAATTAAAAATTAGCTGGGTGTGGTGGTGCTTGGGAGGCTAAGGTGGGAGGATCACTTGAGCCCTGGAGTTCGAGAACAGCCTGGGCAACATGGCGAAACCCTGTCCCTACAAAAAATACAAAAGTTAGCCAGGCGTGGTGGCACACGCCTATAGTCTTAGCTACTCTGGTGGCAGAGGTGGGAAGCTTGTTTGAACCTAGGAGGTTAAGGCTGCAGTAAGCCGAGATTGCACCACTACACTCCAGCCTGTGTGACAGAGTGAAACCGTGTCTCAAAAATAAAAAGTGAATTCAGGAGTTCCAGACCAGCCTGGCCAACACCGTGAAAACCCATCTTTACTAAAAATACAAAAATTCGCCTGGGCCAGATGCACTGGCTCGCACCTGTAATCCCAGCACTTTGGGAGGCCAAGGCGGGGATATCACTCAAGGTCAGGAGTTCGAGACCAACCTGGCCAATATGGTGAAACCCCATCTCTACTACAAATACAAAAAAAAAAAAAATTAGCCATGCATGGTGGTGCGTGCCTGTAATCCCAGTTACTTGGGAGGCTGCGGCAGGAGAATCGCTTGAACCCAGGAAGCAGAGGTTGCAGATCACTTGAACCCAGGAAACAGAGGTTGGAGTGAGCGGAGATTGCGCCGTTGCACTCCAGCCTGGGTGACAAGAGCAAAGCTCTGTCTCAAAAAAAAAAAAAAAAAAAATTAGACAGGTGTGGTGGCGCACACCTGTAATCCCAGCTGCTCAGAAGGAGGAGACAGGAGAATCACTTGAACCCCAGAGGCGGAGGTTGCAGTGAGCCAAGATTGCACCAGTGGGCTCCAGCTTGGGCGACAGAGCGAGCCTCTGTCTCAAAAAAACAAAACAAAACAAAACAAAACCAAAACCACACAAGGCTTTTCAGTGAAATGCTCACTCCTCTTCCCTTTCGTGTGCCCAGTTCCCCTGGCCCCCGTCAAGGTGGCCACTGTTCTTCATATGGATATAGACTCCCCCTCCCTTTCATCCAAATGGCCCCGTAGTACACACAGTTCCACCCTGCCAGTTTCACTTAGTATTTCTTGGAGATGTTTCCTCATCTGTACGTAGATAGCTTCTCGTCAGTACGTCAGTACGCAGGGAGCCCTGCAGGGGCAAGTGGTTGGTAACGTGGGTGCTGGCAAAACAGGTTTTGCAACCTCACTGGCGTTCTGCAAAGGCAGCTTCCTGCCTGGATTGGCCCATGGGCAACTTCCCTTTGATTTCCCTCAGCTTTAATCCATCCAGCTGAAGTGGAGACAGCCCGGTTTATGGTTCTGCATTCTGGCATAGACGCAATTCGTACAAGCTCTCAGCCCCATGCTTTTTCTTCCTCTGCCGTGTTTACCCTTCTGGAGTTGCAGAATGAATCACCCACCCGAGGGAAGCACGGTTGTTTTTTTTTTTCTTTTCTTTTTTTTTGAGACAGTCTTGCTCTATTGCCCAGGCTGGAGTGCAGTGGTGCAATCTCGGCTCGCTGCAACCTCTGCTTCCTGGTTCAAGCAATTCTCCTTCCTCAGCCTCCTGAGTAGCTGGGAGTACAGGTGTGCGCCACCACGCCTGGCTAATTTTTGTATTTTTAGTAGAGATGGGGTTTCACCATATTGGCCAGGGTGGTCTCGAATGCCTGACCTTGTGGTCCACCCGCCTCGGCCTCCCAAAGTGCTGGGATTGCAGGTGTGCGCCGCCGCGCCCGGCCAGGCTTTTTTTTCTCTAGGCCTGCTGTGGCCACCAAGGCTGGGGACCAGGGGGCCTCCAGGGACAGGGATCCCAAGTTGCACGTTAATACACGGAGCCCTTTCTGAGATGCAGGTTCTACAGGGAACTGGATTCCACCTCTTTTGGGGAGATCAACCCAGCAGCCCAAGGATCCCCTGATGGTGCCTGAGCACAGCTGTGAGAAGGGGGTATCTGGATCCTTGGGGTGACAGGATGGGAGAGGTGGAGCATGGGCCTGCAGGCTGGCCCCCAGAGGCCTTAGGTCTCTGCTGACTAGCTAGAATTCTGAAAACTGTGTTATGTAAGACGTTTAGCATCTGCAGTGCCAAATAAAGGTGACCCCCACAACGACATAAAAAAAAAAAAAGATATGTCCAAATCCTAACCCTGGGAACCTATGAAAATCCTAACCCTGGGAACCTATGAAGGTATTTCCTTATTTGGTGTGTTTTGTTTTGGTTTGGTTTGGTTTGGTTTGTTTGATACAGAGTCTTGCTCTGTCGCCCAGGCTGGAGTGCAGTGGTGTGATCTCAGCTCACTGCAACCTCTGCCTCCGGGTTCAAGCGATTGTCCTGCCTCAGCCTCCCAAGTAGCTGGGATTACAGGCACGCGCCACCACGCCCAGATAATTTTTGTATTTTTAGTAGAGACAGGGTTTTACCATGTTGGCCGGGATGGTCTCAACTCCTGACCTCAAGTGATCTGCCCGCCTCAGCCTCCCTGTAACCAGCTGGGATTGCAGGTTCCCGGTTGGTATTTCCTTATTTGGAAAGACCATCTTTGTAGGTGTTATTAGCTAAAGTCAAGTCATTCTGGGTTAGGGTGGGCCCTAAATGCCATTGACTGCTATCCTGCTAAGAGACAGAAGAGGGAGGGACACACAGGGAGGGGACCACGTGAAGACGGAGGCAGAGACGGGAAGAGGCAGAGGTGACTGGAGTGACGTAGCCCCAGGCCTTGGAACGCCTGGAGCCACCAGGAGCTGCAGGAGGCAAAAGAGGCATTGGCAGAGTGTGGCAGTGTCCACACCTTAATTTCAGACTTCTGGCCTTTAGAACTGTGAGAGAATCACGTTCTACTGCTGTGAGACACTCAATTTGCAGTACTTTGTTACAGCTGCCCTGGTAAACAAATGCAATATTTATTTTCAGCAAAGCAGGGAGTTCCTGCAAAGATGACTAGACCAGGTTCCTTCTCCCAAGAGCGCAGTGTCCTAGCTGTGAATACTAGGAGTGCGTTGCTGCGGTGGGAGGGGAGGCAGGGTTTACTGACTGATCATTCCCAGTGGTCTGGATGCTCTCTTTCTTTCTTTCCTTTCTTTCGAGACAGAATCTCGCTCTGTCACCCAAGCTGGAGTGCAGTGGTGCAATCTCAGCTCACTGCAGCTTCTGCCTCCCAGGTTCAAGTAATCCTCCCACTTCAGCCTCCCGAGTAGCCGGAATTATAGGTGTCCACCACCACGTCCAGATAACTTTTTTTTTAATTTTTAGAAAATATAGGCTAAGGCACGAGAATTGCTGGAACCCAGGAGGCAGAAGTTGCAGTGAGCCAAGATGGCACCACTGCACTCCAGCCTGGGTGACAGAGCAAGACTCCGTCGCAAAAAAAAAAAAACGATGAATGCTAGGATAAAAAATAAAGCAAGAGGCCAGGCACAGTGGCTCATGCCTGTAATCCCAGCACTTTGGGAGGCCGAGGTGGATGGATCATCTGAGGTTGAGCTCGAGACCAGCCTCGCCAATACAGTGAAACCCCGTCTCTACTAAAAATACAAAAATTAGCCAGGTGTGGTGGCACGGGCCCATAATCCCAGCTACTCAGGAGGCTGAGGCTGGAGGATTGCTTGGCGCCGGGAGTTTGAGACTGTAGTATGCTTTGATTGCACCTGTGAATAGCCACTGTACTCCAGCCTGGGCAATATAGTGAGACCCTGTCCTTTAAAACAAAAAAGTATAGCGCACATAATAAGTGTGTAGTAAAGTCGTGCTGAAAAGGGTCCTCGCAGAACCACAGTTCACTTGTTGACAGACGTCAGGACTGGCAGTCTTTTTTTTTTGAGTTGGCGTCTCGCTCTGTCCCCCAGGCTAGAGTGCAGTGGCGTGATCTCAGCTCACTGCAAGCTCCACCTCCCGGATTCACGCCATTCTCCTGCCTCAGCCTCCTGAGTAGCTGGGACTACAGGCACCTGCCACCACGCCTGGCTAATTTTTTGTATTTTTAGTAGAGACAGGGTTTCACCATGTTAGCCAGGGTGGTCTCGATCTCCTGACCTCGTGATCCACCCGCCTCGGCCTCCCAGAGTGCTGGGATTATAGGCGTGAGCCACTGCACCCAGCCTGGCAGTCCTCTTTCGATGGGAGGTGCTCAGAGCTGAAGCTCAACACGCCAACTTAAGGGAGCTTTCAGCTGGAATGTTTCTACCTGAGCTGAAATAGAAATTGCCGCCACCTGGCTGGGCACAGTGGCTCATGCCTGTAATCCCAGCACTTTGGGAGGCCAAGGTGGGTGGATCACGAGGTCAGGAGTTCAAGACCAGCCTGGCCAACAACCCTGTCTCTACTAAAAAATATATATATATATATAAAAATTAGCTGGGCATAGTGGCGTGCACCTGTAGTCCCAGCTACTTGGGAGGCTGAGGCAGGAGAATCGCTTGAACCGGGGAGGTGGAGATTGCAGTGAGCCGAGATCGCGCCACTGCACTCCAGCTTGGGCAACAGAGTGAGACTTCGTCTCAAAAAAAAGAAAAGAAAAATTTCTACCACCTGAGCTTGTGCTGACAGCGACTTGTCCATTTCTGAGACAGCCACCACAAGGGCCCGGGCCACCAGGAAGAGCCTGCTGCATGTCCCCTATGGAGACGGCGAAGGGGAGAAAGTGGACATTTACTTCCCCGACGAGTCGTCTGAAGGTTGTCGGTGAAGGGGCTGGGGGTCCCGGGGCTTGGGGGTCCAGTGGCAGAGCTCAGCAGGGCGGGCCTTGCTCACACGCCCTGTGCTTGGTTTTGCAGCCTTGCCTTTCTTCCTGTTCTTTCACGGAGGATACTGGCAGAGCGGAAGGTGAGTCGGGGGATGTGGATGGTGGACTGCAAGAGAGATTCCACTTTCCCTGGGGGACTCCTCCTCCAGGGCTGCCGCAACCAAACTGCCACAAGCTGGGCACTCCTTGCAGGGCTGTGTCTCACAGCGCTGGAGAACGGAAGTCTCAAGTCAAATGTGGGCAGGGTTCCTAGGGAGGGTCCTTCCTGCCTTCTCCAGCTTCTGGTGGCCTTAGACAGCCCTTAGCTTGTGTCTGCATAGCTCCAGCCTCTGCCTCCATTCACATGTGATCCTGGTGTTCCTGGGTCTCAAATCTTCCTCTCTCTTTTTTTTTTTTTTTTTTTTTTTTTGAGACAGAGTCTCACTCTAACCCAGACTGGAACGCAGTGGTGCGACCTCAGCTCACTGCAACTTCTGCCTCCCGGGCTCAAGCAATTCTTCTGCCTCAGCCTCCCAAGTAGCTGGGATTACAGGTGCACGCCACCACACCCAGCTAATTTTTGTATTTTTAGTAGAGACAGGGTTTTACCATGTTGGCCAGGCTGGTCTTGAACTCCTGAGCTCAAGTGATCCTCCTGCCTTGACCTCTCAAAGTTCTGGGATTACAGGCGTGAGCCACCACACCAGCCTCCTTTTTTTTTTTTTTTTTTTTATAAGGTCATAGTCACAGGTTCTGGGGTTAGGATTTGGACATATCTTTTGGGGGGACACAGTTCAACCCACTACACCCAGTGAGAAGCATGTTCAGCCTCCTCTTGAATCAAGGGAAAAGCCAGAGTGACCAACCACTGTCCCAGTTTGCTTGGGACTGAGGAGGGGTTTCCCAGGACATGGGGTTTTCAGTACTTTAGGAAAAAAAAATGAGAGTCCCAGGTAAAATGGGACAGTTGGTCACTGTAAGCTAAGCAGTGGGTATTTGGGAATTTGGGATCTTGGCAGACACTGCTGTTCCCTAGGGTCTTCCTACAGAGTTGCCTTCAAGCATGTTCATGTTAATAGCTTACATTTAATGGCCAGGTACGGTGGCTCACGCCTGTAATCCCAACACTTTGGAAGGGCAAGGCGGACGGATCACTTGAGGTCAGGAGTTCGAGACCAGCCTGGCCAACGTGGTGAAACCCTGTCTCTACTAAAAATACAAAAATTAGCTGGACGTGGTGGTGTGTGCCTGTAATCCCAGCTACTCGGGAGGCTAATGCAGGAGAATCACTTGAACCCAGGAGGCGGAGGTTGCAGTGAGCTAAGATCATGCCACTGCACTCCACCCAGGGTGACAGAGCGAGACTCTGTCTCAAAAAAAAAAAAAAAAAAAGCTTACATTTATTGCACACAAAACTCTCTACACTGCTAGTCTTTAATTCTCAAAAACAGTTCCCTGAGAGAGGGAACATAATTGCCTCTATTTTACAGATGACAAAACCAGGCTTAGAAGTTACACAAATTGCCTTGCACAGTGGCTCACACCTATAATCCCACACATTGGGAGGCTGAGGCAGGAGGATTGAGTTAGAAACCAGCCTGGTCAACATAGCAAGACCCCCATCTCTACAAAAGAAAAGATAAATTTGCTGGGCATAGTGGTGCACACCTATACTCCTGCTTGGGAGGCTGAGGCAGGAGGATCGCTTGAGCCCAGGAGGTCGAGGCTACAGTGATCCATGATCGCACCATTGCACTCCAGCCTGGGCGACAGAGCGAGGCCCTATCGCTTAGAAAACAAAAAGTTACATGAAGTTCCCCCAAGGTCCCGTAGCTAGCATGTGATGTGGCAGGGAGAGAGCCTGTCCGCTTCACTCTCTCACATGGGACCAGAAAGGGGTGATGCTGTGCGTGGACAGGACATCTGGCAAGTGGTGTGTCCAGGACACAGGAAGCAGCGTAGTGGCCAAGCTGCCTCCAGCTGTCACATCTGTGTGTCTCTGCAGTAAGGATGAGTCTGCCTTCATGGTCCACCCGCTGACGGCACAGGGAGTGGCCGTGGTAATAGTGGCTTACGGCATCGCCCCCAAAGGTAATAGGAGTGGTTGCTGCAGGTCCGAGGGCCGGTGGGCTTTAGGAGGAAGTGCATCCCTGACCCAGCTCATGCTCTCTGTGCAGGCACCCTGGACCACATGGTAGACCAGGTGACCCGCAGCGTTGCGTTTGTCCAGAAGCGGTATCCAAGCAACAAGTGGGTGTTGCCAGTAGATTTTCTTCCTGTTGGACCTCAGTGGGTGGGAGGACAGTGCAATCAGTACCTAGGATACAGCCAAGCTGCCCCTCTGGCCTGTGGAGCAGAAAGCAAATTGGGACTCTTCGAAGGGGGCCTGATGTTGTGGGGAAACTGCGTGCAAATCCAGCTCTCTGCTCTGACCCCTCCCAGGGGAATTTACCTGTGTGGACACTCAGCCGGGGCCCACCTGGCTGCCATGATGCTCCTGGCCGACTGGACCAAGCATGGGGTCACGCCCAACCTCAGAGGTTTCCATGGGAGCTACAGCCTGGCTGGGCAACCTTCATCTCCCCATGAGCCTTGGGGTTTGGGCCAACTGCTTGAAATCCTCCCGGCCATGAGTGGCTTGACCGCAGGGCTTCGAGCCCTCTGAGCAAGGCCTTCTCTGCCTCCTCTGTGCCCCTTCCCCTGGTCCTGCCCCTCTGGCGGTGGGGGTGGGCTGGCCCTGCCTTGCTCCGCCTGGAGCCTGGCCCTGTGACAATTCTGTACCTTCACAGGCTTTTTCCTGGTGAGTGGGGTCTTTGACCTGGAGCCCATCGTGTATACTTCACAGAACGTTGCTCTCCAGCTGACCCTGTGAGTTACTTGGCCACCACCTCCCCTGGCTCACCAGGAGCCTGGCTCCTCTCTGTCCTGACCCCTGTCCACTCCCCACCCCAGGGAGGACGCTCAGAGGAATAGCCCCCAGCTGAAGGTGGCCCAGGCACAGCCGGTGGACCCCACCTGCCGTGTGCTGGTGGTCGTGGGCCAGTTCGACTCCCCCGAATTCCACCGACAGTCCTGGGAGTTTTACCAGGTACTCCCAGTGCAGGTTTGTGGCCAGAGGTCGAGGGTCATGTGGGCTCATTATTTTCCTCTTTCTTTTACCCAAGTGGACAAGACCCTCCATCATTTATTTAACACGTACTGAGTGAACCCTGACCTGTGCCAGGCATGGCCCCATGTCCTGCCCCACCTCCCCTCCCACTGCTCAGGCCCCTCTTCCCATGTCTCCCCTGCCCAGACCCTGTGTCAAGGAGAGTGGAAAGCCTCATTTGAAGAGCTCCACGATGTGGACCACTTTGAAATTGTTGAGAATCTGACCCAGAAGGACAACGTGCTCACCCAGGTGGGGCCTCATCCCTGGCAGCCCTTTCATGGTAGACAGCACAGGTCCTGTCGCAGCCCCTTAGATGTGCAAACCAGGAGTTCAAGACCAGCCTGGCCAACATGGAGAAACTCCGTGTCTACTAAAAATACAAAACAAATTAGCCAGATGTGATGGTACGTGCCTGTAATCCCAGCTACTCAGGAGGCTGAGGCATGAGAATTGCTTTAACCCAGGAGGCAGAGATTGCAGTGAGCCAAGATTGCACCACTGCACTCCGGCCTGAGCGACAGAGTAAGACTCTGTCTCAAAAAAAAAAAAAAAAAAAAAAGACCTGAGAACCTAGGAAAGAAAGAACCTAAGAAAGACCATCTTGTTTCTTTCTTTTTTTTTTTCTTTAGAGACAGGGTCTCCTCTCTTGCACCCAGGCTGGAGTATAGTGGCAAAATCTTAGCTCTCTGCTGCCTCCTGGGCTCAAGTGGTTATCCTGCCCCAGCCTCTCGAGTAGCTGGGACTACAAAGGCGTGCCACTGTGCCCTGCTAATTATTCAATGTTTTGTAGAGATGGGGTCTCTCTATGTTCCCCAGGCTGGTCGTCGTCGTCTTCCTTCTTCTTCTTCCTCCTTCCTCCTTCATCTTCTTTCTTCTCCTCCTCCCCCTACCCCCCCTTCTTCTTCTTCTTCCTTCATCTCAGCATATTATACCTCTAACCAGACTGTCTTCAACTCCTGAGTTCAAGTGATCTTCCCACCTCAGCCTCCCGAAGGGTTGGGGTTGCAGACGTGAGCCACTGCATCCAGCCCTGTCTCATTTCCTTAATCAAATTCCTGCAAAGAGCTGCTCTGATTCTGGGGCTTTTGTGTCTTCTCTTCCTGTTCCAGATTATCTTGAAAACAATCTTCCAGTAGTTCTGACGATACTTGGAGCCTGGTCCACGTGCATCCCACCTTGGGAAGCCTCTCCAAAGAGCTTTCGGAGCTGACACTGACAGCTTCAGTTTCCCCCAGCACCCAGGAGAGCCTTGCTGTGTCTGTCTGCCCGGCAAGAGTCCATTCTCACTGCTGGGACACTCATGAAAATCTCCACGTCCTCCCTCTTCCCAGCCTGGATGGAGCTCCAGGGCTGGGGAACGTCCGCAAGTCAATGCTCAGAGATGCCCGGAGCTGCCTCTTAGACTCGTCTGGCCCATCTACCTGCTGACAGAGCATGACAAAGATGACGCTCAAAAGTAATGCCATTACTTCTTTTTTTTTTTTTTTTTTTTTTTTTTTTGAGATGGAGTCTTACTCTGTCACCCAGGCTGGAGTGCAGTGGCGTGATCTTGGCTCACTGCAACCTCCACCTCCCGGGTTCAAGCAATTCTCCTGCCTCAGCCTCCTGAGCAGCTGGGACTACAGGCGCCTGCCATCATGCCTGGCTAATTTTTGTATTTTTAGTAGAGACGGGGTTTCAACATATTGGCCAGGCTGGTCTCAAACTCCTAACCTTGTGATTCGCCCGCCTTGGCCTCCCAAAGTGCTGGGATTCCAGGCGTGAGCCACTGCGCCCGGCCAGAATGGCATTATATTTAAATAGTTCATAAAGAAGCACAAAAGAATATTATTTCATAACATGTAAAAATTATATAAAACGTAAATTTCCATGTTGATAAATAAAGTTGTATTGGAACACGGCCCTGCTCGTTCATTTACGTATTGTCTAGGGCAGCTTTCAAGCTGCAGGGTGGAGCTGAGTGGTGGTGACAGTGACCTCCTGGCCCGTAGTGCCTGAAGCATTTCCTATCTGGCCCTTTTCAGGAAAAGTTTGCGGACCCCTGGGTAAGGGCTTCCCCAAGCCAGCTACCCTCTGCCTTCTGCTTCAGTCTCCTGTCTGCTCTGTCCTCCATCTCCCTGACATTTGGGTCTGTCCCTGAATGCCCCGGGGTCTCAGCGTTGGGGCCAACACCTTGACCTTGACAGGACAATGCTACCCACATGTAGGACAAGCTTCCTCTGCACCCGAGAGTGGTGTGCATGTCCCAAGAAGCCAGCTATATCCATCCACCACCCACCCCACCACACCGCCTCTTTCTCTCACACCGAATAGCATTCAAGAATTTCCACTGTGGGCTGGGCGCAGGGGCTAGTGCCTGTAATCCCAGCACTTTAGGAGGCCGAGGTGGGCGAATCACCTGAGGTCAGGAGTTCAAGACCAGCCTGGCCAACATGGCAAAACCCTGTCTCTACTAAAAATACAAAAATTAGCCAGGCGTGGTGGCTGGCGCCTGTAATCCTAGATACGTGGGAGGCTGAGTTAGGAGAATCTCTTGAATCCGGGAGGCAGAGGTTGCAGTGAGCTGAGATTGTGCCCCTGCACTCCAGCCTGGGTGACAAAGCCAGACTCCATCTCAAAGAAAAAAAAAAAAATTCCACTGTATGTGTGCAGCAAACCATCATGACACACATTTACCTGTGTAACAAACCTGCACATCCTACACATATACCCTGGAACTTAAAGTAAAAGTTGGGGGGGGGGGTAAAAAAGAATTTCCACCGTGACATTATTGAGTATAGCAAAAAAAAAAAAAACAAGAAACAGCCTAGTGTTCATTAGGGAATAAACGCATTCAAGCAGCATCAAACCCTGCAGCCATTACAAAGAGATCTATGTTGACCATGTGGAATATCTCCAAGAGCCACAGTAGCCTCCCTTATCTGTAGGATTCACTCCAAGACCCTCTGAAACCATGGATAATACTGAACCCTATATACACTATGTTTTTTCTTGTATATACATACCTACGATAAAGTTTAATTTATAAATTGGCAAAGGGTATATAAATATTCCTTCTAAGAGATTAACAATAACTAATAAAGTAGAACGATTAAAACAATATACTGTGATCAAAGTTATGTGAAGCCAGGTGCTGTGGCTCATGCCTGTAATCCCAGCACTTTGGGAGGCTGAGACAGGTGGATCACCTGAGGTCAGGAGTTGGAGACCAGCCTGGCCAACATGACAAAACCCCGTCTCTACTAAAGATAAAAAAAATTAGCCGGGCATGGTGACACATGCCTGTAATCCCAGCTACTTGGGAGGCTGAGGCAGGAGAATCGCTTGAACCTGGGAGGCGGAGGTTGCAGTGAGCTAAGATCACACCATTGCACTCCAGCCTGGGCAACAAGAGTGAAACTCTGTCTCAAAACAAAACAAAACAAAACAAACTTATGGGGTTGCTCTCTTTCTCTCAAAATATCCTTTTTTTGGCAGGGCACGGTGGCTCATGCCTGTAATCCCAGCACTTTGAGAGGCTGAGGTGGGTGAATCACCTGAGGTCAGGAGTTCAAGACCAGCCTGGCCAACATGGTGAAACCCCGTCTCTATTAAAAATACAAAAAATTAGCTGGGCGTGGTGGTGCAGGCCTGTAATCCCAGCTACTTGGGAGGCTGAGGCAGGAGAATCACTCGAACCCAGGAGCTGGAGTTTGCAGTGAGCCGAGATCATGCCATTGCACTCCAGCCTGGGCCACAGAGCAAGACTCCATCTCAAAAAAAAAAAAAAGAAAAAAAGAAAGTCTTTTTTTTTTTTGAGACTGTATCTCACTCTTTCTCCCAGGCTGGAGTGCAGTGGCCCAATCATGGCTCACTGCAGCCTCGACCTCCCAGGATCAAGTGATCCTTCCACCTCAGCCTCCCGAGTAGCTGGAAGTATAGGTGCACGCCCGACTGATTTTTTTTTTTTTTTTTAGACGGAGTCTCACTCTTGTTGCTCTGGCTGGAGTGCAATGGCAGGATCTCGGCTCACTGCAACCTCTGCCTCTTAGATTCAAGCGATTCTCGTGCCTCAGCCTCCCGAGTAGCTGGGATTACAGGTGCCCACCACCATGCCCGGATAATTTTTTGTATTTTTAATAGAGACAGGGTTTCACCATATTGGTCAGGCTGGTCTCAAACTCCTGACCTCAGGTGATCCACCTGCCTCAGCCTCCCAAACTGCTGGGATTACAGGCGTGAGCCACCGGGCATGGCCTTTCCTGGCTAATTTTTTAAATTTTTGATAGAGATGGGGTCTCAGTGTTGCCCAGGCTGATCTTGAACTCCTAGATTCAAGTGATCCTCCCTCCTTGGTCTCCCAAAGTGCTGAGATTACAGGCGTGAGCCACCGCCCCGGGCTGGAAAATACTTTTTTAAACGAGGGCAATGTGAATCTGAAATGCCATTTGAGGAAAGATCTGTTCGCCTGACATCCTGTTTGAGCCTGGGTGGACAGGACAGCACCTGCCAGCATCGGGAAGCACTGCAGATGGGAAGAGGCTTGGTCACTCTCCAAAGGTGGCAGGAGTTGGAGGGGGTGAGCTGAAGGTAAGGAGAAAGGAGGTGGGGACCCAGGAGACAGGGGCTGCGCAGCGGGCTCGGGGCTGACACCCCCACGGATACAGTTCACTGGGGCTCAAACATAAAAGGAACCCAACTATTGTGGGAGGAAAAGACTCTTCTGCCTTTCTGCCTTTTCTTTTTTTCTTTTTCTTTCTTTCTTTTTTTTTTTTTTTTTTTGAGACAGAGTCTTGCTCTATCGCCCAGGCTGGAGTGCAGTGGCGTGATCTCGGCTCACTGCAAGCTCTGCCTCCCGGGATCACGCCATTCTCCTGCCTCAACCTCCCGAGCAGCTGGGACTACAGGCGCCTGCCACCACACCCGGCTATTTTTTTGTATTTTTTAGTAGAGATGGGGTTTCACCGTGTTAGCCAGGACGGTCTCGATCTCCTGACCTTGTGATCCGCCCGCCTCGGCCTCCCAAAGTGCTGGGATTACAGGCGTGAGCCACCGCGCCTGGCTCTTTTTTCTTTCTTTTTTTTTTTTCCGAGACAGAGTTTCACTCTTGTTGCCCAGGCTGGAGTGCAGTGGCGCAATCTTGGCTCACTGCAACCTCCACCTCCAGGGTTCAAGCGATTCTCCTGCCTCAGCCTCCTGAGTAGCTGGGACTGCAGGCGCGCACCACCACGCCTGGCTAATTTTTGTATTTTTAGTAGAGACAGGGTTTCACCATATTGGCCAGGCTGGTCTCGAACTCCTGACCTTGTGATCTGCCCACCTCAGCCTCCCAAAGTCCTGGGATTACAGGCGTGAGCCACCGTGCCCAGCCTGACCCCTCTGCCCTTTCAAAAACTATGTTCGTTCTCTCACAGCCTTCTCTTGTCATATTAAGTCCACACCGCAGGCCTAATTTGTCCAGTGAATGCTATGCAAATATTTCATGCACCTGCTGATCGCAGGAATGATATGTACTTGGTACGCACTGATCGTACCTCGGGGTGGGAGAAGAGAGGGCAAGGAAGCAAAGAATAGCCCCCTCCTTTCCTGGTGCACCTTCAGATGTGCCGATGGGGCCCAGGCTCGCTGCAGATGGCCCCCTTCCCAGAGACAGGGGAGGATCCTCCACCCACTCCCCAGCCTCCAGGACCATCCTGACTCCTGCCTTCAGGCACTCAAGTTATGCGTCTAGACATGCGGATATATTCAAGCTGGGCACAGCACAGCAGCCCCACCCCAGGCAGCTTGAAATCAGAGCTGGGGTCCAAAGGGACCACACCCCGAGGGACTGTGTGGGGGTCGGGGCACACAGGCCACTGCTTCCCCCCGTCTTTCTCAGCCATTCCTGAAGTCAGCCTCACTCTGCTTCTCAGGGATTTCAAATGTGCAGAGACTCTGGCACTTTTGTAGAAGCCCCTTCTGGTCCTAACTTACACCTGGATGCTGTGGGGCTGCAGCTGCTGCTCGGGCTCGGGAGGATGCTGGGGGCCCGGTGCCCATGAGCTTTTGAAGCTCCTGGAACTCGGTTTTGAGGGTGTTCAGGTCCAGGTGGACACCTGGGCTGTCCTTGTCCATGCATTTGATGACATTGTGTGCAGAAGTGAAAAGGAGTTAGGCCGGGCATGCTGGCTTATGCCTGTAATCCCAGCACTTTGGGAGGCTGAGGCGGGTGGATCACGAGGTCAGGAGTTCAATACCAGCCTGGCCAAGATGGTGAAACCCCGTCTCTACTAAAAATACAAAAAAATTAGCCGGGCATGGTGGCGGGCGCATGTAATCCCAGCTACTGGGGGGGCTGAGGCAGAGAATTGCTGGAACCCAGGAGATGGAGGTTGCAGTGAGCCAAGATTGTGCCACTGCACTGCACTCCAGCCTGGCGACAGAGCAAGACTCTGTCTCAAAAAAAAAAAAAAAAAGTGAAAAGGAGTTGTTCCTTTCCTCCCTCCTGAGGGCAGGCAACTGCTGCGGTTGCCAGTGGAGGTGGTGCGTCCTTGGTCTGTGCCTGGGGGCCACCCCAGCAGAGGCCATGGTGGTGCCAGGGCCCGGTTAGCGAGCCAATCAGCAGGACCCAGGGGCGACCTGCCAAAGTCAACTGGATTTGATAACTGCAGCGAAGTTAAGTTTCCTGATTTTGATGATTGTGTTGTGGTTGTGTAAGAGAATGAAGTATTTCGGGGTAGTATGGTAATGCCTTCAACTTACAAACGGTTCAGGTAAACCACCCATATACATACATATACATGCATGTGATATATACACATACAGGGATGTGTGTGTGTTCACATATATGAGGGGAGAGAGACTAGGGGAGAGAAAGTAGGTTGGGGAGAGGGAGAGAGAAAGGAAAACAGGAGACAGAGAGAGAGCGGGGAGTAGAGAGAGGGAAGGGGTAAGAGAGGGAGAGGAGGAGAGAAAGGGAGGAAGAAGCAGAGAGTGAATGTTAAAGGAAACAGGCAAAACATAAACAGAAAATCTGGGTGAAGGGTATATGAGTATTCTTTGTACTATTCTTGCAATTATCTTTTATTTAAATTGACATCGGGCCGGGCGCAGTGGCTCACATCTGTAATCCCAGCACTTTGGGAGGCCGAGGCAGGCAGATCACTTGAGGTCAGGAGTTTGAGACCAGCCTGGCAAACATGGTGAAACCCCATCTCTACTAAAAATACAAAAATTAGCCTGGTGTGGTGGTGCATGCCTTTAATCTCAGCTACTCGGGAGGCTGAGGCAGGAGAATCGCTTGAACCCGTGGCGGGGAGGAGGTTGCAGTGAGCTGAGATCATGCCACTGCACTCCAGCCTGGGCGATAGAGCGAGACTCAGTTTCAAATAAATAAATAAACATCAAAATAAAAAGTTACTGTATTAAAGAATGGGGGCGGGGTGGGAGGGGTGGGGAGAGGTTGCAAAAATAAATAAATAAATAAATAAACCCCAAAATGAAAAAGACAGTGGAGGCACCAGGCCTGCGTGGGGCTGGAGGGCTAATAAGGCCAGGCCTCTTATCTCTGGCCATAGAACCAGAGAAGTGAGTGGATGTGATGCCCAGCTCCAGAAGTGACTCCAGAACACCCTGTTCCAAAGCAGAGGACACACTGATTTTTTTTTTAATAGGCTGCAGGACTTACTGTTGGTGGGACGCCCTGCTTTGCGAAGGGAAAGGAGGAGTTTGCCCTGAGCACAGGCCCCCACCCTCCACTGGGCTTTCCCCAGCTCCCTTGTCTTCTTATCACGGTAGTGGCCCAGTCCCTGGCCCCTGACTCCAGAAGGTGGCCCTCCTGGAAACCCAGGTCGTGCAGTCAACGATGTACTCGCCGGGACAGCGATGTCTGCTGCACTCCATCCCTCCCCTGTTCATTTGTCCTTCATGCCCGTCTGGAGTAGATGCTTTTTGCAGAGGTGGCACCCTGTAAAGCTCTCCTGTCTGACTTTTTTTTTTTTTTTAGACTGAGTTTTGCTCTTGTTGCCTAGGCTGGAGTGCAATGGCACAATCTCAGCTCACTGCACCCTCTGCCTCCCGGGTTCAAGCGATTCTCCTGCCTCAGCCTCCCGAGTAGTTGGGATTACAGGCATGCACCACCACGCCCAGCTAATTTTTGTATTTTTAGTAGAGACAAGGTTTCACCGTGATGGCCAGGCTGGTCTTGAACTCCAGGACTCAAGTGATGCTCCTGCCTAGGCCTCTCAAAGTGTTGGGATTACAGGCGTGAGCCACTGCACCCGGCCTGCACGCGTTCTTTGAAAGCAGTCGAGGGGGCGCTAGGTGTGGGCAGGGACGAGCTGGCGCGGCGTCGCTGGGTGCACCGCGACCACGGGCAGAGCCACGCGGCGGGAGGACTACAACTCCCGGCACACCCCGCGCCGCCCCGCCTCTACTCCCAGAAGGCCGCGGGGGGTGGACCGCCTAAGAGGGCGTGCGCTCCCGACATGCCCCGCGGCGCGCCATTAACCGCCAGATTTGAATCGCGGGACCCGTTGGCAGAGGTGGCGGCGGCGGCATGGGTGCCCCGACGTTGCCCCCTGCCTGGCAGCCCTTTCTCAAGGACCACCGCATCTCTACATTCAAGAACTGGCCCTTCTTGGAGGGCTGCGCCTGCACCCCGGAGCGGGTGAGACTGCCCGGCCTCCTGGGGTCCCCCACGCCCGCCTTGCCCTGTCCCTAGCGAGGCCACTGTGACTGGGCCTCGGGGGTACAAGCCGCCCTCCCCTCCCCGTCCTGTCCCCAGCGAGGCCACTGTGGCTGGGCCCCTTGGGTCCAGGCCGGCCTCCCCTCCCTGCTTTGTCCCCATCGAGGCCTTTGTGGCTGGGCCTCGGGGTTCCGGGCTGCCACGTCCACTCACGAGCTGTGCTGTCCCTTGCAGATGGCCGAGGCTGGCTTCATCCACTGCCCCACTGAGAACGAGCCAGACTTGGCCCAGTGTTTCTTCTGCTTCAAGGAGCTGGAAGGCTGGGAGCCAGATGACGACCCCATGTAAGTCTTCTCTGGCCAGCCTCGATGGGCTTTGTTTTGAACTGAGTTGTCAAAAGATTTGAGTTGCAAAGACACTTAGTATGGGAGGGTTGCTTTCCACCCTCATTGCTTCTTAAACAGCTGTTGTGAACGGATACCTCTCTATATGCTGGTGCCTTGGTGATGCTTACAACCTAATTAAATCTCATTTGACCAAAATGCCTTGGGGTGGACGTAAGATGCCTGATGCCTTTCATGTTCAACAGAATACATCAGCAGACCCTGTTGTTGTGAACTCCCAGGAACGTCCAAGTGCTTTTTTTGAGATTTTTTAAAAAACAGTTTAATTGAAATATAACCTACACAGCACAAAAATTACCCTTTGAAAGTGTGCACTTCACACTTTCGGAGGCTGAGGCGGGCGGATCACCTGAGGTCAGGAGTTCAAGACCTGCCTGGCCAACTTGGCGAAACCCCGTCTCTACTAAAAATACAAAAATTAGCCGGGCATGGTAGCGCACGCCCGTAATCCCAGCTACTCGGGAGGCTAAGGCAGGAGAATCGCTTGAACCTGGGAGGCGGAGGTTGCAGTGAGCCGAGATTGTGCCAATGCACTCCAGCCTCGGCGACAGAGCGAGACTCCGTCATAAAAATAAAAAATTGAAAAAAAAAAAAGAAAGAAAGCATATACTTCAGTGTTGTTCTGGATTTTTTTCTTCAAGATGCCTAGTTAATGACAATGAAATTCTGTACTCGGATGGTATCTGTCTTTCCACACTGTAATGCCATATTCTTTTCTCACCTTTTTTTCTGTCGGATTCAGTTGCTTCCACAGCTTTAATTTTTTTCCCCTGGAGAATCACCCCAGTTGTTTTTCTTTTTGGCCAGAAGAGAGTAGCTGTTTTTTTTCTTAGTATGTTTGCTATGGTGGTTATACTGCATCCCCGTAATCACTGGGAAAAGATCAGTGGTATTCTTCTTGAAAATGAATAAGTGTTATGATATTTTCAGATTAGAGTTACAACTGGCTGTCTTTTTGGACTTTGTGTGGCCATGTTTTCATTGTAATGCAGTTCTGGTAACGGTGATAGTCAGTTATACAGGGAGACTCCCCTAGCAGAAAATGAGAGTGTGAGCTAGGGGGTCCCTTGGGGAACCCGGGGCAATAATGCCCTTCTCTGCCCTTAATCCTTACAGTGGGCCGGGCACGGTGGCTTACGCCTGTAATACCAGCACTTTGGGAGGCCGAGGCGGGCGGATCACGAGGTCAGGAGATCGAGACCATCTTGGCTAATACGGTGAAACCCCGTCTCCACTAAAAATACAAAAAATTAGCCGGGCGTGGTGGTGGGCGCCTGTAGTCCCAGCTACTCGGGAGGCTGAGGCAGGAGAATGGCGTGAACCCAGGAGGCGGAGCTTGCAGTGAGCCGAGATTGCACCACTGCACTCCAGCCTGGGCGACAGAATGAGACTCCGTCTCAAAAAAAAAAAAAAAAGAAAAAAATCTTTACAGTGGATTACATAACAATTCCAGTGAAATGAAATTACTTCAAACAGTTCCTTGAGAATGTTGGAGGGATTTGACATGTAATTCCTTTGGACATATACCATGTAACACTTTTCCAACTAATTGCTAAGGAAGTCCAGATAAAATAGATACATTAGCCACACAGATGTGGGGGGAGATGTCCACAGGGAGAGAGAAGGTGCTAAGAGGTGCCATATGGGAATGTGGCTTGGGCAAAGCACTGATGCCATCAACTTCAGACTTGACGTCTTACTCCTGAGGCAGAGCAGGGTGTGCCTGTGGAGGGCGTGGGGAGGTGGCCCGTGGGGAGTGGACTGCCGCTTTAATCCCTTCAGCTGCCTTTCCGCTGTTGTTTTGATTTTTCTAGAGAGGAACATAAAAAGCATTCGTCCGGTTGCGCTTTCCTTTCTGTCAAGAAGCAGTTTGAAGAATTAACCCTTGGTGAATTTTTGAAACTGGACAGAGAAAGAGCCAAGAACAAAATTGTATGTATTGGGAATAAGAACTGCTCAAACCCTGTTCAATGTCTTTAGCACTAAACTACCTAGTCCCTCAAAGGGACTCTGTGTTTTCCTCAGGAAGCATTTTTTTTTTTTTTCTGAGATAGAGTTTCACTCTTGTTGCCCAGGCTGGAGTGCAATGGTGCAATCTTGGCTCACTGCAACCTCTGCCTCTCGGGTTCAAGTGATTCTCCTGCCTCAGCCTCCCAAGTAACTGGGATTACAGGGAAGTGCCACCACACCCAGCTAATTTTTGTATTTTTAGTAGAGATGGGGTTTCACCACATTGCCCAGGCTGGTCTTGAACTCCTGACCTCGTGATTCGCCCACCTTGGCCTCCCAAAGTGCTGGGATTACAGGCGTGAACCACCACGCCTGGCTTTTTTTTTTTTGTTCTGAGACACAGTTTCACTCTGTTACCCAGGCTGGAGTGGGGTGGCCTGATCTCGGATCACTGCAACCTCCGCCTCCTGGGCTCAAGTGATTTGCCTGCTTCAGCCTCCCAAGTAGCCGAGATTACAGGCATGTGCCACCACACCCAGGTAATTTTTGTATTTTTGGTAGAGACGAGGTTTCACCATGTTGGCCAGGCTGGTCTTGAACTCCTGACCTCAGGTGATCCACCCGCCTCAGCCTCCCAAAGTGCTGAGATTATAGGTGTGAGCCACCACACCTGGCCTCAGGAAGTATTTTTATTTTTAAATTTATTTATTTATTTGAGATGGAGTCTTGCTCTGTCGCCCAGGCTAGAGTGCAGCGACGGGATCTCGGCTCACTGCAAGCTCCGCCCCCCAGGTTCAAGCCATTCTCCTGCCTCAGCCTCCCGAGTAGCTGGGACTACAGGCGCCCGCCACCACACCCGGCTAATTTTTTTGTATTTTTAGTAGAGACGGGTTTTCACCGTGTTAGCCAGGAGGGTCTCGATCTCCTGACCTCGTGATCTGCCTGCCTCGGCCTCCCAAAGTGCTGGGATTACAGGTGTGAGCCACCACACCCGGCTATTTTTATTTTTTTGAGACAGGGACTCACTCTGTCACCTGGGCTGCAGTGCAGTGGTACACCATAGCTCACTGCAGCCTCGAACTCCTGAGCTCAAGTGATCCTCCCACCTCATCCTCCCAAGTAATTGGGACTACAGGCGCACCCCACCATGCCCACCTTATTTATTTATTTATTTATTTATTTATTTATTTTCATAGAGATGAGGGTTCCCTGTGTTGTCCAGGCTGGTCTTGAACTCCTGAGCTCAAGGGATCCTTTTGCCTGGGCCTCCCAAAGTGCTGAGATTACAGGCATGAGCCACCGTGCCCAGCTAGGAATCATTTTTAAAGCCCCTAGGATGTCTGTGTGATTTTAAAGCTCCTGGAGTGTGGCCGGTATAAGTATATACCGGTATAAGTAAATCCCACATTTTGTGTCAGTATTTACTAGAAACTTAGTCATTTATCTGAAGTTGAAATGTAACTGGGCTTTATTTATTTATTTATTTATTTATTTATTTTTAATTTTTTTTTTTGAGACGAGTCTCACTTTGTCACCCAGGCTGGAGTGCAGTGGCACGATCTCGGCTCACTGCAACCTCTGCCTCCCGGGGTCAAGCGATTCTCCTGCCTTAGCCTCCCGAGTAGCTGGGACTACAGGCACGCACCACCATGCCTGGCTAATTTTTGTATTTTTAGTAGACGGGGTTTCACCATGCTGGCCAAGCTGGTCTCAAACTCCTGACCTTGTGATCTGCCCGCTTTAGCCTCCCAGAGTGCTGGGATTACAGGCATGAGCCACCATGCGTGGTCTTTTTAAAATTTTTTGATTTTTTTTTTTTTTGAGACAGAGCCTTGCTCTGTCGCCCAGGCTGGAGTGCAGTGGCACGATCTCAGCTCACTACAAGCTCCGCCTCCCGGGTTCACGCCATTCTTCTGCCTCAGCCTCCTGAGTAGCTGGGACTACAGGTGCCCACCACCACGCCTGGCTAATTTTTTTTGGTATTTTTATTAGAGACAAGGTTTCATCATGTTGGCCAGGCTGGTCTCAAACTCCTGACCTCAAGTGATCTGCCTGCCTCGGCCTCCCAAAGCGCTGAGATTACAGGTGTGATCTACTGCACCAGGCCTGGGCGTCATATATTCTTATTTGCTAAGTCTGGCAGCCCCACACAGAATAAGTACTGGGGGATTCCATATCCTTGTAGCAAAGCCCTGGGTGGAGAGTCAGGAGATGTTGTAGTTCTGTCTCTGCCACTTGCAGACTTTGAGTTTAAGCCAGTCGTGCTCATGCTTTCCTTGCTAAATAGAGGTTAGACCCCCTATCCCATGGTTTCTCAGGTTGCTTTTCAGCTTGAAAATTGTATTCCTTTGTAGAGATCAGCGTAAAATAATTCTGTCCTTATATGTGGCTTTATTTTAATTTGAGACAGAGTGTCACTCAGTCGCCCAGGCTGGAGTGTGGTGGTGCGATCTTGGCTCACTGCGACCTCCACCTCCCAGGTTCAAGCGATTCTCGTGCCTCAGGCTCCCAAGTAGCTGAGATTATAGGTGTGTGCCACCAGGCCCAGCTAACTTTTGTATTTTTAGTAGAGACAGGGTTTTGCCATGTTGGCTAAGCTGGTCTCGAACTCCTGGCCTCAAGTGATCTGCCCGCCTTGGCATCCCAAAGTGCTGGGATTACAGGTGTGAACCACCACACCTGGCCTCAATATAGTGGCTTTTAAGTGCTAAGGACTGAGATTGTGTTTTGTCAGGAAGAGGCCAGTTGTGGGTGAAGCATGCTGTGAGAGAGCTTGTCACCTGGTTGAGGTTGTGGGAGCTGCAGCGTGGGAACTGGAAAGTGGGCTGGGGATCATCTTTTTCCAGGTCAGGGGTCAGCCAGCTTTTCTGCAGCGTGCCATAGACCATCTCTTAGCCCTCGTGGGTCAGAGTCTCTGTTGCATATTGTCTTTTGTTGTTTTTCACAACCTTTTAGAAACATAAAAAGCATTCTTAGCCCGTGGGCTGGACAAAAAAAGGCCATGACGGGCTGTATGGATTTGGCCCAGCAGGCCCTTGCTTGCCAAGCCCTGTTTTAGACAAGGAGCAGCTTGTGTGCCTGGAACCATCATGGGCACAGGGGAGGAGCAGAGTGGATGTGGAGGTGTGAGCTGGAAACCAGGTCCCAGAGCGCTGAGAAAGACAGAGGGTTTTTGCCCTTGCAAATAGAGCAACTGAAATCTGACACCATCCAGTTCCAGAAAGCCCTGAAGTGCTGGTGGACGCTGCGGGGTGCTCCGCTCTAGGGTTACAGGGATGAAGATGCAGTCTGGTAGGGGGAGTCCACTCACCTGTTGGAAGATGTGATTAAGAAAAGTAGACTTTCAGGGCCGGGCATGGTGGCTCACGCCTGTAATCCCAGCACTTTGGGAGGCCGAGGCGGGTGGATCACGAGGTCAGGAGATCGAGACCATCCTGGCTAACATGGTGAAACCCCGTCTTTACTAAAAATACAAAAAATTAGCTGGGCGTGGTGGCGGGCGCCTGTAGTCCCAGCTACTCGGGAGGCTGAGGCAGGAGAATGGCGTGAACCTGGGAGGTGGAGCTTGCAGTGAGCCGAGATCGCGCCACTGCACTCCAGCCTGGGCGACAGAGCGAGACTCCGTCTCAAAAAAAAAAAAAAAAAGTAGGCTTTCATGATGTGTGAGCTGAAGGCGCAGTAGGCAGAAGTAGAGGCCTCAGTCCCTGCAGGAGACCTCTCGGTCTCTATCTCCTGATAGTCAGACCCAGCCACACTGGAAAGAGGGGAGACATTACAGCCTGCAAGAAAAGTAGGGAGATTTAAAAACTGCTTGGCTTTTATTTTGAACTGTTTTTTTTGTTTGTTTGTTTTCCCCAATTCAGAATACAGAATACTTTTATGGATTTGTTTTTATTACTTTAATTTTGAAACAATATAATCTTTTTTTTGTTGTTTTTTTGAGACGGGGTCTTACTCTGTCACCCAGGCTGAGTGCAGTGGTGTGATCTTGGCTCACCTCAGCCTCGACCCCCTGGGCTCAAATGATTCTCCCACCTCAGCTTCCCAAGTAGCTGGGACCACAGGTGCGTGTGTTGCGCTATACAAATCCTGAAGACAAGGATGCTGTTGCTGGTGATGCTGGGGATTCCCAAGATCCCAGATTTGATGGCAGGATGCCCCTGTCTGCTGCCTTGCCAGGGTGCCAGGAGGGCGCTGCTGTGGAAGCTGAGGCCCGGCCATCCAGGGCGATGCATTGGGCGCTGATTCTTGTTCCTGCTGCTGCCTCGGTGCTTAGCTTTTGAAACAATGAAATAAATTAGAACCAGTGTGAAAATCGATCAGGAAATAAATTTAATGTGGAAATAAACTGAACAACTTAGTTCTTCATAAGAGTTTACTTGGTAAATACTTGTGATGAGGACAAAACGAAGCACTAGAAGGAGAGGCGAGTTGTAGACCTGGGTGGCAGGAGTGTTTTGTTTGTTTTCTTTGGCAGGGTCTTGCTCTGTTGCTCAGGCTGGAGTACAGTGGCGCAATCACAGCTCACTATAGCCTCGACCTCCTGGACTCAAGCAATCCTCCTGCCTCAGCCTCCCAGTAGCTGGGACTACAGGCGCATGCCACCATGCCTGGCTAATTTTAAATTTTTTTTTTTCTCTTTTTTGAGATGGAATCTCACTCTGTCGCCCAGGCTGGAGTGCAGTGGCGTGATCTCGGCTGACGGCAAGCTCCGCCTCCCAGGTTCACTCCATTCGCCTGCCTCAGCCTCCCAAGTAGCTGGGACTACAGGCGCTGGGATTACAAACCCAAACCCAAAGTGCTGGGATTACAGGCGTGAGCCACCGCACCCGGCCTGTTTTGTCTTTCAATAGCAAGAGTTGTGTTTGCTTCGCCCCTACCTTTAGTGGAAAAATGTATAAAATGGAGATATTGACCTCCACATTGGGGTGGTTAAATTATAGCATGTATGCAAAGGAGCTTCGCTAATTTAAGGCTTTTTTGAAAGAGAAGAAACTGAATAATCCATGTGTGTATATATATTTTAAAAGCCATGGTCATCTTTCCATATCAGTAAAGCTGAGGCTCCCTGGGACTGCAGAGTTGTCCATCACAGTCCATTATAAGTGCGCTGCTGGGCCAGGTGCAGTGGCTTGTGCCTGAATCCCAGCACTTTGGGAGGCCAAGGCAGGAGGATTCATTGAGCCCAGGAGTTTTGAGGCGAGCCTGGGCAATGTGGCCAGACCTCATCTCTTCAAAAAATACACAAAAAATTAGCCAGGCATGGTGGCACGTGCCTGTAGTCTCAGCTACTCAGGAGGCTGAGGTGGGAGGATCACTTTGAGCCTTGCAGGTCAAAGCTGCAGTAAGCCATGATCTTGCCACTGCATTCCAGCCTGGATGACAGAGCGAGACCCTGTCTCTAAAAAAAAAAAAACCAAACGGTGCACTGTTTTCTTTTTTCTTATCAATTTATTATTTTTAAATTAAATTTTCTTTTAATAATTTATAAATTATAAATTTATATTAAAAAATGACAAATTTTTATTACTTATACATGAGGTAAAACTTAGGATATATAAAGTACATATTGAAAAGTAATTTTTTGGCTGGCACAGTGGCTCACACCTGTAATCCCAGCACTTTGGGAGGCCGTGGCGGGCAGATCACATGAGATCATGAGTTCGAGACCAACCTGACCAACATGGAGAGACCCCATCTCTACTAAAAATACAAAATTAGCCGGGGTGGTGGCGCATGCCTGTAATCCCAGCTACTCGGGAGGCTGAGGCAGGAGAATCTCTTGAACCCGGGAGGCAGAGGTTGCGGTGAGCCAAGATCGTGCCTTTGCACACCAGCCAAGGCAACAAGAGCGAAAGTCCGTCTCAAAAAAAAAGTAATTTTTTTTAAGTTAACCTCTGTCAGCAAACAAATTTAACCCAATAAAGGTCTTTGTTTTTTAATGTAGTAGAGGAGTTAGGGTTTATAAAAAATATGGTAGGGAAGGGGGTCCCTGGATTTGCTAATGTGATTGTCATTTGCCCCTTAGGAGAGAGCTCTGTTAGCAGAATGAAAAAATTGGAAGCCAGATTCAGGGAGGGACTGGAAGCAAAAGAATTTCTGTTCGAGGAAGAGCCTGATGTTTGCCAGGGTCTGTTTAACTGGACATGAAGAGGAAGGCTCTGGACTTTCCTCCAGGAGTTTCAGGAGAAAGGTAGGGCAGTGGTTAAGAGCAGAGCTCTGCCTAGACTAGCTGGGGTGCCTAGACTAGCTGGGGTGCCCAGACTAGCTGGGGTGCCTAGACTAGCTGGGTACTTTGAGTGGCTCCTTCAGCCTGGACCTCGGTTTCCTCACCTGTATAGTAGAGATATGGGAGCACCCAGCGCAGGATCACTGTGAACATAAATCAGTTAATGGAGGAAGCAGGTAGAGTGGTGCTGGGTGCATACCAAGCACTCCGTCAGTGTTTCCTGTTATTCGATGATTAGGAGGCAGCTTAAACTAGAGGGAGTTGAGCTGAATCAGGATGTTTGTCCCAGGTAGCTGGGAATCTGCCTAGCCCAGTGCCCAGTTTATTTAGGTGCTCTCTCAGTGTTCCCTGATTGTTTTTTCCTTTGTCATCTTATCTACAGGATGTGACTGGGAAGCTCTGGTTTCAGTGTCATGTGTCTATTCTTTATTTCCAGGCAAAGGAAACCAACAATAAGAAGAAAGAATTTGAGGAAACTGCGGAGAAAGTGCGCCGTGCCATCGAGCAGCTGGCTGCCATGGATTGAGGCCTCTGGCCGGAGCTGCCTGGTCCCAGAGTGGCTGCACCACTTCCAGGGTTTATTCCCTGGTGCCACCAGCCTTCCTGTGGGCCCCTTAGCAATGTCTTAGGAAAGGAGATCAACATTTTCAAATTAGATGTTTCAACTGTGCTCTTGTTTTGTCTTGAAAGTGGCACCAGAGGTGCTTCTGCCTGTGCAGCGGGTGCTGCTGGTAACAGTGGCTGCTTCTCTCTCTCTCTCTCTTTTTTGGGGGCTCATTTTTGCTGTTTTGATTCCCGGGCTTACCAGGTGAGAAGTGAGGGAGGAAGAAGGCAGTGTCCCTTTTGCTAGAGCTGACAGCTTTGTTCGCGTGGGCAGAGCCTTCCACAGTGAATGTGTCTGGACCTCATGTTGTTGAGGCTGTCACAGTCCTGAGTGTGGACTTGGCAGGTGCCTGTTGAATCTGAGCTGCAGGTTCCTTATCTGTCACACCTGTGCCTCCTCAGAGGACAGTTTTTTTGTTGTTGTGTTTTTTTGTTTTTTTTTTTTTGGTAGATGCATGACTTGTGTGTGATGAGAGAATGGAGACAGAGTCCCTGGCTCCTCTACTGTTTAACAACATGGCTTTCTTATTTTGTTTGAATTGTTAATTCACAGAATAGCACAAACTACAATTAAAACTAAGCACAAAGCCATTCTAAGTCATTGGGGAAACGGGGTGAACTTCAGGTGGATGAGGAGACAGAATAGAGTGATAGGAAGCGTCTGGCAGATACTCCTTTTGCCACTGCTGTGTGATTAGACAGGCCCAGTGAGCCGCGGGGCACATGCTGGCCGCTCCTCCCTCAGAAAAAGGCAGTGGCCTAAATCCTTTTTAAATGACTTGGCTCGATGCTGTGGGGGACTGGCTGGGCTGCTGCAGGCCGTGTGTCTGTCAGCCCAACCTTCACATCTGTCACGTTCTCCACACGGGGGAGAGACGCAGTCCGCCCAGGTCCCCGCTTTCTTTGGAGGCAGCAGCTCCCGCAGGGCTGAAGTCTGGCGTAAGATGATGGATTTGATTCGCCCTCCTCCCTGTCATAGAGCTGCAGGGTGGATTGTTACAGCTTCGCTGGAAACCTCTGGAGGTCATCTCGGCTGTTCCTGAGAAATAAAAAGCCTGTCATTTCAAACACTGCTGTGGACCCTACTGGGTTTTTAAAATATTGTCAGTTTTTCATCGTCGTCCCTAGCCTGCCAACAGCCATCTGCCCAGACAGCCGCAGTGAGGATGAGCGTCCTGGCAGAGACGCAGTTGTCTCTGGGCGCTTGCCAGAGCCACGAACCCCAGACCTGTTTGTATCATCCGGGCTCCTTCCGGGCAGAAACAACTGAAAATGCACTTCAGACCCACTTATTTCTGCCACATCTGAGTCGGCCTGAGATAGACTTTTCCCTCTAAACTGGGAGAATATCACAGTGGTTTTTGTTAGCAGAAAATGCACTCCAGCCTCTGTACTCATCTAAGCTGCTTATTTTTGATATTTGTGTCAGTCTGTAAATGGATACTTCACTTTAATAACTGTTGCTTAGTAATTGGCTTTGTAGAGAAGCTGGAAAAAAATGGTTTTGTCTTCAACTCCTTTGCATGCCAGGCGGTGATGTGGATCTCGGCTTCTGTGAGCCTGTGCTGTGGGCAGGGCTGAGCTGGAGCCGCCCCTCTCAGCCCGCCTGCCACGGCCTTTCCTTAAAGGCCATCCTTAAAACCAGACCCTCATGGCTACCAGCACCTGAAAGCTTCCTCGACATCTGTTAATAAAGCCGTAGGCCCTTGTCTAAGTGCAACCGCCTAGACTTTCTTTCAGATACATGTCCACATGTCCATTTTTCAGGTTCTCTAAGTTGGAGTGGAGTCTGGGAAGGGTTGTGAATGAGGCTTCTGGGCTATGGGTGAGGTTCCAATGGCAGGTTAGAGCCCCTCGGGCCAACTGCCATCCTGGAAAGTAGAGACAGCAGTGCCCGCTGCCCAGAAGAGACCAGCAAGCCAAACTGGAGCCCCCATTGCAGGCTGTCGCCATGTGGAAAGAGTAACTCACAATTGCCAATAAAGTCTCATGTGGTTTTATCTACTTTTTTTTTCTTTTTCTTTTTTTTTGAGACAAGGCCTTGCCCTCCCAGGCTGGAGTGCAGTGGAATGACCACAGCTCACCGCAACCTCAAATTCTTGCGTTCAAGTGAACCTCCCACTTTAGCCTCCCAAGTAGCTGGGACTACAGGCGCACGCCATCACACCCGGCTAATTGAAAAATTTTTTTTTTTGTTTAGATGGAATCTCACTTTGTTGCCCAGGCTGGTCTCAAACTCCTGGGCTCAAGTGATCATCCTGCTTCAGCGTCCGACTTGTTGGTATTATAGGCGTGAGCCACTGGGCCTGACCTAGCTACCATTTTTTAATGCAGAAATGAAGACTTGTAGAAATGAAATAACTTGTCCAGGATAGTCGAATAAGTAACTTTTAGAGCTGGGATTTGAACCCAGGCAATCTGGCTCCAGAGCTGGGCCCTCACTGCTGAAGGACACTGTCAGCTTGGGAGGGTGGCTATGGTCGGCTGTCTGATTCTAGGGAGTGAGGGCTGTCTTTAAAGCACCCCATTCCATTTTCAGACAGCTTTGTCAGAAAGGCTGTCATATGGAGCTGACACCTGCCTCCCCAAGGCTTTCATAGATCCTCTCTGTACATTGTAACCTTTTATTTTGAAATGAAAATTCACAGGAAGTTGTAAGGCTAGTACAGGGGATCCCGCATACCGTTCTCCTCCTTTTCCCCGTTGTGAGGACAGTGCACTGTATTCACTTTCAACATCCAAGGTCTGTGTTGAGAGGGTGAGTTGTGCGGCCCAGCTTGCCCCAAGCCCGTCTTGCCATCACGAAGGATTTCCTGACTCAGCTGAATCTAGCTCAACAAAGCAAAGGACTAACTAAGCTGCAGATTTTCTCTCCGCTGGGCTTAGCCTACATTATTTACACCTGTTTTCAGCTGGATGGGACCAAACTGGGGCCTTGACTTCTGGGGTTTCCACGTGATCCCCAAAGAGGAGACATCCATTCATTCACTCAGGTATTTGCTTGTGCACCTACTGTGCGCCAGGTGCCAGATCCAGGAATTGAAGCCCAGGAACAACTCTTGCAGTGAGCTCCCCGGGTTTTTGTTTTCTGAACGGTGGGAAGACAGGTCAGCAAATAGCCATGCACGTCTGCACATGTGTGGCTGGTGTCTGCAGGAGTACCGAGAAGACGGTGAGCTCTGCCCTGGATGGCAACAGGAAAGGGCATCCCTGTGCAGCTGTTTGTCCTGGCACAGGTGGCAGGCTGCCAGCGGGACCAGGAAGGGAAGGGGAGGATGCACAGGTCGGAGGGAACGGAACGGGCACTGCAGGTGCGCTCTGCGATGTGAGGAAGGAAGCAAAGGCTGGTTCCGGGATGATGTCGGAGAAGCCTTGCAGCCTAGGGCACTGCCCATTCCACGTTACCCAGTGAGTCAAAGCCTCCCAGAAAGACATTTAGTCACTCAAAGCCAGTGCAGGTCTCAGCTTTGTCCGGGGAGGAACTTTCACTCTAGAAAACACGAACTCATTTCCCTTTGAGGAAGTTGTTTCTCCAGGATATCATTTCCAGCCACCATCCAGGATGCTGGGCAGGTGCTGCAGTGCCCAAGGCACGGCTGCCGAAGAAGCTTGTCCCTTAGAAACCCCTTGTGGCCTCGGAGGCGCCTGCCTGCCTCCCTGAGAATGGAACCCTGTTGGGCCGCCAGGCTCGCTGGGCAGGTGCTGGGGAAGGCTGGGTCACCGTGCTGAGCCCCTCACAGGCCTGGGAGTTGTGCTTGGGGAGGAGAGCTCCCAGCTCTTTGGCTGCCTCCCAATCATGGCCACATCTCACAAACAATACCACTGTCCACGAAAAATGAAAAGGTGCCTGGTTCTAACCCATGGCCCCAACCATGAAAGAGCCCTTAGAATGTGGGGGTTTGACTCGAACAGTGGCTTTGAGTCTCCCAGGGGGGATTAGTGTCCTAATGCCCTGAGTTAATGAATTGACTTGTTGGACAGGGAAACTCAGTGAGGTTCATTTTCTGTGGGGGGACGTTTGTCAAATGCTGTGAAATCAGTTGTAGCATACGCGACGCTCAGCTGCTCCGACAGTGACTCAGCCACGGCTCCAGCTGCTTCCCCAGCCCTGTAGTGGAGGTGGCAGATGGTGTCATCAGCCTGGCGCAGAGGGCTGTGCCCACTGGCATCACAAGGGCCAGGCCTGCTGGTCCTCCAGCCACTGGATCCAGGTAGTTACATATGGGTTTAAAAGAAGAGAGGCAGGGCCAGTTGCGGTGGCTCATGCCTGTAATCCCAGCACTTTGGGAAGCCGAGGTGGGTGATCATTTGAGGTTAGGAGTTCAAGATCAGCCTGACCAACATGGCGAAACCCAGCCTCCACTAAAAATACAAAAAAATTAGCTGGGCATAGTGCTGGGTGCCTGTAGTCCCAGCTACTCAGGAGGCTGAGGCAGGAGAATTGCTTGAACCCGGAAGGCAGAGGTTGCAATGAGTCAGGATCATGCCACTGCACTCCAGCCTGGGCAACAGAACGAGACTCTAAAAAAAAAAGATCAATAAATAAAATAAAAATAAGAGAGGCAGGGTGGGAATATTACTTGAGGCCAGGAGTTTGAGACCAGCCTGGGTAACAAAGCAAGACCCTGTCTCTACCAAAATAATAATTTAAAAAATTACCCGGGAATGGTGTGACATGCCTGTGGTCCCAGCTACTCTGGAGGCTGAGGTGGGAGGAACACTCGCACATAGGAAGTTGAGGCTGCAGTGAGCCGTGATCACACCACTGCACCACTCTAGCCTGGGTGACAGAGCAAGACCTCATCTCTGGGGAAAAAAAAAAAAAGAAGAGGCTTGGAAGCCACATTGTTTTTTGTCACTTATAACTAGAGTTTCGTCCATCAAAAGCCCATTCTGCACTGATTTCAGTGATAGGGGTCTGATGCTGGCTTGGAAGAGGGCCTGACAGCTTAGAGACAGGCTTGGAGTTCCAAGTTGATGAAAGAACGATGAATAATGAAAAATAATGTGTTGTTCTAAAGTAGTGCCTTTTCATACTGAGCTAGGGTATAATTTGGGTCCATTTCAAGGGAAATATACTAGCAGAATTCATCAAAGTAGCCCCTCGAAGACTGGTGCCTGCTGCCTACGGGACAATTTAATCAGTGGTTCCAGCTGCACATCTAGAGTTGGGAACACTGAACCCAGGCTTTCTCATGCAGATGGGGTGTGGATTGCTAAGGTGGCTGTCTCCTAGCGCTGCAGCATGAGTGAAACACGTGTCCATTCTACAGAGACGCGGCTCCGTGATGCTGAAACCTCCTTCTTTTTTTTTTTTTTTGAGACGGAGTCTTGCTCTGTCGCCCAGGCTGGAGTGCAGTGGCGATATCTTGGCTCACTGCAACCTCCGCCTCCTGGGTTCATGCAATTCTCCTCCCTCAGCCTCCTGAGTAGCTGGGACTACAGGCGCGTGCCACCATGCCTGGCTAATTTTTGTATTTTTAGTAGAGACAGGGTTTCACCGTGTTAGCCAGGATGGTCTCGATCTCCTGACCTCGTGATCTGCCTGCCTCGGCCTCCCAAAGTGCCGGGATTACAGGCGTGAGCCACTGCACCCCGCTGAAACCTCCTTCTAGATAACAGCGGCGTTAAGCATTTTTTTTTTTTTTTGAGATAGAGTGTTGCTCTGTTGCCCAGGCTGGAGTGCAGTGATGCGATCTCGGCTCACTGCAACCTCCACCTCCCAGGTTCAAGCAATTCTTCTGCCTCAGCCTCCCGAGTAGCTGGGACTACAGGCACACGCCACCAGGCCCAGCTAATTTTTGTATTTTTAGTAGAGACGGGGTTTCAGTATATTGGCCAGGCTGGTCTCGAACTCCTGACCTCATGATCCACCCGTCTCAGCCTCCCAAAGTGCTGGGATTACAGGCGTGAGCCACTGCACCTGGCCAAAACCTCCTCCTAGATAACAGTGGCGTTAAGCATTTTTTTTTTTTTTGAGATGGAGTCTTGCTCTGTTGCCCAGGCTGGAGTGCAGTGGTGTGATCTCAGTTCACTGCAACCTCTGCCTCCCGGGTTCAAGTGATTCTTCTGCCTCAGGCTCCTGAGTAGCTGGGATAACAGGCATGAGCCACCACTCCCAGCTAATTTTTGTATTTTTAGTAGAGACAGGGTTTTGCCATGTTGGCCAGGCTGGTCTGGAACTCCTGACCTCAAGTGATCCTCCCACCTCGGCCTCCCAAAGTGCTGAGATTACAGGCGTGAGCCACTGCACCTGGCCTTTTTTTGTTTTTTAAGACAGGGTCTCACTCTGTTGATCACAGCCACAGCTCACTGCAGCCTCAACCTCCTGCCTGGGTTCAAGCAATCCTCCCACCTTGGCCTCCCAGGTAGCTGAGACCACAGGCACAAGCCACCATATCTGGCCCTACGTAAGCTTTATGTGGGTGCAATAACAGATCTCAAACCAGCTCTCAGCTCAAGAGAAGGGGAAGCTGGGCACAGTGGCTCACGCCTATAATCCCAGCACTTTGGGAAGCCGAGGCAGGAGGATCACTTGAACCCAGGAGTTCGAGACCAGCCTGGGCAACATAGGGAGACCCCTGCCCTCCCTGTCTCTGAAAAAAAAAAAAAAAAAAAAAGAAAGGAGAGGCTGGGCTTGGTGGCTCACACCTGTAATCCCAGCACTTTGGGAAGCCCAGGCAGGAGGATCACTTGAACCCTGGAGTTTGAGTCCAGCCTGGGCAACATAGGGAGACCTTGTCTCTAAAAAAATAAATAGAGTGAGAGAGAGAAGGGGAAGTCACCGGGAGGACACACATGGAGCACGCAGCCCAAATGGGGCTCCTCTGTTCTCCCTGCAGAGTCAGTTCGTACCTTTCACATGCACAAAGGTGTTGATCCAACCGAAGCAATATTGATTCTTGTTATATTGCTTTATTGTGGGGTCAGTGTCAGAGTACCACGAGTTTTCATCACGCACCGTTCTTTCCCCAGCTGCAGTGTGTTTAGGGGGGGAACGAGGCCCCACCCCCTATCCCTATCGCCTCTGCCTTTATAACGGCTGCTACTCTCTGAGCACCTGTTGAGTTCTTTCACCTTCCAGATCTAATGTGCTATCCCCACCCCTAGAGAACAGGGCTGCTGGATGCCACATGGCTCCCAGAGAGGGGCTGTGGTCAGGGAAGCCCCAGCTCCAAGGGGGCTGGAAAACCCCAGAGCTGCCCACGTGCGGCAACACAGTCTGGTGCTGCAGGTGTGAGGACGGCTACAAAATACCTGAGCCATTCTGTCACTCTGTCTGAACTCTGTTTGAAATATTGTTTCAATAACTGCTAGGCTGGTTTTTCCTTCCTGACTATATTCCTCAAACCAACAAGAGCCTAGCAGAGGAAAGCATGGCCAAAACGCCCCAAGAAGAGAGCCTTGGCTTCACCTCCAAGGGCCACCATCCGGGAGGATGTCCTCAGACCTCTGATCCCCTCTCTGCAGGCTCTGCCCAGCCCTGTGTGGCAACCCAGAGGAAGCCTCCCCTTCGTTTGAGATTTAACCCCAGACCTTAGGCGATGGCTGCCCAGCCTGTCCCTTCCGCCTGTGTGGCTGCCCACGCGGGCGTTGCTCATGGGGCTAGTCCTGGGTGGATGGGTGGGGGCCTCTCGCCGGCTCCTCTGCCTCCCACCCCCACTGGCACCCCACGCCTGTCCTAGAAGGTTCTTTCTGCCTGTTTTCTCCGTGAGTGACTGGACAGGCAGAGGCCGGCCTTGCTGGAGGGGGCATTTGTAATTATGAGTGAATCCAAAACAAGGTTTTTTCCTTCCGCAGCCCCCCGCCCGGCTGTGGGGCCCAGCCACTGCACTTCACCGGATGCCGTCTGGTTGGTCCTCAGGACTGATACAGACCAGGACCCCAGGGCCAGCCCGTGCCAGGCTCCTATGCTTCCAGGAGCACGGGTGGGTGGTCCTGCTGCCTGGCCGGCCATCCTCCTGGGGTCGGTCTCTGGCCGATCCTCCCTCCTCCTCTCAAGCCCTGCACAGCCCGGCCAGGCAGGTGCATCTTGTTTGGCTGCTGAGGAGCCGGGGGTTCAGGGAAATTAAGGAACGTGCCCAGGGACCCGGGGCCAGCCCGTGGGGACGCTGGGATTGGAGCCCAAGCCCCAGGTTCGCCGCGCGGCTCTCGACTTCCTCTCCTTTCCCCCAGGGGCGAGCTCAGCGACCGCAGAGAGGTGGGGTCGATCTCCCTGCGACCCCAGGGGGCCCGCGAGGCCAGTGCGCGGGCAGGAGCGGGGACGTGCTCAGAAGAGCCGGGCGCCGCCGCGCCCGCCCGCCCCCCGTCCCCCGGCTCCCGGCTCCGCGCGCCCCCCGCCGCCCCCGGGGCCCTGCTACCCCCGACCCGTCCCCTCCCGCCGGCCGCCCCCATGGCCCGGCTGGGCGCGCTGCTCCTGGCCGCCGCCCTGGGTGCACTGCTCAGCTTCGCGCTCCTGGCCGCCGCGGTCGCCAGCGACTACTGGTACATCCTGGAGGTGGCGGACGCCGGCAATGGCAGCGCCTGGCCCGGGCGCGCAGAGCTGCTCTCCTCGCACTCGGGGCTCTGGCGCATCTGCGAAGGTAACCGGCCACCGCGCCGGCCCTCCTCCCTCCGCGACCTCGTCCCTCCGACACCCCCTTAACCCCGCCCTGCTCGTGTTGCCCCGCCAGACCCCCTTCCAGGACCCCTCTCTTGCATCCCGCTCTGCCCCAGGGTGTCTCTCCGCTCCCTCCCCATCACCCTCCGTCTTCCCCCAAAACTGACAGCCCAAGGGCTACAGGAGGGAGGGAGCCCAGTTCGGGGCCCCTCACAGCCGGAGGAGGGGGCTGTGGGGCGACAGTGGGGGAGGGAAGCCTAGAGGTGTGTAGTTGGGGGGCCTCATCCAAGTCACCAGGGGTTGTTTCTTGATCACGCTCCCCGGGGTTTGGGCCTGGCAGCCCCTTGTCCCCGTCCCTGTCAGGCACTGTCAGAGCTGTTCACCCCACACCTCCTGATGCCGCGGGGGCAGGGGTTCCAAATGTGTACAGAGGCTTCAGAGTCCGGGGAGAGAGAAGGGGATCCCAGCAGGCTGGAGGGTCCACAGGGCCCCCTCCGTTCCCCCCAGCTCCCTCCTCCGGAGCTGGGGCCAGCCTGGGGAGCTTCCCCTTCACAGCGCGAGGGCTGGCAGGGCAGGGGTGTGTGTGTGAGTGAGCATGTGTGTGCATCTGAATATGTGTGCATGTGCTGAACATGAACATGTGTGAGCACCTGGCTGTGTATGTAAATATGAATATGTGAGTGTGAGTGTATGTAGTTGTGTGTGCATGTGAATATGAGTGTGTGAGCATGTCAGTGTGCATGTGTGTGCATGTGAGAGTGTGTGGGCATGTATATGAGTGAGTGCATGTGTGGGTGGTGCACATGTGCTGGTGGCTTCCTCAGTGCAACTGGGGAGGAGTTAGGAGCCTTGTGTTCATCCAACAGACTGCCTAACTGTGCTCCAAAGACCTCCTGACATGCACCTGTGTGCACGTGTGCACACGCCTGTGCCTATGCAGGTGGCTCTGCACGCGTGTGAGAACCAGAGAGTATGTATGCCCACATGACACGAGTCAGGAAGATTCCAGAGCGAGGCTTCCCAGGAGCCCGTTTTGTACACCCTTTTTCCTTTCAGGCAAAGCCTGAGTTCCACACACAAACGCATTACAAGGACCCCTGCCTGAGGGACTCTGAGGGGGCCTCCATGGAGCGTTTGAAAGTTTAAACATGCACCTGTGCAGGCATAACTTGCACGTGAAAATAAACAAGGTGAAGGCTGGGCCCGGTGGCCCACGCCTGTAATCCCAGCACTTTGGGAGGCCGAGGCGGGTGGATCACGAGGTCAGGAGATCGAGACCACAGTGAAACCCCGTCTCTACTAAAAATACAAAAAATTAGCCGGGCACGGTGGCGGGTGCCTGTAGTCCCAGCTACTTGGGAGGCTGAGGCAGGAGAATGGCGCGAAACCGGGAGGCGGAGCTTGCAGTGAACCGAGATCGCGCCACTGCACTCCAGCCTGGGGTGACAGAGCGAGACTCCATCTCAAAAAAAAAAAAAAGAAAAAGAAAATAAACAAGGCTAAAGGTCTTGGGCCTTTTCATCCCACTTGGAGTCCCAGCCCTGAGTTTCAGCAGAAGAGAAGCTGGCAGGGCCCTGTGGTGCCAGGGGGTCCCCTGGGCTCGGGTAGGCTGCTGGGTGCACCACAGCGTCCAGGCCCCAGGCTTCGAGGCCTATGTTTCCCAGGGCAGAACGGCTGCATCCCGCTGGTCGACCCTTTTGCCAGTGAGAGCCTGGACGTCTCCACCTCGGTGCAGCACCTCATCTGTGAGTCCTGGGTGGGGCCACCTCCCCATCCTTTCCAAATATTCAGGCAAGGCAGATCCCAGCCATCCCCATCCCCATCCCGCAGCACTGCTTCCACTGCCCCTGCGTTTCCAAGAGGACGTTTCCACGCAGACCTGTCCCAGTGCTGTGCTGCTGTCCCTAACCACAGGTGCCCAGCTCCCAGCCTATCCTGTTTTCCCCTGTCTCAGTTTCCCTCTCAGTGGTGATGGCTCATCCCTTTGTTATTGGGGAAGCCAGGCAGCTCCCAGCTTGGCTGGATCCTGCGGGCCTTGCAGACTCCTGGCTCCCCATTTAGGACTCGATTCTTCCAGATGGCCTGCTGTCTACCTGGCTGGCACCTTCCACCTGGCGGGTTGGGGGACATGTGAGGCCTGGGGATGGGGGCTGGGAGTGTTCTGGGGACGCCTCCCCTCCTGGCCTTAGGAAGCCCCTGCCAGAGTCAGAGGGGGCCACTGGGAGGGTCCAGTGGTGTCCACAGAGATGGGCGTCAGCCGCTTTTCCTGAGAAGACGAAGCACCACGTCACTGTCCTCCGGCAGACAAGTGCTGAAGGGCCCACCTGGACCAGAATTCTCACCTGAGCCCCCTTTCCTGCAGTGCTGCACCGTGCAGTCATTGTGGTCCTGCCCCTGAGCCTGGTCCTTCTCGTGTGTGGCTGGATCTGCGGCCTGCTCAGCTCCCTGGCCCAGAGCGTGTCTCTGCTGCTTTTCACCGGCTGCTACTTCCTGCTGGGGAGTGAGTCTGGGGCCCTGGGGGAATGGCTCCAAAGATGGGAGCTGGGCCACAGGTCCCGGGAGTGGGGTGCTGCCTCTCCTGTTGCCCTCGTCCCCTGCTCCCTTCTGGGCGGGTGCTGAGTCTGGCGATGGAGCCGTGGCAGGCAGCTCCCTGTGGTTCCAGAAGGTACCCATGTATATTTGTTCTCACGTTGCTATAAAGAAATGCCTGAGACTGCGTAATTTATAAAGAAAAGAGGTTTAGGCCGGGAGCAGTGGCTCATGCCTGTGATCCCAGCACTTTGGGAGGCTGAGGTGGGTGGATCATCTGAGGTCAGGAGTTCAAGACCAGCCTGACCAACATGGTAAAACCCCATCTTTACTAAAAACACAAAAATTAGCTGGGCTTATAAAGAAAAGAGGTTTAATTGGCTCATGGTTCTGCATGCTGTAGAGGAAGCATGATGCTTGGCTTCTGGGGAGGCCTCAGGAAAATGACAATCACAGGCGGAAGGCCAAGGCAGGGAGCCAGCATTTCACATGGCTGGGACAGGAGGAAGAGAGTAGGGAGGTGTTACACACTTTTTTTTTTTTTTGAGATGGAGTTTCGCTCTTGTTGCCCAGGCTGGAGTGCAATCGCATGATCTCGACTCACTGCAACCTCCGCATCCTGGGTTCGAGCAATTCTCCTGCCTCAGCCTCCTGAGTAGCTGGGATTACAGGCATGCGCCACCACACCCAGCTAATTTTGTATTTTTGGTAGAGACGGGGTCTCTCCATGCTGGTGAGGCTGGTCTTGAACTCCTGACCTCAGGTAATCCACCTGCCTCAGCCTCCCTAAGTGCTGGGATTATAGGTGTGAGGCACCGTTCCCAGCTGGGTGCTACATAGTTTTTTTTTTTTTTTTTTTGAGACGGAGTCTCGCTCTGTCTCCTAGGCTGGAGTGCAGTGGCGCAATCTTCGCTCACTGCAAGCTCTGCCTCCCAGGTTCATGCCATTCTCTTGCCTCAGCCTCCTGAGCAGCTGGGACTACAGGCACCTGCCACCACGCCCGGCTAATTTTTTTGTATTTTTAGTAGAGATGGGGTTTCACCATGTTAGCCAGGATGGTCTCAATCTTCTGACCTTGTGATCCTCCTGCCTCGGCCTCCCAAAGTGCTGTGATTACAGGCATGAGCCACCATGCCCAGCCCTGGGTGCTACATACTTTTAAACAACCAGATCTCAGAACTCACTCACTATCCAGAGAACAGCACCAAGGGAAATGGTGCTAACCCATTCATGGGAAGCCACTGCCATGATCCAGTCATCTCCCACCAGGCGCCCCCTCCAACACTGGGGATTATCATTCCACATGCGATTCGGGCCGGGACACCAAACCCTAGCACCGTGATAGGAGCAGGGCTTCTGGTTGTGGGTCAGAGCCTGGGACAGGGAGGAGCACCGGGGTCCAAGCTTCTTGGTGCGGGGGGCATGAGGGCCTCCAGGGCAACCCCAGGACCTGCTCTACTGGGTCAGATCATGCGGGGGGGCCTGGGGCCAGCCCCTCACCACACCCTTCTCCTTCCTGTACTGTCCTGGTGGGAGGAGCAAGGGTTCCGGGGTTTGGCACAGATGAGGCAGGGCCAGGCATGAAGGCAGGTGAGACAGGGCACCAGAGGCCTCAGCTCTGACCCCAGCACAGGCTGAGACTGTAACCGGTAACCACCCATCCACTGACGCGGCTCCAGCTCTGACTACATGCCGAGTGCTGGCCAAGTGCTCCTCCGAAGGCTCCTCCGAGGGCCCCCCAGTCCCAGCTGCAGGTGAGAAATCTGAGGCCTGGAGAGGGCCGAGGGCCTGGGCTCCCCTTCACCCCCACTGGTGCTGTCTCCTCAGTTTCCACCGACTGCCCAGCACTGGCTGTTGCGGAAGGTGGACTAGGGGCTCCTGACAGTCTGTCCTCAGCCGCCCCTGTCAATCAAGGCTAGGCCCGAGCCAGGCCCTGATGTCTCAGGCCAGCTCCACTGTCAAGGCTGTGGCCACAAGGAGCAGACCATCCAGGGCTGGGGGCACCCTCCCTGTTTCTCTGGGAGGCCTCTGTCACTGAGGAGGCCCGACTGGGTGCAGAGATTGGGGAAACCAGCAGCCTTGGTATTGGTCACAGGCCACATGAGAACAACAGTGAAGTCAAGGTCTCCTCTAGACAATGAAATCAGGAAGAATCCAAATGACCTGACCCTGCGGCCCATCTGTGAGTGTTCAAAATCCAATTAAGAGGACCTTCGGGAGCCAGCGACTAGAGTGTAATTGGGTTGGGATTGTAACCAGAAGAACTTACAGGGACACGGACCCTCTGCATTGTGCCTGGGAGCGAAGGCACCGGCTAGGGGGTGGAGGGGCCGGAGGTAGCTGGTGGATGGGTGGGGGTTCCACTGCGACTCCAGCCTCCCCAGGCAGAGGGGGCCTCCATCCTAGTATGAGGGTCAGCTGTGGGCCGAAGCACAGAGGGCTCTCAGGATGTCACACCAAAGGCACCTGCCCAGGGTCAGCTCGGCCCTCACCCCTCACTAGCACTGCAAGGAGGGGGAGGGAGATAGAGGGCCCCAGATCGATTGGGTGCCCTTCCCTGAGACAGGATCTTGGGGGGCCTGGGGGACCGACAGGGCCCACGGTGACAGAGTCCTTTAGAGTTTCCCAGCTTGAGGTTGCAGGTGCCAGCCGCAGAGGCCTCCTTTAGGAGGTCTGCCAGGAGCTGAGCCTGGGCCCCATCACCAGGGATTTGGGAGGTACTTCAGGTCCCAGTTTGGGAGCTTACTCTTCACCTTCATTTTGGGAGAAAGGCCGTGTCCTCGGCCAGGCTACAGGAGGCAGCTGGTGTTTGGAGAGGGCTCAGCTGGTGGGGCGGCCTGCCAGGAAGTGGGGCCTTGGGCTGCAGCTGCAGCCAGTGCTACAGGCAGAGACAGGCAGAGACAGGCACCTCCTGCCGCACGGTCAGCCCCCGCTGCTGGGGGCTGACCCCCACCCCTGCTTCTCCCAGGGACCGCTTCATTCAATTTGGCTTCACATTCTTCCCCAAAATAAATCCATAATTTCTGTTGCTACGCTGCCCAGCCGGGCAGGCATCCGTGTGTCCTCCCTCCCTCAGCCTCCCCATGCCTTCTTCTCCCCACTCTCTGTCCCACTCTTCTTCCCAAGTTTGGTTCCCAGGAGGAATCACAGAAGACCAGGCTGTGTTGTGCCCCTTCACTGGGCACCAGTGAGATCCAGACCTGGCCCTGAATGTCAGCTTGGGTCAGTTGCCTTCTTTTGGCTGGGCAGTGCCCAGAGGGGACCCTGTGCACCCAGGAAGTGCCTGTGGGGAAATCAGGGCCACCTGCCCCCCTGGCTAACATTCCCTACAGTCGGCGCCAAGGACAGGCTTTCTCATCAGCCTGAAGCTGTGGGAAGGGGGTGGCACTCCGGGCTGGTTCCTCCAAGCTCAGTGGACAGGAAAATGCCCTGGAGGCATGGGCCGAGTCCCCTACCTAGCTCGTTGCTGGACCCTGAACTGCCGGATGAAGCCTGGTGCCCGCCACCCTGTGCAAAGCCCAGCTTCATTCCTTTGACAACAGCTTTGACCATGTGGAGAGCGGGAGGGAGGAGAGAGGAGGGCCCAGGGCAGGCATCCTCCCCTGGGGAAGGGCCTGAAACTCAGAGCTGGGAGGACAGGGGGGCTCTGGAAGGGGAGTCAGAGGGAGGGGGATGTTAGCCCCGGAGGTAGGGAGGGCAAAGGTGTGAGGAAGAGGAGGCGGGGGTGCAGGGCAGGGACTCACTCTGATCAGAGCACTGGGCAACGCTGCTGCCAGCAGAGGCCATGGCTCTGTGTGTGTGTGTGTGTGTGTGTGTGTGTGTGTGTGAATGTGTGCAAATGTGTTCGTGTAGGTGTGCATGTGCATGTGTGTGCTGGGGGCCATGGAGGGTACAGAGTGTGTGGGGGGCAGTTATGTGAGTGGGAACCATGTTGAGGGGCAGGTGGCACTGTTTGCAGGAGGCTTTATGGGATGAGGTCTCTGAGGTTTGAGGACTGAATTGGAGCCTCTTAAAGCTCCACTCCGCCAAATGCAGTTGACTACCTTTAGCCCTGTCCAACCCCAAGCAGGAGGTGGTGTCTGGGAGAGGCGGCCAGGTTGACAGCCAGGCAGGGCTAACCATGACAGGAAGGGCGGTGTGCTGCCTGCAGCTCTGCCTGAATGCTAGCGGGGCCGGGGATGCTGAGGCCATGTCTGCAGGACCACCTGGGCCTGGGCCCGCTAGAGCAGACACCGAGCAGCTGCCCTCCCCATCTCTCCCCCAGGTGTCCTGACACTGGCGGGGGTCAGCATCTACATCAGCTACTCGCACCTGGCCTTTGCGGAGACGGTGCAGCAGTATGGCCCGCAGCACATGCAGGGCGTCCGCGTCAGCTTCGGCTGGTCCATGGCCCTGGCCTGGGGCTCCTGTGCCTTGGAGGCATTCAGCGGAACCCTCCTGCTCTCAGCTGCCTGGACCCTCAGCCTGAGCCCCCCAATCTGTGGTCATCTGAGTCCCCAGCAGGTGGGAGGGAGGTAAGAGGGGGCTGGGTTTCCCTTTGCACCTCCCGGGATTGGGCGGTCAGGGCCAGGGCCCCTTGAGAGTCTGGGAATCCCTTCTCTGGGCCTCGCTGGGGTCCTGGCCAGGAAGGGGCTGGGGGTGACAAGGGGTGGAGGGCAGAGCCAAGAATCCAGCTCCTCATGTTTCTCTGTAGATATTTGGGGAGGCTCCCCTGCCCCGGCAGGCTTGTTAGGGACTAATTGGTTCAACCGCCTCTTAGAGATGAGAAGAGCCAGTCCAGAAAGAGGAAGTAAGTGGCCCAGGTGACACAGGCTGAGTGGCAGAGTTGGGTGGGGGCACCTCTCAAGGGTGTGGCCTGAACTCGCCCCTCCCCCAGCAGGCTAGTGAGTCACTGCTGCCCCCATTCCTAAGGACCTGGGAGAAAAGTAGGTGCCTGTTAAATGCCGCAGGACTGGGCTCCATGCTCCTCTCCAGCCCCGCAATGGCCCTACTCAATGACTACCCTTTATCCATTTTACAGAGGGGGAGACTGAGGCCCAGAGCGGCAGAGGGACCCACCCAGATCGCCTGGCGCCAGAGAGATGCCGTCTCAGGCCAAGGCCTCCCTGGCCTCTGTTCTGTCCACTCTCCCCGAAGGGCAGGCTTGGTGGAGAAGAGGCTGATGAGAGGGCCCGAGAGCCCCTCCGATTTGCAGGGGTGGGGGGCAAGGAGCTGAGCGATCCAGATGTACCCCTCTGCCCCCTCCCTTGTTCTCAAGCCTGCTAGGTACTTTTCACTGAGCACTTCCGGGAAGAGCAGGCACCCAGATCTCTGTCCTTGTCCTGGCACAGGCTGCTGCTGCTTCCGGCCCCCGACCCTTCCTCTCTGCAGCAACCCGGGGGAGGTATGCCACTGTGAGTGCCCTGGTGGGCACACTGAGCTGGCAGAGATGGAAGTCCCAGAAGGGTGGGGTGGGGGTGTCATGCCATGGTGGAGGAGTTTGGGGCCACTCCTTGCCTGCCTCAAAGGGGGCCTGGCTGAGGGTGCTTCTTGACCACAGGGGCCAGGGCTGCCTAGGGTGGCGCAGGGCTGGGCCTGGAGTTTGGGATGCAGGCTTGTTAAACACAGGGCAGAACCCCAGGTTGGGAGGGGCTCAGTTTGCAGGCCCAGGCCCGCAGGCCCACTGCTGGTCCCAGGGTGAGACAGGTGAGAAGAGGGATGGCCAGCACACACTTGAGTCCCCTTGGGCCACAAAGGCTGGGGCACGCCCACCGTTATGCAGATGGACAGTTGAGGTGGCTGCAGGAGAAGGGTTCCCAGGGCCTGTACAACACGTGGAAGCACTAAACGGCCCCGTTTGGGGTTTGGGGGCCCTTCCCGAGTCTTGAGAGGTCTTGAGAGGTGTGCTGGGGAAGGTGGCAGCCTCTTGTAGCTTGATCTTCCTCCACCCTGCCCCACCCCTAGGTCTCTTTATTGATTCAAAGGTTAAGGAAGCTCCTGGGGGCTTGAGGGGGTGGCACAGTTTTGGTGGGGCCCAGTGAGGACAAATCTGGGGGGTGAGCAGGGCCTCCTCTTCCTCCTGGTGTTTGAACGTTTACCATTCCATGTGGGACCATTGTGCCAATTTGTCCTTAAGTAAATCACTTGTGCTGTGTGCAGTATAAGCCTTTTATTTTTCTTAGAACTTTTCAAAATAGGTAACACATGCCTGTCTGTCATAAACAGTACAAACGTGAGCAAACACTGTCACCAGCTGTGCGCGTGTCTGTCTGTCCATCCAGAGGTGTTCTGAGAGCGTGTGTGCACGTGTGTGTGTGTCCACTGTGAAGTCATCTGTAGACATACAAGCCTACTTCTTATTCCCAGATCAGCACAGGGAGTGGGGAGGGGGGCCTGGGTCTCCGTTTTGGAAACGGGGGCTGGCTTCGTGGGCATGTCCTCTCAGCTTGGGAGGAAAGGTGTGGCGGACTCTTCCTCTCCTCCTCCTGGCCCCCAACTTCTGCTGATGAGGCTTCTCCTGGGGGTTTGCTGGGAAGCCAGGGATGTGAGCCTAACTTCAGGCCTCTCACGGCAGATGTGCTTGGGCTCTGGGGATAGGACACTGGGGAAGACACACCGGGGAGGGGCTGCTGGGACCACCAGCGTTCCCGGAGAGTGTGTGTGGTGGGGAGGGTGTGCTGCTTGACCCTTCCCTTCCAGAACAGAGCTGCCCACCTTGCCTCCACGTGTTCTGGGGCGTGTGGAACTTAGCCAGGCCAGGTAACTTCTTCACTCTCTCATTGGCCAGCCACATCCCTCACCCTCTGGTTGGTTAGTGGACTCCCTCACGCTCTGATTGGCTAGTCAACTCCTTCACTCTGACTGGCCAGCCACATCCCTCACCCTCTGATTGGCTAGTTGACTCCACTCTGGCCAGTTGATGCCCCACACTCTCTGATTGGCCAGTCAGTGTTCCTTACCCTCTGAATGGCCAGTTAACTCCCTCACTCTCTGGCTAGTCTCCACAGTGATTGGCCCAAGGGTTCTGTCTGTGTTCATGGTTCTCTGAGTGTCAGGCTTTGCAGCTGTGATTAAGAGGCGGATGAGTGCCTCCCAGGGAAGAGACAGTGCATGGTTCAAGGTCACCCAGAATAGACAACATGACATCAGGCTCAAATGGTGCTGCGTCGTTTACAGCAAGAGGAGAGAGCCTGTGCACCAAAACCGCTTGCAATGGTGGTTCCCACGGTGGGATCCACTGGCCCACGTGGGCCTCTTTCTTCAATTTTTTCTTAGAATTTTTCAAAATAGGTAACACGTGCCCTTGTGCCACAAATAGCACAAAGGCGAGTAAACACTGTCACCAGCTGTGCGCACGTCTGTCCATCCAGAGGTGTTCTGTGTGTGTGTGAGCAAGCGTGTGCACGTGCCAGAAACAAGCCCTGACTCAGAGGCCCTTCCCCCAGCATCGAAGGCGCTTGCTCCTCTCGCCACAGCAAAGCCCCTTCTCCAGGGATGGCCCAGCTCCGCCAGGTCCTGGGCCCACTGGCATCCCACTCGGGCATGTTTATCTGCACCACCTGGTAGGTGCCCCTGCCAGGGGCCTGACCTCTGTGAGGACAGGGGCCTCTCATCAGCTCAGGCCCTATGCCCAACCAGCATTTATAAATGCAGTAGGCAGCCCGCAAGAGAGCCCCCATCTGTCCTCATCTCCTGGTGCTCACGCCTCTGTAGGCCTTACCACACTGAGTCAGCGCTGACTTGGGTGTCAAGTAGGAAGTACCAGCGTGTGAGGGGGTCATAAAAAGGCAGCTTCTGCCTCGGTCTCAGACTGCTCACCCTAGGGGAAGCAAGTCATCAGACTGTGAAGACACTCAGGAAGCCCTGAGGAGATGCTCACATGGACAGGACTGAGGCCTCCGCCAACAGCAGCAGCAGCGTGTCAGCTGTGTGAGGACACCACCTGCGAGAGGATTATTCAGATAATGCAGTTCTCACTGATGTCTTGACGGCAACCTCGTGAGAAACTCCAAACCAGAACTTTCCAGCTGTAAGCCACTCCCAAATTCCGCCTCTCCCCCGCTTTTTTTTTGAGACAGGGTCTCACTCTGTCACCTAGGCTGGAGAGCAGTGGCTCCATCTCGGCTCACTGAGGCATGGCCCTTCTGGGCTCAAGTGATCCTCCCACCTCAGCCTCTCGAGTAGCTGGGACCACAGGTGTGAGTCACCAGGCCTGGTTACTTTTTTTGTTTGTTTGGTTTTGGTTTTTTTTGAGACAGAGTTTTTGCTCTGTCGCCCAGTCTGGAGTGCAGTGGTGCGATCTTGGCTCACTGCAACCTCTGCCTCCCGAGTTCAAGCGATTCTCCTGCCTCAGCCTCCCAAGTAGCTGGGATTACAGATGCGTGCTACCGTGCCTGGCTGATTTTTGTATTTTTAGTAGAGATGGGGTTTTACCATGTTGGCCAGGCTGATCTCCAACTTCTGACCTCAGGCGATACCCCATGCCTCGGCCTCCTAAAGTGCTGGGATTACAGACGTGAGCCACCACATCCAGCCACCTGGCTACTTTTTGTGTTTGTAGAGACGGAGTTGCACCATGTTGGCCAGGCTGGTCTCAAACTTCTGGGCTCAAGCAGTCCACCTGCCCCGGCGTTCCAAAGTGCTGGGATTGACTACAGGTGTGCGTGAGCCACCACACCCGGCTCACTCTCCAATTCCTAACCCACAGTGCTATGGGAAATAATGATTGTTGCTTTAAGGCAGTATGTTTTGGGGTCATTTGTTATGCAGCAATGGATAACCAATATAATGCACTTTTGCTGGTGCTTGCCCCAGACAGGGCAGTAAGGGAGACACGGAATTACAGGGGCTTAGAGTTACTGGCTTCCTTCTTTTTTTTTTTTTTTTTGAGACGGAGTCTTGCTCTTGTCACCCAGGCTGGAGTGCAATGGCGTGATATCGGCTCACCGCAACCTCCGCTTCCCGGGTTCAAGCGATTCTCCTGCCTCAGCCTCCTGAGTAGCTGGGATTACAGGCACCTGCCACCATGCCCTGCTGATTTTTGTGCTTTTAGTACAGATGGGGGTTTCTCCATGTTGGCCAGGCTGGTCTTGAACTCCTGACCTCAGGTGATCCACCTGCCTCGGCCTCCCAAAATGCTGGGATTACAGGCATGCGAGTTGCTGGCTTTCTTTTGATTCTCTGAGTTACCACCTTCTCCAGCACAGGACAGCAGTTCTGGGGCCCTGGGAACTCCTGTATACGGATCTTCCACAGTATGGATCTGGATTCTTCTAAGAGATGGAGGGACAGAGGGAAACTCCCCTTTGCCTGCCACGTGGACTCTTCTCCCCTTACACTCACTGCAGTCCAAGATTTCCACCGTCCCCTCCCTCCCTCCCTTCCTTCCTTTTCTTTCTTTCATTTCTTTCTTGAGACGGAGTTTCACTCTTCTCTGGTGCCCAGGCTGGAGTGCAATGGTGTGATCTCAGGTCACTGCAACCTCTGCCTCCCAGGTTCAAGTGATTCTCCTGCCTCAGCCTCCCGAGTAGCTGGGATTACAGGTATGTGCCACCACGCCCGGCTAATTTTGTATTTTTAGTAGAGATGGGGTTTCTCCATGTTGGTCAGGCTGGTCTTGAATTCCTGATCTCAGGTGATCCACCCACCTCAGCCTCCCTAAGTGCTGGGATTATAGGCATGACCCACCACACCCAGCCCATGCTGTGGTTTCTCATAGCTCTTCCTCTAGTCCAGGCCCCCTCCTGAGCTCTGTGCTTACATTCCTGGCAGCTTCTTAACCACCTCTTCTTGGGGTCTCAAAGTTAACAATCTTAAGCTAAAGTCTCTACTTTACCATTCTAAACAATCCTCCTTCTGGGATTCCTATTAAGGGCTTTCTAAAGCACTGATCTGACTGTATACCTCCCCTCTTTAATACACACACACACACACACACACACACACACACACACACACACACGCAGAGATTTATATACATATATACATATCCAGAATGAAATAGACAAAAATATTAATAGTTATTCTTAGATGATAAAAATACAGGTAATTTTTATTTTCTTCTTCTTCTTCTTTTTTTTTTTTTTTTTTTGAGATGGAGTCTCACTCTCTTGCCCAGGCTGAAGTGCAGTGGCGGGATCTCGGCTCACTGCAACCTCTGCCTCCTGGGTTCAAGCACTTCTTCTGCTTCAGCCCCCTGAGTAGCTGGGATTACAGGCACGCACCACCAGGCCTGGATACTTTTTTGTATTTTTAGTAGAGATGGGGTTTGCTATATTGGCCAGGCTGGTCTCAAACTCCTGACCTCAGGTGATCCACCTGCCTAAGCCTGCCAAAGTGCTGGGATTACAGGCATGAGCCACCATGCCCAGCCTCTTTATTCTTTTTAATATTATCACAAGTTATTTATTTATTTATTTATTTATTTATTTATTTTTTGAGATGGAGTTTTGCCCTTGTTGCCCAGGCTGGAGTGCAATGGCACGATCTCAGCTCACTGCAACCTCCACCTCCCGGGTTCAAGTGATTCTCCTGCCTCAGCCTCCTGAGTAGCTGGGATTACAGGCACATGCCATCATGCCTGGCTAATTTTGCATTTTTAGTAGAGACAGAGTTTCTCCATGTTGGTCAGGCTGGTCTTGAACTCCTGACCTCAGGTGATCTGCCCTCCTCGGCCTCCCAAAGTGCTGGGATTATAGGCATGAGCCACCGTGCCCAGCCATTATCACAAGTTATTTATACTTCCTTTCTCTTGTTCTTGATCAGTCTCATTAGAGGTTTATCAATTTTATTACTCTTTTCAAAGAACTATCTTTTGTTTATCTGGATATTTTCTCTTGATTTATCTCCCTCTTCACTAATTCTCTCTCCAGCTGTGTCTCATCTACTATTCAACCTATCTACTGAGTTCTTAAGTTATCATATTTTTCAGTTCTAGAATTTCCATGTGGCCTTCTTATAGTTCCAAGATTCCTGCCAAATTTTTTTTATCTTGACTTATAATTCCTTGAATATTTTATTTTTTATTTTTTTGAGATGGGGGTCTCTCTGTGTCACCCAGGCTGGAATGCAGTGGCACAATCTTAGCTCACTGCAACCTCCACCTCCTGGGAGGCTCAAGCAATCCTCCCACCTCAGTCCCCCATGTAGCTGGGTCTACAGGTGCCACATCTGGCTAATTTTTGTACTTTTAAGTAGAAACAGGGTTTTACCATGTTGCCCAGGCTGGTTTCAAACTCCTGGGTTCAAGCAATCTGCCTGCCTCGGACTCCCAAAATGCTGGGATTACAAGCATGAGCCACCACACCCAGCCTAGAATATTTAATTTAATTAATTAATTTATTTATTTATTTTGAGACGGAGTCTCACCGTCACCCAGGCTGGAGTGCAGTGGCGCAATCTTGGCTAACTGCAACCTCTGCCTCCCGGGTTCAAGCGATTCTCCTGCCTCAGCCTCCAGAGTAGCTGGGATTACAGGTGTGTGCCACCATGCCCAGCTAATTTTTGTATTTTTAGTAGAGATGGAGTTTCACCATGTTTGCTAGGCTGGTCTCGAACTCCTGATCTCAAGTGATCCACCCACCTCGGCCTCCCAAAGTGCTGGGATTGTAGGCATGAGCCACCACACTCAAGCTATTTATTTTTTTAGAGATGGGTCTCGCTCTGTCACCCAGGTTGGAGTGCAGTGGCATGATCACGGTTCACTGCAGCCTTGAACTCCTGGGCTCAAGTGATCCTCCCACCTCAGCCTCCTGGGTAGCTGGGACTACAGGCACAAGCCACTTTGTTATCTGGGTCACCTAAGGGTCTGTTTCTTTTTTTTTTTTTTTGGAGACAGAGTCTTGCTGTGTCACACAGGCTGGAGTACAACAGTGTGATCTTGGCTCACTGCAACCTCCACCTCCTGGGTTCAAATGATTCGCTTGCCTCAGCCTCCCGAATAGCTGGGATTACAGGCCCACACCACTATGACCAGCTAAATTTTTTTTTGGATTTTTAGTAGAGATGGGGTTTCACCATGTTGGCCAGGCTGGTCTCAAACTCCTGACCTCAAGTGATCTGCCCGCCTCTGCCTCCCAAAGTGCTGGGATTAGAGGCATGAGCCACTGCGCCTGGCCTCTTTTGTCCATTTTTTTCTCATTTTCAATCACATCTTGTCCCATTCTATACCTGGTTATTTCTGATTGAGTGGGGGCATCCCACATGAATAACTGTAGAGGAAATTGGAGGCTCTGGGAGACGTCACCTTCCTCCAGAGAAGACGGATCTTTACTTCTGGCAGGCAGCTAGGCCAGAGGCACCCACCACCCCAGATTGCCGTAATCAGGGATCACAGTGCTTCACAGCTGGCTTCACTTCTCACGATGGTCAGTCTACTTCCAATTGCCCTTACTCCTAGTGGGTGGCCCCTCAGGGACTCAACCCAAAGCTTGAGGGTTTTTTTGTTTGTTTGTTTGTTTTTTGAGACAGAGTCTTGCTTGAGGGACTCTTACCAGGGTCTTTCAGCAGGCCTTGAACTTCAGCTTCTGCCCTCAGCCCTGTGTGCCTGTGAAAAGTTCTGCTCAGTTCCTCAGCTCCCGAGCAGACGCGTCGAGGAAAAGTGTCCCAAATGCCAGGCTCACCTCTCTAGGTTCCCTCTTCTCCCAGATCTTGACCTCACAATTCATGACTGCCTTGCAGGCTCTTCAGTACTATCAGATTGTTTGTTTGTTTATTTGTTGAGACAGGGTCTCCCTCTGTCGCCCAGGCTGGAATGCAGTGGTGTGATCTCGGCTCACTGCAGACTCCACCTCCTGGACTTAAATGATCCTCCTACCCCAGGCTCCCACGTAGCTGGGACCACAGATGCACACCCCACCACGCCTGGCTTCATTTTTTTTTTTTTGACTGAGTCTGCCTGAACTACCCTAAGAGTTGCTAAAAGTAAGATTTACTCCCACATCATCTACAATACAGACATATTATTTTGTTAAGCAGAGTAATTTCTTTTCCTTTTTTTTTTTTTTGAGACGGAGTCTGGCTCTGTTACCCAGGCCGGAGTGCAGTGGCGTAATCTCGGCTCACTGCAACCCCCACCTCCCCAGTTCAAGCGATTCTCTCACCTCTGCCTCCCGAGTAGCTGGGACTACGGGTACGCACCACCACACCTGGCTAATTTTTGTATTTTTAGTAGAGATGGGGTTTCACCATGTTGGCCAGGCTGGTCTCGAACTCCTGACCTCAAGTGATCCACCCACCTCGGCCTCCCAAAGTGCTGGGATTACAGGCGTGAGCCACCATGCCCGGCCCTGAGTAATTTATTTTCTAAAAAGGAAAATACGTATTAGAGGACCACAAGATAAAATGGAAATCCCTCACCACGGCAGTTAAAGCCCTGACCATCAAGTTCCCATGTCCCTTTCTGCTTCCTTCTGACGTTTCCCTTCCTGAACTCAGGAAGCTGTAACTGGCCACGTGGCCCTGAAGAAAGGGCTCCTCTCTGACCTAGAGCGAAGGCCTGCCCCGCTGCCTCCCGAGCTCTGGTGACGGGAGCTGGAAGGGTGTCCTTCCTGTCCCTACACCCTGTCCCAGACACTGGAGGAATTCAGTGTGTGCTGACAAGCATGGGGGAGGTCCTAACCCTGAGTGTTGTGGGGGTGAAGGGGACCAAAGAGCCCCAGGAGCAGGTAACACCTCCTCTGCTGCCTGCTTGCTGGGAACACCTCCACTCCCTGCTTCCACCCCAGCCCGGGCACAGGGTCCCGGTCACTCCGTCCTCAGGACTCCAACGGCCTCAGCACAAACTCCCACTTCCTCAGCACCAGTTCAGTGTCCTACACCGAGACGTCGCGGTGCCACACGGAAGCACGGACTGCTCTGTCCATAGGAACAGTGGCACGCACGCCACGTGGCCAGTGTGGGCCAGCTCATCAGCACTCACGGCCCGCAACCCAGCCATGCTCACCACCACCATGTTCGTCTCCACGAAGGTGGGATCAACTGAGCAGACGGACAACACCAGCTCCTGGAGTCCTGGGCCAGGTCCTGAGGTGAGCAGAGGTGACCCCAGGCCCTGACCCTGACCCCATTGCCAGCAAGGTCACCCGGGAGGCAGGGGGCAGTTCGGTCACGGTAGGAGAAGGAAGGGCCCTGTGTCCTGACTTGGCCTTTGCAGTCACACAGACTGGGCTCTGCTGCGTTTAGCTATGTGATCTCAGACAAACCTATTGACCTCTCTGGGCCTCTGTTTCCTCATTGTGAAGTAGGGACATCATGGGATTGTTGGAGGACTCAGTGAGCAGATGGAAGACCCAGGTTAGAGGCTCTGCCAGACTCTGCAGAGCATCACAATCCTGGCCGTCCACCGAGGGCTTCCCCAGGCTGGACTCTGCGCTGAGTAGGGTCTGCTGAAGCAGCTGGTGCCCTGGGTCCCGCCCTAGTGACTCAATGGCCACCCTGAGTCCCAGGATCCAGAAGCCTGCAGGCCTGCTGGGGGACCCCCGACGGCACAGCTCAGGCCAAGTCAGAGGAAGCACAGGGAAGCGAGGGTGGGGCGTCCTGTCCAGGCACCTTGGGTGAATCTCTGGGCGTTCCCATGGTCTTGCCACAGTGCCTGCTTTGTGTCAACCAGTCCCACCAGGGCCACCGCAGCCAGCATCCCCACCTGGTGCATGCTTCCACCCAGGGCTTTTTGGAGGCGCCAGGCTTCTTCAATGAAGTCCTTGGGCCTCCCAGCCAGGGACCCCACTGGGGCGCCCAGGCCCTGGGAGGTGGAGAGGAGAGACTCCTGCCAGCTCACATCCCTGTCCTTGGGCCAGGGTGGGGACAGATGCGTAGCCCCATCTGCAGAGGTGTTAAAGGGGAACCTGGGGCCAGCTGCCAGGGATGGAGCTCAGGAATCCAACCCTGCCTCCTGCTGGGGCGCCCCACCCCACCTGTCTGTGGGAGGCCAGCCCAGGGCTTTCCCACCTTGGAGAGGCAGAAAGACACAGAGTCACAGTGCTCCACAATGTAGGTGGGCGGGACATGCAGGGCCAGCACCACGTTCATCAGCTGGGCCCTGTCCAGGTGGACCCAGGCCCCATAGGTCTGGGCCAGGAGGTGCACCTGGGGGTGAGGTGCAGGCAGAGTCAGAGGGGCCAGGCCTGAGGGAGGCATAGAGGGAGGAGGGTCCTGGGCTTAGCTGCCTGAGGAATCAGGAGGGATCAGGAGACCTGGCTGGTGACTGGCTCTGGTGATCTGGGACCCAAGCAGTCAGGCTGTGCTGCCTAAGCCTCCATGCTGGGCTCTGGGAGGATCTGGGGGTGCACATTTAACCCAGCTTTGTCGCACACTGAGCATGGGCCAAACGACCGTGGGCCAAGGGTAAATGTGTGTCACCTCATTTAGGCTGCACAACAACTCGAGGGAGACGCCGCTGCTCCCATTTCACAGGCAAGGAACGCAAGGCTTGGAGAGTTAGGCTGCTGCCTAACTAGTGTCTGGTAAACAGCAGAGCTCAGACACTGCGGCCTCCTCACCTCGCACGTGGGTGGCAAGGACCAGGTGGAGGGCACTCACACGAGCTTGTTCCTGCAGCCTCATGGGGCACACGTTTCTGCGCCAGGGCAGCAGGTCCTGGTGCTGCTCTGGGACTCAGCTCTGGGGACTTGGGGGTGGGGGCATCTCTGCTGTTGGGCTGGTGCAGGGACTAGGGGCCCTGACCTGGGGTAATAATTCCCTTTGTGTCTCAGCCTAGGACCACACATGTGTCCTTCCTGTGACAGGTCTGGCCGCTGATGGGTGCCCATGGCATAAATCAGAGGGGACTGAACCCCAGGATGGGCCAGGGGCACAGGAAGCCAGGATCAGGCTGGTGGGGGGCACACAGTGGTGGGGCTGGGCCTACCTGGCGTAGGTAGTTGATGGGGAGGATCCGGACCCCCGAGATGCTGTGTGAGTTCTCCAGGCAAATGAGCTCGCAGACCTGGTGGTAGGGACTCTGGAGGCCCCGCGTGATCATCCTCTCCAGCTCAGCCAGTCCAGAGTGCAGTGGGGCAGCTCTGGGAGGGAGTGGGAGTGCACTCCAGCCCTCTGTGGGTCAGGAAGAGGATGAGGGCTGAGGGGTCCAGGGGCACCTCTTGGCGGAGTGGGGGGCTCCTCTGGAGTAAGGAGCCAGACCCTGAGTCCTGTGTCTGCTCCCCCGAGGCCTGGGCCTTGGAGCCTTTCCTCTGTTCTGTGCATCTAGACAGACGTCCCAGCTGGGGGGCACTGGGCCCCTCCCCTATTAACTCTTCAGATGCTGCTGTCTGGCTCCCGTCGGGAGCGCGGGAGTGCTCCGAGTGTCCACTAGAGGGCACCAGGCACCAAGCACCGCCCAGGTGTCTGCCCGGCAAGCCTGGGGCCAGCCCCAGCCGCTGCCGCCCCCACGTGGCAAATCTGGGGCTCTGCTCTCCTTCCTTCCTCCCCTGGAGAGGCTGCCATCCCAGCCAGCTTCTCCATGGCTGTCCCTTTCTCCCCTCCGCAGGTCCCAGCCTGGTGCCTGGGAAGGGGGTTTGCCCCTGAGCAGCCTGTGCTGGCTGGAGGATGCCCAGGGCCCCAGGTGAGCAATGCCTGCTCCTTACCTGAGCCACCCCACCCTGCTCATAGACGTGGAGGTGGCACTCCTGCCCAAGGAGGAGCTGGGAGCCCCGGCGCCAGCAGTGACACATCACTGAGACAGAAGGAGGGCAGGTCTTGGCATTGAGTCTGGAGGCATGTGGCCCTGCTCAGCGTGGCTAGGCTGAGCCCTAAGGCTACAGTCAACTCACAAATGCCTGAGGCCGGCAAGGAAACAGCACCTTCAAGACACCTCAGTGCTACGTGCCAGAAGACCATCCCATTAAACACACAAGTCTAGGATAGCTGTGCTGCGCTGGGAATCGCTGGGCCACACCCAGCCTGCACACCTGCGCCTGGAGGCCCCTCCACAGAGCATCGCCTGCTGGAGAAGCTGCTGCAATGCTGCTTCTTGGTGGACACGCAGCCGAGGCACCTGCAGTCGTCAGACCCTGGCAGGAAACAGACGGCACACACACACTGGGAAACTGGCAGTGTTTAATCATGGGACGGTTTATAGAGGGGAGGCAGGAGCAGGGAAGCCCGGAGAACAGGCCTGAGGGGTGAGAGGAAGGTGTGGCTGCAGGAACCCGGAGCCAGGGCTATGTGGAGAGGTCCCTGACGCTGGCCCAGAGGCCCTGGGGACCCTCGGAAGAGGAGCTAGGGAGGAGCAGACCTGCAGCCCCCACTGTCCTCCTCCCCCATCTCCTTCCAGGGCTCCCCACCAACCCAACAGAAATGGAGGAATGTGGTCCATGAGTGTCAGAGCCCCCCCATATGCACTGAGGACCTGCTAGGCAGACAGAAGTCGCCCTGCGCTCACCAGAGATGAGGTTGGCCATAGTGTTGGAGGGCACAAAGAGGGTGCGCCCCAGCCCTAGCAGCTCCACAGCCATTTCTTGCAGCTCTGCGGAGGGACAGGGAAGCCGCTGTGCTTGCACACTCGGGTGTCAGCACCGTCCATGCTGCTTTCCCTGTGTCACTTGGGCCAGAGCACGCCCTGAGCCCAGGTGAGGCCCCTAGCCCGAGGCTCCGGTGAGCAGCTGAGTGGGTTTGGAGCCCCATCCACCAGCTGCACACTCTGTGGGCTTAGCAACCACACATCCAGCCCCACAGGGCCCTCAGTCAACTCTGCACCCCACCTACCCTGGGCCATGGCCTCTCCCCGCTCCCCCCAAGAACCTCTCTTGTGGTTTGAACCTGTCCCCGGCAGACCTCACACCTGTCTCACTTCCTTTCCCCTCAGCCCTTTGCAGGTGGGGCCTGTGGTTTCTCTGCTGACTTCCTTTCCTCGTCAGGAGGGATGAGTGGGGGGCTGGACGGGGTGTGAGGGTGCAGCTGGAGGGTGAGGAAGGCTCCCGCTCTTGCTGTAAAGCCCACTGTGGTCCCCCCAACTGTGGCATCAAGTCCTTAGCATGACACTCAGGGCTGGAGTGACCTGGCCTCTGCCCCCCCTCCTCAGAGCCTCCTGCACTCTCCACACCTGCCACATCCCCACCTGCGCCCTGAAGACCTTTCTCACCAGTCTGCTTCTGCTCCTGAAGACCCCTGCCCTGTGAGCCGGCGCTCCCTTCCCTGCCTGGGATGCTTCCACTCAGCCTGCAGGAGGGCTCCTCTGTGAAGCCCCCTTCCCCGTGAGCCACAGCCTCGCCCCATCCTCTGCTTCCCAGGGCACCCTCTCTAGACTCCCATCAACTCAAGCGCCTCCCCAGCCTCTCCTTGAGCGGCAGTGACTTGTTGACATGTGAGGCTGCCTGGGAGCATGGAGATCAGCATCTCCAGCAACGCTGGGCAGCAGCTGGATACATGCTTAGCCCCAGCCATCCCTTAACCCCTTAGCAGACGGGCCCTCGGGATTCAACTGGTGACCCCATGGCTTGTCCTGGCCTAGCTGAGGGGTGTGCACACCCCAACAGTCAAAGTGGTTCACTATGGCAACTCACAACCCAGGGCTGGGGCTGGGGGTCGCTGTACCCTGGAGACACTCCCTAGGTTATTAGAACCCACTCCTTGCGAGGTGCAGCCTGTAGAACCTGCCCCTTTCTACATCTATTTTCCATTTGCCTTCTGTGGGGGAAGGCAGTGCAGGAGAACAGTTGTGGGTTTCAGAGTCAGAAGACCCGGGTTCAAACCTTGGTTCTGCCATTTACTAAGTATGGGGCCTGGAGCGCCTCCCTCCACATCTCAGAACCCTCCTCTGCAAGACTGGACATCACCCATCTCAGGGGGCAGCTGGGTGACAATGCAGGACACACACAACCACCTGGTGAGCCTATAGAAATGCAGGTTCTTCTCGGCAGGCCATGTGAATCTGCATTTCTTTTATTTATTTATTTTTATTTTTATTTTTTTTTTTTTGAGATGGAGTCTCGCTCTTGTCGCCCAGGCTGGAATGCAGTGGGACGATCTCAGCTCACTGCAACCTCTGCCTCCCGGGTTCAAGTGATTCTCCTGCCTCAGCCTCCTGAGAAGCTGGGATTACGGGTGCCCACCACCACGCCCAGATAATTTTTGTATTTTTAGTAGAGATGGGGTTTCATCATGTTGGCCAGGCTGGTCTCGAACTCCTGACCTCGTGATCCGCCTGCCTTGGCCTCTCAAAATGCTAGGATTACAGGCTTGAGCCACTGCGCCCGGCCGGAATCTGCATTTCTAACTTTCAGGTAACAGCAGCACGCACGCAGACGGCAAGCCTATCCTGTGGCAGGTGTTCATTACACCCATTTATGTCGGAGGTTGCAATTTTTTGAATTTTTGCCATCAGACCTTGGCGATGACCTTGAGCAGTAGGACATAAATACCTCCCAGATGCTTAGCGTTCCAATAATGGAACACTAGGCATAAATGGGTTTTAAGCGCCAAGGGAGCCACTTCCCCTGCGTCCCAGACCATCACGGACAGCGCTCCGCTGCCGCCTCCACGACCCCCGGCCTGCACGCCGGTCTTCGCCGTAGTCGTCGTCCCCCACGACCGCCTCGGCCATGACGCACCTCATGGCCGGCCCGGGCCTGGTCACCTTGTCGCTGCGCAGGCCCACCACGTAGGCTGCGACCCCCGCGCTCCCACACCCCGCCCGGAGCGCCCCATGTACCGGGGCCGCCGCTCGGGCCAGTCTGCGGAGCATGGCGCGGGCAGCGCCCGACTCCCCACCCCGGCGGGAGCTGCTGACTCCTCTACTCCCCAGCGAAGGCGGCGAGAGCGACGTGGTCGGTGCGGCCAGAATTCCTAGAGCTGGGAAGCAGCCGCCCTGGGCCGGGGGTCCAGGGAGCGAGCCCCGTGGCACGCTGGGAGTTGTAGTTCGCGCTCCCTCGCGGCGGGCGTGCGCGAGCGTCTGCGAACGGGCCCCGTGGCACGCTGGGAGTTGTAGTACGGGCTGCGTCGCGGCGGAGAACCAGCGAGCCCGTGATGCTGAAGCAGAAGGTTCTGCTCATTGAAGGAGAAACCGAGGCCGAGCGAGTGTGTGTGTGTGTGTGTGTGTGTGTGTGTGTGTGTGTGTGTGTGACAGAGTCTCGCTTTGTCGCCCAGGCTGGAGTGCAGTGACGCGATCTTGACTCACTGCAACCTCCGCCTCACAGGTACAAGCAATTCTCCTGTCTCAGCCTCCCGAGTAGCTGGGATTACAGGCGCGCGCCACCACGCCCAGCTAATTTTTTTTTTTTTTTGTATTTTTAGTAGAGAGGAGTTTTCACCATGTTGGCCTGGCTGGTCTCGAACTCTTGACCTCAGGTGATCCACCCGACTTGACCTCCCAAATTGCTGGGATTACAGGCGTGAGCCACTGCACCCAGCCCTGGGCGAGCTTTTATAACACAGACGCTCATGTGGCACTTGCCATGTGCCAGGCTCTGCCCCAGGCCCTTTGCAAATGTTAGCTCAGTTAAACCTCCCAACGACTCTAGGAGACAAGCACTATTGCTATCCCTGTCTTGCAGATGGGGAACAGGAGACGCGGAGCTAACGGACAGCTGGAGGCCACTTGGGTAGGAATTGGTCCGGGCGGGGTACCGCTGTCTCCAGAGGGCAGCCCTAAATCACTGTTTCATGCTGCCCCTAAAACACAGCTTCCCTCGTTTACCATCTTCAGTATTGATTTGTTGAGCAAGTTCGGTGCGCCAGGCAGTGTCCAGGTGTCCAGGTGCCAGGCTGGGGGACAGGGCTATGTCTCCAGCCGGGTTCCAGTCTAAGGGGAGACCGCTAAAAGAATGCGTGGGGAGCCCCTCCTCCATAGGCCCCTGCCCCTGGGTGGACTGCCTCCATGGGGGCAGGGTGGTGCTGAAGTTCAAGCCAGCTGTGTGGCCTTGGACAAGCCATGTAGCTTCTTTGTGCCTCGGTTTCCTCAACTGCAGATTGGGCTGTTGTGAGCATTCAGTGACTGGATATGTGTTTGGTGCTGACCCCAATGCCTGGCTTGCTGTAAGCTCAGGGTGGTCACCCCACTGTGGCTGTTTTTTAATTTTTTAAGACAGGGTCTCACTCTATCCCCCAAGCTGGAGTGCAGTGGTGTGATTACAGCTCAGTGCATTCTTGACTTCCTGGGCTTGGGTGAACCTCCCACCTCAGCCTCCCAAGTAGTTGGGACTACAGGCAAGTGCTACTATGCCTGGCTAATCTTTCTGTGTTTTTCGTAGAGACAAGGTCTTGCTGTGTTGCTCAGGCTGGTCTCAAGCTCCTGAGCCCAAGTGATTCTCCCTCAGCCCCACAAAGTGCTGGGATTACAGGCGTGAGCCATCACGACCTGCCCAGCTGTGGCTGTTATTATCATTGTCGTTACTGATCCCAGCTTGGAACTCTGAGGGCCCGGGGGCTTTGGGGTGAACTCTGACACAGTCTAGACTGTGGGGTGCCCTTCCCCCACACAGGGAGCACAGGCACCCATTGCCACTCAGCGGCTCCTCTTCCTCTTTCTGTCCCCCATAGGAGAAAGATCCAGGAGGGGCCACAGCTGCTGGGCCAAGCGTCTGGTGAGGGTGGCCCTTGGTGAGGAGGACACCCATCCTAGATCAGTCATGGCCAGGCCTTTACCACAGGCCAGCTCCAGGTCAGGCCTGGGGACTTAGGGCGAGCAGAGGTGGCCTGCCCTCCAGAGCTCAGGTCCCAGGGGTGGGGGACAAGATGCTGGCCGTGAGAGGATGGCAGCGAGGAAGCAGCTCTAACAGTCCCAGTCCAGGCAGCAGGGCAGGCTTTTTGGAGGAAGCAGTGATTAGGCTGAGCTTCGAAGATGGAGCCGACTTTGGACAGAGGGATAGCAGGGGTGAAGCCTCTGGGTAGAGAGGAGCTGCTGCGTTTGTGGCCCTGAGGGCCAGCGTGGCTGGGGAAGTGAGCAGGGGTGGGGATGGAGCCCAAAAGCTACATCCGGGGCCTGATGACCTCTCAGGGGCTCTCCATCTCTCTTCCTTCAGCTTGGTGGGAATTGTAAGTACCCGCAGGGTCAGTGGTCCCAAGGACACCCATGTGATGGACAGGCTTGCTGCCTTCCCCTCCCCAGAGCCCTTCTGGGCCTGACCCACAATCTGCACCAAATTCCTGCCCTTAGAAAACAAGCCCCTTATCTCATTGTCTGGCTCCAGACCTTCTGCTGGGAAGTAGGGGGCGGGGAACGGAGGCCTCTGTGGGAAGGAAAGGAGGTGGTCTGGCGGGGCAGGGACTGGGGGCAGGGATAGCAGCGCTCAGGGGAGAAGGGGGACAAACAAATGGACCCCCGGCCCCTCGAGCTATGGCAGAATCACAGAATGGCCTCCTGTTTGCCAAGCTTCGCAGTCTGCAAAGCCTGCCCTCTGCAGCTTCCCTGCCAATGGTCCCAGCGGCTTTGCAGTGGAAGGATGGGCAGGGAGGCTGGGGTCACAGAGGCCCGAGGACCCTGCCCGAGAGGCACAGCTGGTCACCCAACAGGGCCTTTCTCCCTTTCTCCCAAATCAGAGCTGTCTCCCCAGATAGGTGGCCTCTCCCTGGGGGAACCTGGGGCAGAACAGTTTCCTTCTTCTGGGTCCTCCTATCTAGTCCCCGGGTCACCTGGGCCAGCCCTGCCTTGTCCCAGTGGGGTCTGACAGTGTGGAGGAGCAAGAAGGGTGGGCTCTCACACGGAAAGGTGCAGTGAGGCCTGTGGCAGGTGGACCCCATGACCCCAGCTTGGCCTCTGGGGGGTTGTCTGGGCTCCTACATGTGTGTGTGTGCATGCGTGTGTACATGGGTGTGTGTGTGTGTGTGCATGTGTGTGTGCGCACGTGTGTGTGTGTGACCCTGGCTGCAACTGAGATCTGAGTTGTCTTGCTGGTAAGCTGGGGACGGGCCGCAGTTCCCAGGCTGGGATGAGAAGCCCAAAGCCCTCTGTGGAGCCAACTCTACTTGCCCCCACCCCTGTCCCAGCACTGACCCTCTTCCCTCCCCTCTCTGCAGTTCTTCTTGACATTCTCACTAGAAGGGTCACCATCACTGGAGGTCCTGGGGTCATCTCCTGCCCCAACGCAGGCTGGCCCCACCCCCACATGCCAGCTGCTCCCTTCTCTCCTGAGCCCCTGCCCCCCAGGACTGACCCCTGCAGCCCAGCCCTTCCCAAACTTCTGAGCTCCTCTGTCCGTGGGTGCAGTGGGGCCCCTCGGCGGGGCTTCCTCCCTGGCCTCTGTGGGATCCAGCCCTTCTGCCTCCCAGACGCCTCCCCGCCCCACACTCTGGCTTGCAACACTTCTGTTCCCGAATGCGCTGGCCTCTCTTTCACCCCGAGACCTCTGCACCTGCATTCTGTCTGGAAAACCCCCAACCGTCGGCACGCATCCCTGGTCACCACCTTCTAAGTCTTCAGATCTTAGCTGAGACGCCTCATTCTCCATGAAGCCCTCCTGGCCCAGCCCAGTGGGGGATGGAGGTAGCCCTCCTCCTGTGCTGCCTATAGCACCTTTTCTTCCCACTGCGCACGGGTCACAGCTGCCTGTTTACTCCTCTGACTTCTCCGTGTGGCTGATGCCCTGTGCCTGCAGGGCCCAGACGCCCTCCTCCTTTGGTGTGTCCTGCATGCCTAGCCCAGTGCCAGGACCACAGGACTCAGTAAACACCAGCCAGGTGACTGACAATGGAGGGACATGTGGTTCGCCATCCCCTGCCCCTGGGACCCCCCAGGCAGAAGTGTGCACACCCCCCAGGGTGTGAGACCCCTGTGCAGAAGGACATGGCGAGGATTCCAGAGGAACAGGGGCTGGCCTGGCCTCAGCCTCTCAGAGTCAGGTCTGGGGGTCCTGAAGACAGCCCCCTCCCTGGCCTTCTTGAGAGATTTGCGGCTCCCCTGAGCAGTGGGAGGCCACTGGGCTGGCTGGAGGGGGCCTTGCGACATAAGCCCCAGGTGGGCTGCCTTTCACGGCGCCCCCGGCTCCCTGGCACCCGCCCAGGCGCAGGCGCTGGGGTGTGGGCACACACTCACATGCTGAGTTCAGTGTGCGGATTCCTGTAACGCTGGGCTGCTGGCAGGAAGTGCGCGCCGGGGAGGCTGCTGCTGGGAACCCAGGGCTGGCCCCGCTGAGATAAAGGGAGGCAGCAGATCGCAGCTGGAGATAGCGGCCCTGGGTCCTGGTAAACAGGTGGGGGGGGTGGGGGGGGGGAAATGTCCTTTCCATCCCATCCTCTTGGCCCTGAGCCTGCAGGATCTATAGCGCCCTAGCCTAAGCCCAGCCCCGATAGCTTGGGATCCAGAGGGGAGTTGTCGGCACTGCCATCATCATTCCCAGCCTGGGGGACTGGGTGGCAAAGGACAGGGCGCTGGGCCTGGGGGCCTGGCTGGGCCCATGGTGGGCATGCACTTGGCCCACGTGGGGGCCACTGGGTGTCAAGGTCATGTGTGCTGTTGGGAGGGTGGGAAGGGGAAGGGAGGGAGCTCCTCCAAGCCCCTGCACTTCCCCAACTGGGACCCCCTAGTGGGAAAGATGTCCCTCTCCAGGTTCGCCTTCAGCACCATCTCCGGAAATCCAGAGTGAGGTGCCATGAGGGTGCGAGACCGGGAGAGAATGGGGGGTGGAGTGAGGGGGGCGTGAGGGCTGTTCCCCAGCCAGGTGCAGAGCAGGGGGGCTACAGAGCTGGGGAGACCCTGTGCATGACTTCAACAGGAAGCCACAGGATGTTCACCTGCACTCCATCAGCTCACCGTGGGCTAGCGGGAGCTCGGCATGGCCCATCCCCAGTGCCCAACACAATGGGCGCTCAAATACACTTGCTTGTTTAAAAAATTAAGAAATTTACCACGCATACAGAAATGCTCATGAAGCATATTTGTACAGTGTTATGAATAAATACATATAAAATAAACTCCCGTGCCATAGCCACTCAGACCAATAAATAGTCCATGGTGGGGCGTGGTGGCTCACGCCTGTAACCCCAGGGCTTTGGGAGGCCAAGGCGGGTGGATCACCTGAAGTCAGGAGTTCGAGACCAGCCTGGCCAACATGGAGAAACCCCGTCTCTACCAAAAATACAAAAAATTACCCAGGCATGGTGGTGGGCGCTTGGAATCCCAGCTACTCGGGAGGCTGAGGCAGGAGAATCACTTGAACTCGGGAGGCAGAGGTTGCAGTGAGCCGAGATCGTGCCATTGCACTCCAGCCTGGGCGACAGAGCAAGACTGTGTCTCACACACACACATACACACAAACACAAACACACACACACACAAAAGAAATAGACCATGGCCAGGATTCCAGAAGCTTCCTTCCTATTTACAACCCTTCCCTCTGCAGAAGTTACTGCTGCCCTGACATTCTTCTTCATATATATATACACATATACATATACATACACATATATGTATACATATATATACACATATATATACACACACACATAGATAGATAGATAGATAGATGATAGATAGACAGATTTGAGATGGAGTCTAACTATGTTACCCAGGCTGGTTTCGAACTCCTGGACTCAAGCGGTCCTCCCACCTCTGCCTCCCAAATCTCTGGGATCACAGATGTGAGCCACCAGGCCTGGCCTGGCCTGACTTTTATGACCAGGACTTGCTTTTCTTTATGATTTTGCCACCGTAGATGTATCCCTTAATAGCAGTTGAGTGTTGAGTGTGGCCTGTGTGTGAACTTTACAGAAGTCGAATCAGGGTGTCTCCTTTTATGTCTGGCTTCATTAGGCTGTTTGCAAGAGTCACCCGTGCTGTGGCTGTCATTTATTCTCTGCTGCCAGGTACTTTTCCACTGGGTCCCTAGAGCATAGTTTATTTCTCCATTCTACCTGTTTAGGGACATTTGGGATTTTGTTTCCAGACTGGCCATGTACGGTGGTGCTGGTGGGCATTCTTATTCCTGTCTGCTGGGGCACAGGTGCCTGCTTCGGGAGGGCGGACGCCTGGCGGTGGGGCTGCTGATTCTGGGGTCTCTCATCTGCAGCTTTACTAGGTGTGCCAAATCCTTTCCCAAAGTGCTGGAAATGCCCTCCTCCCCCACTTTCCCACACTTCTCCATCTCGGTAACACTAGTGTTATCAGACTTCTTCATCTTAGCTGTCCTTGTGATATGTGGTGATATCTCCTGGCAATTTTAATCTGATCTTTTTTTTTTTTTTTTCTTTGATGGAATCTCACTCTGTCACCCAGGCTGGAGTGCAGTGACGCAATCTCGGCTCACTGCAACCTCTGTCTCCCGGGTTCAAGCGATTCTCCTGCCTCAGCCTCCCGAGTAGCTGGGATTACAGGTGCCCACCACCACGCCTGGTTAATTTTTGTATTTTTAGTAGATGGGGGTTTCACCATGTTAGCCAGGCTGGTCTTGAACTCTTGACCTCAGGTGATCTGCCTGCCTCGGCCTTCCAAAGTGGTGGGATTACAGGCATGAGCCACCGTGCCTGGCCTCTTTTTTTTTTTTTTTTTTTTTTTTGAAGAAACTGAGTCTTGCTCTGTCACCCAGGCTGCAGTGCAGTGGTGCAATCATAGCTCATTGCAGCCTGAACTCCTGGGCTTAAGCAATCCACCCCCATCAGCCTCCCAAGGTGCTGGGATTATAGGCATGAGCCACCACACTGGGCCCTGCTCTTTCTGTTAACTGCTAAAGGAGAGTACCTTTTATTATTTATTTATTTATTTATTTATTTTTTGAGACGGAGTCTCGCTCTATCGCCCAGGCTGGAGTGCAGTGGCGCGATCTCGGCTCACTGCAAGCTCCGCCTCCCAAGTTCACACCATTCTCCTGCCTCAGCCTCCCGAGTAGCTGGGACCACAGGCGCCCGCCACCATGCCCGGCTAATTTTTCTTGTATTTTTAGTAGAGACGGGGTTTCACCGTGTTAGCCAGGATGGTCTCGATCTCCTGACCTCGTGATACACCCGTCTTGGCCTCCCAAAGTGCTGGGATTACAGGCGTGAGCCACCGCGCCCAGCCCCTTTTCTTATGTTTTAGCCGTTTGAATTCCTCTTTGTGAAGAGCATGTTCTGGTCTTTTCTCATTGACTGGTCAGGCTGGTTGGTATGTGCAAGCATACTGATCCTTGCGGGTTCTGTGCGTTGCAAAGATTTCACCCCAGGGCTGGGTGCAGTGGCTCATGCCTTCAATCCCAGCACTTTGAGAGTCCAAGGCGGGCGGATCACAAGGTCAGCAGTTCGAGACCAGTCTGGTCAACATAGTGAAACCCCATATCTACCAAAAATACAAAAGATTATCTGGGTATGGTGGTATGTGCCTGTAATCCCAGCTACTTGGGAGACTGAGGCAGGAGAATCACATGAACCCAAGAGTCAGAGGTTGCAGTGAGCAGAGATCGAGCCATTGCGCTCCAGCCCGGGCAACAGTGCGAGACTCCATCTCAAAAAAAAAAAAAAAAAAATTTCCCCACAGTACAGCTGCGGTGGCTCTCGCCTATAATCCCAGCACTTTGGGAGGCCAAGGGACGGGGATCACTGGAGGTCAGGAGTTCGATACCAGCCTGGCCAACGTGGTGAAACCCTGTCTCTACTCAAAATACAGAAATTAGCCAGGCGTGGTGGCACATGCCTGTAATCCCAGCTACTGGGGAGGCTGAGGCAGGAGAATTGCTTGAACCCAGGAGGTGGAGGCTGCAGTGAGCTGACATCGAGCTACTGCACTCCAGCCTGGGTGACAGAGTGAGACTCTGTCAAAAAAAAAAAAAAAAAAAAAAATTTCCCCCGTGCTGTGGTTTGTCTTTTTTTGTTGTTATTGTTTGAGACAAGGTCTGACTCTTTTGCTCAGGTTGGAGTGCAGTGGTATGATCATAGCTCACTGTAGCCTCAACCTCCTGGGCTCAAGCAGTCCTCCGGCCTCAGCCTCCAGAGTAGCAGGGACATACCACCATGCCTGGCTATTTTATTTTATTTGCAGACATGAGGTCTTGCTATGTTGTCCAGGCTGGTCTCAAACTCTTGTCCTCAAGCAGTCCTCCCAACTTGGCCTCCCAAAGTGCTGGGATTACAGGCATGAGCCACTGCAGCTGGCTGGCTTTTCTTTTTCTTTTCTTTCTTTTTCTTCTTCTTTTTTTTTTTTTTTTTTTTTGAGATGGAGTCATGCTCTGTTGCCCAGGCTGGAGTACAGTGGTGCGATCTCAGCTCACTGCAACCTCCACCTCCCAGGTTCAAGCGATTCTCTGCCTCAGCCTCCCCAGTAGCTGAGATTACAGGCACCGACCACCACACGCAGCTAATTTTTGTGTTTAATAGAGAGGGGATTTCACCATGTTGGCCAGGCTGGTCTTGAACTCCTGCTCTCAAGTAATCCACCCGCCTTGGCCTTTCAAAGTGCTGGGATGACAGGTGTGAGCCGCTGCACCCGGCCCCGCTTCTGTCTTTAGATACGGTTGCAAGCTGTGGTGTGTGTGGACAGGGGAATGGGGACTTAGGGATTGGGCTGGGGGGACCCTCAGGAACCCCTCTACTGCCTTCCAGGTGTCCCCAGCTTGGGCTGAGACCAGGGCACCCCCTTGTGCCTTCTGCCCCCACCTGCTCCCTCCTGGGCCTACCAGCCTGCGGCCGCACTGGCTGCTGACAGCTGGGACGCTGGGGTCTGGCGTTATTTACTGCGGCAGCTTCCTCCTCCTTCCAGGAACTTGTCCTCTAACTTGGGGCGGCAGCGAGGCCTCTAATCTTTCGGATCTCGTTTACCGGCATTGGCCTCTCACTTCCTGTTGCTAGGCCTGGACCGAGGCACGGGGTCAGCTCCGTGCACTGCGCCTTGCCTGTTGCCGGGGCCTCTGTTCTGGCCCCTCGGCAGGGAGGACAGAGGGTCAGATGCCGGGCCTCAGGCACAGTGGCCATCTGGGGTAGGGCCAGCTCCACAGAGGCAGGGGACCCAAGGCTGAGCCGGCTGTGGGCTCTGCTTCCTGGAGTCCAGGGTCCAGCACGGGGACCAGGTTATTCCTTCGCTCCTCCTGGCTTGGCAGAGCGTCATGGAAGGTGGCCTTCCCCAGACTCCCCCACATCCCCTCCTCCCACTTCTGCAGCCACCAGAGCCAGGGCCCTTGTGGGAAAGGACAGGGAAGTCTCAGGAGTTTGGGCACAGACAAGATCCCTGGAGACCGTGGGGTCTGCTGCCCTGGAGATGTGGAATCCCAGGCCTTGCCCACCTCCTCCACCCTGGGTGGGTTCCCCAACCACCCAGAGGAGTGCTGGCATCTCGGGGCCACCAGGGCATGGGCAAGAGTGGCTGCCCAGCCCCTGCCAAGGGCCTGAAGCCAGCGCCAGGCAGACCCTGCCTTGTTGAGCAGTATCTTCAGTAAGGGCTCTGTGTGCCGAACACCTGCTGTGCGCCCTGCACACTTATCCCAGAGATGGGATTCAAACCCAGGTTGCCCAGCGCAGAGAAACAGCATTCTCCTTCTGCATCCGTGAAGGAAGCTTTGTCTTCTAAAAGCCCTAGCCCTTCTGTTACCTTGTCCTCAGCCGGCCTGCTTCTGTCCCTGTGCCATAAGCCAGATGAATTTCTCTCCCAGGCTGGCCCTGCAGAGGATGAGAGATGGCCCTTGTTAGAGGCACCCTGGGCACCCCAGGCATGGCTCCCCAGCTGATGATAGAACAACTGAGACAGACCCGGCATGGTGGCTCACACCTGTAATTCCAGCACTTTGGGAGGCCGAGGCAGGCGGATCACTTGAGGTCAGGAGTTCGAGACCACCCTGGCTAACATGGTGAAACCCTGTCTCTACTAAAAATACAAAAAATTAGCCGGGCGTGGTGGCAGGCGCCTGTAGTCCCAGCTACTCAGAAGGCTGAGGCAGGAGAATGGCGTGAACCCGGGAGGCAGAGCTTGCAGTGAGCCGAGATCTCACCACTGCACTCCAGCCTGGGTGACAGAGCGAGACTCTGTCTCAAAAAAAAAAAAAAAAAAAAACATCTGGGATCAGGAAACGAGGAAAAGTATGGTCTTCATAGTGGCAGAGTTTGCAGGGGTCTTTGGGAAGAAGGAAGGTTGGAACTTGAGGCTGGGGGATGGATCATAGGGGAGGGGCTCCATCCTAGCTGGGGAAGGGAGGGCTGTCCTGCTGACATTGGCCTCTAGAATGGGATATGCAGGATGACCCCCCTGGGGCAGGGAGGAGAATGTTATACTTAGCATTTAAATCTCGCTCTTTTTAAATGCCTATCTTTCGTGAATGTTTTATAATGCAAGTAATGTATTCATGCGGTCATGGAAACTTGTAATCTAAAAATAACTATGCATATATCATTTTTGTTGGTAAGGGTGCACGATCAAAATAGTGTGAAGGTTTGAAGGTCACTTTCTCCTAGGTCTTATTGTTTCTTTAATTACTTTTTATTTATTTATTTATTTTTTTGGAGATGGAGTCTTGCTTTGTAACCCAAGCTAAAGCTCACTGCATCCTCGAACTCCTGGGCTCAAGAGATCCTCCTGCCTCAGCCTCTAGGGTAGCTGGGACGGTAGGCGTGTGCCACCGCATCTGGCTCTAGGTCTTATAATTTCTGTCCTTGGCCACCCACCTGCTGATTCCAAGGTCTAGGATGGCAGGATGAAGGAAGGTCCCACATTTGGGGACCTGCAGGACAGGCTGCAACAGAAAGGCCTAGTTTAATGAGTAGCATGGGCGGGCCTGGAGACCGAGAGGTGATGTAGGCACGCATGGGGTTCAGGCCTCTCTGTGGTGAGCGCTTGCCCCCGCTGGAAGCAGAGACAAGACCCTGGCTGGGTCTTCTGTTTTGTTTTGTTTTGTTTTGTTTTCTGAGACAGAGTTTTGCTCTTGTTGCCCAGGCTGGAGTGCGATAGCGCAATGTTGGCTCACTGCAGCCTCTGCCTCCTGGGTGGAAGTGATTCTCCTGCCTCAGCGTCTCGAGTAGCTGGAATTACAGCCACACACCACCACGCCTGGCTAATTTTGTATTTTCAGTAGAGATGGGGTTTCTCTATGTTGGACAGGTTCCTCTCGAACTCCTGACCTCAGGTGATCCGCCCGCCTCGGCCTCCCAAAGTGCTGGGATTACAGGCGTGAGCCACTGCTCCCGGCCATGTGCCGTCTGATTAGGAACCCAAGAGCCCCTTCCTGGGAACAGAAGGACAACTGGCACCTGCTGAGGCACGCCCACTTGCCGAGCTGCCCTGGGATCCCTGGGCAGAGCGTCATCGCTTAAGAACCTAATTCCACAACAAATATTTGTCACGCTCCTGCCAGGGCCCTGGCAGGAGCAGAGGCGGTGTGTACTGCCATGCATTCCTGGTCTGTTGGGTGATTGACACATACAAGACGCCAGCGGTCCTGAGAGTCAGGTGCCTTCCTGGACCCCTTGGTGAGCGGAGGTGAGTTGCCATCAAGGAGGGAAGATTCAGGAAGATAACTCCAAGGTCCTCAATCCGTCCACCAGTCAGTGGATGGCAAACATAATCCATGGGCACTGATTAGGTTTGCCAGCCCATGCTGAGTGCTGGGTTCAGTGTCCTTCGTCTCCTGCCAAGGGGAGAGGACCTCGAATGGACGCCTGGGACCATGATCCCATTTTGCTGGGGAGGAAACAGATTAGGGAGGAAGGGAACCTTGGTGGTGAGCAGTAAAGCCAGGATTGGAACCCGCGCCGCTAAGGTCTCTGCCTCCCTGTAGGACCCACCCTGGCTGTGGGGAGGCACTAGCTTGGGGAGGAGCCCCTGGCTGGTCCTCCCAGGTGTGTGTGGAGTCAGCCAGGGGCAGTGCTGGCAGGGCCTCCAGGCACTGTCCAGCCTCCTCCTCTTCTGCACTTGGAAGAATTCCAGCTGTTTTTCAGCCTCTCTCTTCCTCCAGGAAGCCTTGCATGATAGCCCTACCCCTCTGCCAAGACACACACCCTCTTCTCCCTTTTTCCTTGGCACCTGGCTTATCTCACAGTTGCCTTTGTCGTCGGCCAGCGTCCCTCACTGGGTTTCAGGCTCATGGAGGGCAAGACCTGAGTCTTTCATTCTCAGGATCCCTAGCAGGGGGCTTAGGGCATAATGAGCATTCAGGAAATAACTGGAGAAACGTGGATGAGGAAACGGATAGCAGAGGGTGGAGAGGGGCTTGCTTCTAAAGGCGAGACGTGAACCTAGTGGGATGACCAGGCAGGGTGGGGGTGGTGGGGAGTTGTGGGGAGGCCAGTACAGAACAGCTCCAGGGAGGGCATGGAGCATGGTGTGAGCAGGAGGCCTGTCTGACCTCCGGGGATGGCCCCGTGGGACAGAGGACCTTGAAAGCCAGGCAGAGGGATGGGATCAGATACTAACGCCCATAGGGAGCCCTGGCAGGTCCTTGAGCAGGGGCATGGCAGGGCAAGCCTTCCTTTAGCCCAGGGTGAGCTTGCGCCAACCCGTGCTGCAGAGGAGAAGGGCATGGAGGATAGCTACTCCCTCTGGGTGTTCTTCCGGCCCGGCTACCCTCAGCCAGAGCTCAGGAATCACACTCCCCTGGAACCTGGAGTTTTGGATTCAATCTTTATTCAATAAATGGCTTATTGGGAACCGACAGGGTGGCTAGAGCCTGCCTGGTGTTGGGGTTGGGGGACCCTGCCTGGTGGTTTGGGCTCTGTGGGTGTGTGAGGACCACTCCACGGTGGTGCTGGCGTTCCCCATTCCACTCTGGGCTCAGCGCCCCTGACACACTCCCCCTGCCCACTCTGGAGGCCAGGCCCCCTGGTGCTGGGGGAGGCACTGGCTTGGAGAGGAGCCCCTGGCTGGTCCTCCTAGAAGAGAGAGTCTGTGGGGTGGGCCTCCACAGCCCTGCCGGGCCCCACACGGGCAGCTGTTCCCGGAATGGGGGTTTGAAACTTTTCTTTTGTTGGCGAATATGCATGTGGTCTTAATTATTAATATGCAGCACTTATCTCCCCCAAATGTTTTATCGGGATTCGGCAGATCCGAGTGTGCAGGCAGTGGGTGCGGGGGCAGGGCAGGGATATTATGGGAGCACAGGGAGGCCCCAGAAGTTGGAGTGTCCTCCAAATCAGCTGGATGACCCAGAGGAAGGAAAGACCCTGGTTAACGATGGTCAAGTTAACTCTTTCAGGCCCTGCCCAATGCTGCAAAATCGCACCTGGGTGTTTGGCCTGGGTAGGCCTACCGCGCCTTTCTGGGTTCTGGCCTATGCCGATGTCTCCCCTGCCCCGCAGGACCCTGGTGGACTGGAGGGAAGGTAGGGAGCCGCATCTCTCAGCAGCAACCCAGGACTTAAGGAGGGCCATTGCCCTTTTCTGGTGGGGGTGAAGGAGGAGGAAGCAGCGTGACCTTGGAATCCGTCACCTATTAACTTCCCGCGTATCACCTGATCTCATTCGGCGTCCACCACCCCCTGGAAGTGGGCTTATCGGGCCCATTTTTAGACGAGGAAACCAGAGTGAGACGAGTCACAGATCTGAGGACCTCCAGCAGAGCAGGGAGGTGCCCAGGTGGGGGGCGGGCGGGTGGTCTTTCTTTTGGGGCAGCATCCCAAAAGAAAGGAAAAACAGCAGGGGGCGTGGCTCCCCTCACTGCCCCGCAACCATCCCTGCCTGGCCAGGGCCTTTTGGGCAGTGCCACTGGAGATTCCTGGAAGTGCCTTCGGGCCACACACACACACATCCTCCGGGACCCTCCCAGCCCCCCACTCTGCGCTTCCCGGGTTTGCAGGAGGGCCCCAAGGCCAGCCGGGAGCCCTGCAGGACCTGGGAGGAACCTGAGCCTGAAGGGTCTAGGAGCCCGCCGTGTCTGCTCTCAAGTGCCCCGCGTTCCCTTGGCCTGATCCCCGATCCCGTGCACCCTGCACCCAGTAGGCCCTCCGGGGCCGGGGCTGAATCAGCTTCGGAGGCTTCAGCAAGGCATTGCAGGGGGTCCCTACGGGAGGTTTAGTCCAGGGCACTCGCAGTGTTGTGGGACGCTGGGCAGGGCTGATCCCAGCCACTGAGTCTTCCCGGGCAGAGAGCAGACAGGGGGGCATTGGGATTTGGAGGGGCACCCGGGAACCTCCTGTCCCTTCCGGGCCGCCTCCCCTTACCCTGATTTCCCTTGCAGGGAGGGCTGTGCAGGTTTGTGGTGGGGTGGGGAGGACTTCCTAGAATTTGTTGCTTTGATTGGAATCTTCCCTATTGGGGCAGGGTTGGGGTGAGCTCTTGCCCACCCTGCCCACCCCCTGCCGCCAGAATCCTGGGCTCCCTCCGTTGAGTTGTGTTGGGGTCGGGGAGCTTCGTTTATGGCATCCCTGAATTCACCCCAGGCTTTGAAGTCAGGCTCGCTCCACAGGAAAAGCTCTTCCAAGAGGGAGATTCCCTGGACCTCCTGGGCCTCCGCCTGGTAATTGGCGCTTCGATTAACAGCTCGGGTGCGAGGGGCACTTCAGTGGGGGGCAGGGCAGCTGAGTCAGGGGCCCAGCCCAGGGGAGATGTTACAGGAGGGAGGACGGGAAGGGAGGCGGGGAGGTTGGTAATTCCAGATTGAGGAGGGTCTCCGTAGCTCTCCGAGTGGGTGAGGACCCCTCGGAGGCAAGTGTGGGGTCCCCCAGGGCCTGCTGGGCCCCCTTGGGCCCCTGGAACAATGGGTTCCCACTAGCCAACCTGTTCCCACAGCCAGAAGTTGCCATGGTGACCCCCTCCCACCTTCAGCTACAGCTTTTCCAGTAAAACCACTGCAGAAATCCATACTTCCCGACAGGCACGCCCGGCCCCCCACCCCCCACTCTGCGCGGTCTTGGAGCCTCGGGGAGTTAACCCTGCGCATGCTGGTGTCTGTTGTTTGGGGGAGACGGGAGTGAGAGCCGGCAATGCGGGCCCCAGGCTGGAGAGGAGAGGGTGGACGGGGGCAAGACAAGCTGCCCTGTCCTTGAAGGCCCCAGCGAGTGACTTGAGCAACTCCAGGAAGCTGGAGCGGAGCAGTGAAGCTAGCTCTGACCTAGGGGCCCCCTTGGCACAGAGGAGGCCTAGCTGGGGCCCACAGCGCAGCTCACCCCTTCTAGAGTGACCCCCTGCCCGCAGTCGCTGGGACACGAGACCCTTCCCGGCCTGGCTGCAGCTGCTACCCTGTTAGCCGATCCCCTCTTCCTCCTCTCCCCTCCCGGCACAAACCTTTTTCCTGGAGGCAGAGAGGGCTCAGTCCCAGGTCCCCGTGGCCCTGCTGCCAGCACCTGGCGGCCCCCAAGGGCACTGCGTACCTGGAGCCCGGCTTTGCATCCACAGGTCTGCCCTAGGGGGCTGTTGAACTCCAGAAGTCGCTGCCTGCTCAGGGTCTCCGTGTCCTCCCCCTGAGAAGTGGGGATAATGATCTGGGCTGCTTCCAAGCTTGGGGAAGAGGATCCCCCTAGAAGGTTCTGTCCTGCTGCCTCTGCCAGGTGGAGGGGCCCCTGGGGACACCCCAGGCTGCAGGGGCTCAGGGGGCTCCGTGGCCCAGGCCCAGCCTCACTTCTGCAGCCAGAGTGAGCAAGGAGATGCTGTAATTGTTCTCTCTGTAGCCCAGGATGAATAATTGAGAGGTCTTTGAAGAGAATTAATTAGCCAGCTTATTGACTGGAAACGCTTTGCTGCAGATGATGGAGGATGGAAGCCTGCGTGGGGCCCGTTTGCCGGCTGGGGCCGCACCAGACATTCAATTCACACCCATGGCTGCTCAGCGGGACCAGGGGCTCGGCCTTTGCCTAGTACCTGCTCTCTCCTGCTCAGGAGGAAGTGGGGGAGCTGAGCCCCAACTTGGCACCCTGCTGTGGTTCTGTCCTGATTTCTGGTATGGGGAGGGGGGGCAGCACCCCTTAGACTCAACTCTGCTCTGTCTTCTAAGAGGCAAGATGGGGGCCTCTCCAGGAGTGGGGGTGGGTGTGGCTCAGTCTTGGGAGCAGTTCCCTTGCAGGATAGACTCTGGTCCTGGGCTCCTTCAGTCCAGCCCACCCCACCGCCTGAGCCCCAGCCCCTTTTCGGGAACTAGGGAGTGACAGGAAAAGACGAAAGCGTTCTTGCCTGCAGGCTGCAGGGGGTCAGACATGTCGATGTCCCTGGTGAGGCTGAGGAGGGCCGGTTCTCATGGAATGGACAAGGCGCTAGGCAGGAAATGCTGGATCACTAGCCCCGGGTACCAGTCATTAATAGTAGTAGTAAACATTCCTCCAGCAGGCCCTGTCCTAAGCACACTGCATGCACTAACTCCTGTAGACCCTGTGAAGACAGGGGGTGGGCTTGTTCCCCAGCTGGGTCTGCAGAGCCTCAGGGCAGAACCTGGCACAGATAAAGCTTTGTTGATTGAATGAATGAGTGAATGAAGGAAATGAATGTGAGGAAGCTGAGTGGCAAAGTTAGACTCACACATCGGGTTTGTTTGTTTGTTTTTTTGAGATAGAATCTCTCTCAGTTGCCCAGGCTGGAGTGCAATGGCGCAATCTTGGCTCACTGCAACCTCTGCCTCCCAGGTTCAAGCGATTCTCCTGCCTTAGCCTCCCGAGTAGCTGGGATTACAGGCATGTGCCACCACACCTGGCTAATTTTTGTATTTTTAGTAGAGATGGGATTTCACCATGTTGGCCAGGCTGGTCTTAAGCTCCTGACCTCAGGTGATCCACTCACCTCGGCCTCCCAAAGTGCTGGGATTACAGGCGTGAGCCACCGTGCCCGGCCTCACACACCGTTTTTAAGCTGGCTCAAGGATCCGTGCTCTGATGCATCCTCCAGTCCCAGGCGACGTCAACATGGAAGATGTGGGCAAGAGGCAAACAGTCATGAAGGGCTTGGGCCATGTGGAGGATGAGCAGGAGGTGGGGGCCCTGAGAGCGGGCCCAGGGTTCAGCCCTGCCTCTGCAGCTGCTGGAGCACCAGTGAAGAGAGGGCAGGTGCCAGCAGGCATGGTGCAACTGTGGGGGACATGGGCGGGGCAGGGGGTACCTGGGTGGAGCTGGTTGGGGACCATTGCTCTTGGTCCAGATAAGGCATGACAAGGCCTGGGCCAAGACCCCTGAAATGGGGCATGGAGAGTCTGTGACAGCTCTGAGATATGTGGAGGGGAAGGGGAATGGAACCTGGTGACTTGTGGACCTGCGGAATGGGGGACAGGAGTTGAGATGACTCCAGGTATCTCCCGACATGAGCACATGTATCTGCAAATGAGGCGGGGGTCAGGAAGCACAGGGAGCTTGCTCTTGCCCCGGGGGCCTAGGATGCCCTGGGCTGTCATCATTCCACACTCACCCCTGACCTGCTCCTGCTCGCTCAGGGAGGCTGCCTTACAGGGAGGTATCAGTGGCTCCCTCATCCTCTGCCTCTGTGGAGCCCACAGTGGGAGGCACCTGCAGAACATGGGGGTGGGGGACAGTGCAGTTGGGGGCGTGGGTGTTCCTTCCTCTATCTGCCTCCCTCACAGAGTTGTGATCAAGCGAGTTGTAGAGAAACGCCACTCTCTGAGACGAATTCAGGCTAGTGCTCAAAATTCTCTCCACCCCAAAGAAGGGGCTAGATTTTCTTTTATACTTTGTTTTAGAAAGGGGCGGTGGGGGGAGTCTAGTTAAAACAATCTTACAGAAGCAAAGCAGACAAAAAAGTTAAAAGGATAAATGGTTACGGGAAAGCAAACAGTTCCAGGTGCAGGGGCTTTAAATGTATTACAAGGTGATAGACGCGGGGCTTTGAGTGTTATCAACCGGATACAAACGCGGGGACTCTGGGTGCTATCAACCGGGCGAATTCCTAGGAACTGCGGATATAACTTGCCACAGTATCTTATCAGTTAATTGCATCCTTGGATGTGCTGGCAGTCTGCTTGCACAAGTTAAGTCCTTGAGGAAGGGGGTGGGTAAGGGGCTGTAAGTGAAGGAGCCAAGATGGAGTCTGTCTGGCTCTCTCAGCTAAGGGAGAGTCAATTCAGGTTAAAACAAGGTTGGGTATCACAATAGCCCTCTCCATGCCTCTCTGTCCAGGGCTGGGATTGGTTGGCATACTCTGCATGCCTTTCCCCAGCCCTCCAGCTGTCCTAGAGTTGGGCTGGGATAACCCTCCAGCCGCCCTGTGAGTTGCACTGGGATCAGTCAGGTGTACTCTGCATGCCTCACCCCAGCCCCCGAGCCGTCCCGTGGGTTGGAGTTGTTTGCGTCACTGGCTTTCTGTTCTCAGCTGACTTAGCTGGGACGTCAACAACTCCCTATGTCAGAGGCAAGTCTCCGCCTGCATCTGCCAGAGCTCCACACAGCTGCAGACACCTGTGGCTTCATCTGAGTCCTCATCTCGGCCTCTGGGAACCACTCCTTCCTACCCTTTGCCTGGAGACAGTGGAAGCCGAGGGACATTTCTCCGAATGGCGTTCACTTGGCTCCAGAAATGAGAACTGGAATGAGGAAGAGGAATCAGTCTCCCTCCAGGTGGCTGAAGCTAGGCACGTGGAACCTGGGAGCAGCGGGCAGCCACACTGGTGCCCTTCAGACAGCAGGAGGGGGCTCTTGTCCGAAGCTCTGAGTTCAAAACAGAGGGGACATGGGGGAACAGCAGGAGGTAGGATCAGGCCCCCCAACTCCTGCCGAGAGCTCACACCTGTCTTCAGCCCCTCCTGCATTCCTGCCAGTGGTAGCCATTTGCCCTTTTGGTTGCCTGGTGTCCAAATACCCTTTCTACGTTGGAGGTAGGGTCCTGGGGGTCCCTGCTCCCTTTCCCAGGCTCTGAAAACTGACTCCTGGGAATGTGACCAAAATGATTACATTAAATGCTTCCACCTGAATGTTTAATCGTGAAGATGAGATGCCAAGTTCAAGAGTAATTTAGGGGCCAGGTGTGGTGGCTTGCGCCTGTAACCCCAGCATTTTGGGAGGCCGAGGCAGGTGGATCACTGGAGACCAGGAGTTTGAGACAAGCCTGGCCAATATGGTGAAACCCTGTGTCTACTAAAAATGCAAAAATTAGTCAGGTGTGGTGGTGCACACCTATAATCCCAGCTACTCGGGAGGCTGAGACAGGAGAATCGCTTGAACCTGGGAGGTGGAGGTTGCAGTGAGCCAAGATCAGGTCACTGCACTCCAGCCTGGGCGACACAGCAAGACTCTGTCTCAAAAAAAAATAAAAAATAAAAAAAGAGTAATTTAGGATTGTTCCCAAGGGTTGTGGTAGAGCCAGACAGCACTGTGTCACAGCATGCAGTGAGTATCCAGCCTCGATACCCTATGCAGCCCATTCTATGCTAACGGTTACCCCCACTGAATTCCTTTTCTGCATAGGTTAACCAGAGTGCCACTGTCAGTCACAATACTGACTAGTGGCTTCTCTTGGGTTTCCTGAGAAACTCCCTATATCAGTTAGTGAGTGCCATAATCAGGCTGTGTAACAAGCAGCCCCGCAATCCTGGTGGCATTCTACAATAAGCATTTGTTTTGCTCACATCTCTGTGGGTCTGTGGGGGTTCACCAGATCCAGGCTTGGATTAGCTGGCTGGCGTCTGGGCTGTGAGTTGGGTCCAGGTTTGCTTCACATGTTTCTTATCAACCTCGGCCCAGCAAGCTACCTGAGGCGTGTTCCTTCCAGGGTGACTTCAGCAGTGAAAGAGAGCAAGTTCATTGTGCAAGCACAGTTCAAGTCTACTCACTCCATATCCCCTGACATCCCACTGATCAAAGCAAGTCCCATAGCTATGCCCCAAGTCAAGGATGTGAATGCATAATTCTACTACAAGGGAGTGAAGAAGCAGGACTGATCATTCCATCCTCCCCTTATTTGTTTTTAGTTTTTATTATGAAAAAAAAAATTTTTTTTTGAGACCGAGTCTTGTTCTGTCGCCCAGGCTGGCTGAAGTGCAGTGGTGTGATCTCAGCTCACTGCAACCTCCACCTCTCGGGTTTAAGCAATTCTCTTGCTTCAGCCCCCCCGAGTAGCTGGGACTACAGGCTTCTGCCACCACGCCCAGCTAATTTTTGTATTTTTAGTAGATACGGGGTTTTGCCATGTTGGCTAGGCTGGTCTCAAACTCCTGGACTCAGGTGATCTGCCCACCTCGGCCTCCTAAAGTGCTGGGATTATGGGCGTAAGCCACTGCACCAGGACCATGAAAATATTTTTTTAAAAATAGGCAGAAGGGGCCGGGCACGGTGGCTCACGCCTGTAATCCCAGCACTTTGGGAGGCAGAGGCAGGTAGATCACGAGGTCAGGAGATCGAGACCATCCTGGCTAACATGGTGAAACCCCATCTCTACTAAAAATACAAAAAAAATTAGCCGGGTTTGGTGGCGGGCGCCTGTAGTCCCAGCTACTCGAGAGGCTGAGGCAGGAGAATGGCGTGAACCCAGGAGGCAGAGCTTGCAGTGAGCCGAGATAGCGCCACTGCACTCCAGCCTGGGCGACAGAGCGAGACTCCATCTCAAAAAAATAAATAAGTAAAAATAAATAAAAATAGGCAGAAGGGTGTAATGAATCCCCATAGAACATCACCCAGATTCCACAATTATTATTATTTTCCCATATTTGTCTAACCTGTTTTTTTTCCCTTGGTAAAGTGTATTTTTTAAACTTTTTTTTCCCATATGTAAAACAAATAATTTATGTAAAGATATATGTATATATACACACATAACAAAATTTACCATTTTAACCATTTTCAAGTGTACAGTTCAGTGGCATTAAGTAATTACCACTGTTGCACAGTTGCTCTCCAGCTCCTGAACATTCTAATCTTCCCAAACTGAAACTGTCCCCATTAATTAACACTAGCTCCCCATTCCCCTGGACCCCAACCCCTGGCAACCACCATGCTATTTTCTGTCTCTATAAATCTAACAATCTCACATGAGTGGAATCACACGGTATGTGTCTTTGTGTGACTGGCTGATTTCATTTAGTGTGATGTCTTCAAGGTGCATCCACGTGATAGCATAGGTCAGAATTTCCTTCCTTTTTAAGGCTGAATAATATTCCACCGTATGGATAGACCATAGTTTGTTTATCCATTCATGCATCCATGGATACTAGGGTTGCTTCTATCTTCTGGCTATTGCAAATGAATAATGCTGCTATGAACGTGGGTGAACATATCTCTGAGTCTCTGCTTTTAATTCTTTTGGGGATAGATACAGGAGTGGAAGTGCTGGGTTATACGCTAATTCTATGTTTAATTTTTGGAGCATCTCACCACACTGTTTTCCACAGCAATTGTACCATTTTCCATTCCCACCAAAATTGAGTGCACAGGGCCAAGCGCTGTGGCTCACACCTGTAATCCCAGCACTTTGGGAGGCCATGGCGGGTGGATCACTTGAGGTCAGGAGTTTGAGACCGGCCTGGCCAACATGGTGAAACCCCGTCTCTACTAAAAATATAAAAATTAGTCGGGCCATGGTGAAGCATGCCTGTAATCCCAGCTACTCAGGAGGCTGAGGCACGAGAATCGCTTGAATCCAGGAGGTGGAGGTTGTGGTGGGCCGAGATAGTGCCACTGCACTCCAGCCTGGATGACAGTGAGACTCCACCTCAAAAAAAAAAATTGAGTGCACAGGATTCCAATTTCTCCACATCTTCACCAACACTTGTTATTTTCTGTTGTTTTTTTTTTAAAAAAAATAGTAGCCGTCCTAATAGGTATTGAGTGGCGTCGTCTTGTGGTTTTAGTTTGCATTTCAGGCTCCATTTGACTTCGGCTGGTTTGAGGTGAGTTTCTGTTTCTTGTAACTGGCGCTAGTTCAGGTAGGCTCAGCAGCTGCAGAACTCAAAGAGATATGTTCACCCGCGTTCATAGCAGCATTATTCATTTGCAATAGCCAAAAGATAGAAGCAACCCTAGTGTCCATGGATACATGAATGGATAAACAAACTATGGTCTATCCATACTGTGGAATATTATTCAGCCTTAACAAAGGAAGGAAATTCTGACCTATGCTATCATGTGGATGAACCTTGGAGACATCACACTAAGTGAAATCAGCCAGTCACACAAAGACACATACCAGCTCAGCAGCTGCAGCACGGTAGCCAACAATAGCAGCTGTGGCTTGTGGAGAAGTTTATTTCTCCTTCTGTAACAGCCCAGGGCGGGTGCACCCGGTCTATGCAGCCCTACTCCCTTAGGGGACCCAGGCGGATGCTGCTTTGCTACCTTGACGTGGAGTTTCTGAGCTCGCTCTGCCGGTTGCCACCTGGGTCCCCAGGTGGGAGGGTGGAGCACCTGCCAGGATTGATGGGCTAAGGGCGGAACTTTCCCCTTGCATTCCATCAGGGGTATTTATCTTTTTTTTTTTTTTTTTTTTTTTGAGATGGAGTCTTGCTCTGTCACCCAGGCTGGAGTGCAGTGGTGCGATCTCGGCTCACTGCAACCTCCGCCTCCCAGGTTCAAGCAATTCTCCTGCCTCAGCCTCCTGAGTAGCTGGGATTACAGGTGCCACCATGCCCAGCTAATTTTGTTATTTTTAGTAGAGACGGGGTTTTGCCATGTTGGCCAGGCTGGTCTCAAACTCCTGACCTCAGGTGATCCGCCCACCTCGGCCTCCCAAAGTGCTGGGATTACAGGAATGAGCCACCGCACCCGGTCTCAGTTGATATTTCTAAGAATCTGCATAGAATAGACCAGCCGACCCTGGATCCTATCAGAGGGTGGAGGCTGGGAGGAGGAAGAGGATCAGGAAAAATAACTAATGCGTACTAGACTTAGTACCTGCGTGCTGAAATAATCTGTACAACAAACCCCAATGTCACGGGCTTACCTATATAACAAACCTGCACGTGGACCCCTGAACTTAAAAGGTTTTTTTAAAAAAAGAGGGTCGGGTACAGTGGCTCACACCTGTAATCCCAGCACTTTGGGAGGCCAAGGTGGGTGGATCATCTGAGGTCAGGAGTTCCAGACCAGTCTGGCCAACATGGTGGAACCCTGTCGTCTCTACTAAAAATACAAAAATTAGCCGGGCATGGTGGTGGGCGTAATCCCATCTACTCGGGAGACTGAGGCAGGAGAATTGCTTGAACCTGGGAGGCGGAGGTTGCAGTCAGCCGAGATCACACCACTGCACTCCAGCCTGGGCGACAGGGCAAGACTCTGTCTCCAAAAAAAAAAAAAAAGGGGAAGCCTGTTGCCCAAAAGGGCTGCTGTGGTACCTAAAAATGTGGGCTTTCTCCTTCTGGGAGGGGGTAGGAAGAAGTCGCCCCCACTCTCCAGGCCCACGGCTGCCCCGCCCCTGCTCACCAGCCGGCTGGCTGTGGCAAAACTAAAGCCTGCCCCGTGCCCTGAGCCCGGCATGTTGTTCAGCCTCTCTGAAATGGTCTCCTTGGATCATGGGCAGAGATGGTACGATGGGATCCCACCCGAGGGGTCCCGGCCGGTGCTCACGGGGCTGGGACCAGCTGCTCTTACTCTGTTTTTCTACCTTTCTCAGCCACTTGGAGGAAGAGAGAATTTTGTTACCTTTTACAGGTAAGGACGCTGAGGTTCACAGGATAAGTCACTTCCAGCCAGGTGTGTGTGACCTCAGATCCATACTCAGAGGGAGGTGGGCTGGGCAGAGCCTCCCACCTGCTCCCCTGGAGGCCCATGAGTCTGGGCACTGGGGCCCCAATTCCTATAAACCGGGGTTGATTACGGAGGACTCCCCTCACCTGCAACCCCGCCTCCCACCACAGAGCCCAGGCAGCAGGGAAGCCTGGAGACAGGCGCAGAGCCTCTGGGCCTGGGTGCCTACCCCTGCCCACCCCCAGGGCCTCAGGCCACAGGAGACCACCTAAAGCAGGAGCCGGGAGTAGGGCCCAGGCTGGGCTGGCACAGCTGGGCCTGTGAGGGGTGGAGGGGCCGCTGGGGAAGGGACTTACCAGCAGCAGCTCTGCTGGGACCTGGGAGGCTCTCCTCATTTCCAGTAACAAGCGGGGGTGGGGGCAGTGGGAGGGAGGAGGCGGCTTTCCCCAGGTGCCAGCTGTGCTTGAAGACAGCCTGTCCCCTCTGCTGTCTCCTGTTCTCAGCTCCTTAATCCCCTCCCCGACCTCGTAGTTGACTCCTGGGCTGACTCCTCCCCTGGAAGGGAAAGAAGAGCCGGGCTCACCCACACCCAACAGGTGCAGCAGCTGCTTGAGGTCACAGTTGCTGAGAAGGGAAGCTGAGGCCAGTGGCAGCTCCAGCCAGGGTTGGTGCAGCCTGCTGAGGGGTCGAGGTCACCCAATCACCCACCCAGCTCCACCTGCCCCCACCCCTCCCACCCAGCCTGGCCACCAGCCCAGACACCTTCCTCACATGGCCTGAAGACCCCTGCTGACCTGTGGCACCATGTGGCCCAGCAGGGTGGCCAGGCTGGCCGGGGTCATGGGGTGGGGGACGCTGCTCCCCACCTGCCCTGGGGTGGTCGGTGCTGTTGGGGAGGCCACTCTCTAGGGGCATCTGCCAGGTAGGCAGACCAGAAACTTACCCCGAGTTCTGTGACCCGCTCCGGGGAGCGGGGCATCTCATGTCCTCTCAGCCACGTCTGAAAGCTGGGACATGGCAGAGTGGGCAGGGCTGCCCTCTGAGCTGACCCCCTTCCCCTCCTCCCCATCTTGTCTCTCCTCAGATCTAGGGCTCACTCTGAGGCGTGGGTGACACTTGCCCCCCAACCCCAGCCTCTTCAGTGCAGGGAGGCAGGGCCTGAACTTCGGAGGGCCTTGGGGCAGGTTCCTGGGGCTTGCAGTGAGGCCTCCCCTTTCCCAGGGAGAGGAAGGGAGAAGCCGCGTCTGGCGAGGGAAGCCTGTACCCTCACCCTCACTGTGTCCAGATCTGCACCCCTAACCTGGCCTGGGGAGACTGGCACCAGGTGGAGCTGGTCCCCAAGGAGCCCCAAACCCCAGAACATCTGCTGCAGGGGTCAGCTCTCAGGGGGCCCCAGGGCCAGTCCTCTCTGCACCCCACCTTCCCTGCTCAATGTGGCTTGTAGGAGGTTATGCAAAGCATTATGCAAAGCACATGCAAATGAGACCCAACCACAACTGGTCACTCTCTCCAGGCAAGACCACTGAAGCCCTCTGGTCATCAGCAGGAATGCAGGGGCGCCTATGGCAGGCCGGACTCCAGGTCAGGCCTTGGGGCAGTGAGGAAGAAGGTGCATGCCAGGTAAGCTATAGTCAAAAGGGAGGGACACACACCACCAGGCGAATGAATGAAGCAAATCAATGGCACTCCTCCCTGCCCCAGAATTCAAAATGACAGACCGGTGCAGACAGATGCATGTGTGTTCTGAGAGGTGGTTGTGTACAAGCAAGCTCACTCCTTCAGTCTCCCATTCATTCACTTATTCTGCAAACTCGGTGTCTATTATGAGCCTGGGCTGTTCCAGGGGCTGGGGATATCCCAGCAGATGAAAATGCCTGCTTTGCAGGGCTCCAGTAGGGAGAGAAAGATACAGGTGACAAGTCAGGATGAGCAAGGAGGACACACCGGTGTATGTTCCAGAAACCATAAGGAGGCTGGAGCCAGGCACAGGGAGCCCTGGGCCTTGGGAAGAGTATGGTCTGTGCAGGGGCCATGTAGTGGGAGGGGGCCCTGCAACATCAACCCAGGTGCCCTGGGGAGGTTGTGGTGGAAACAGGCAGAGCACGGAGGGAACCAAGTTCCCCGGGCAGGAGATGCCAGGGGCTGCGGCCAGGGGTGGCAGTGGAAGGGCTGAGAAGTGGTCGGATTCTGGGTTAGGAAGAGAAAGCTGCCCTTTGCCCTCTGAAGCTTCGCCGAAAAATCAGCGGACAAAAGGCAGATTCATAGGAGAAAAGGCTCACAAAATTTACTGTAACTGCATAGCACAGGACTCCCCGGACGTGATTACCCAGTAATCCAGAGGGGTCCAGAACCTGCCATGCCCTTCCTCATGGGAGAAGAGGTGGTGGGAAACCACCTCTTTGAGGCAAAGTCAATGATTTTTGGGGGGAAATGAAATGAATGGGCCCCTTGCTCAGACAATGGTTAGTGAATAATTCTCTTTGGGAATCAAATAGGACCAAAGAACAGACAATGGTTTGGGAGGAAGTTGGTCTGGGCTCTAGGTGTGGTGGTTCATTGCAGCCTCTTCCTTTGTGATGTGAGTTTTAATCTTCTCCGGTTAATAACATTTCAGGGAAGGCAATTGTGTTCCTCTTGGCCAGTCTGGTTTCTAGGTAGTTAAGGAAAGTCCGAGAACAGCCTCATCCTGTGCTTTGGGAAGACATGGGGCTGGAGGTAGGTCAGAGAGACCTTGGGGCCCCTTCTTGTCAAGGCGCCATATTTTCTGAGCCCCAACAGTGTATTTTGGGAATGCTGTTATATTTCCATCTAATTTGCATTAAGGAAAAGCTATATGTGTTTTGGTGCCTGGGTACCTGTGTTGGGGAGGCTGGGAGTGGGGACAGAGTGGGGGAGGGCATCTTCTGGGTGCTCTGCAGACCCAGGGGTCTGTGGTGTTCTCCTTCAGGGCAACCCCCCAAAACCCACCACCCAAACTCAGCGAAACTACAAGGTGGGGCTGTGATGGGGCCTAGAGGTTTATGTAACAATCATGGGAACGGAGGTCCTCACCCGTGGAGGCCCCGCTAGGGGTTGAGCCTATTCCAGGGGTTCCCTGGAGTTCACCTCTCCTCACTGCCTCCTGTTCTTATTGGTTTTCTGGTGGGGGAGGAAGGGGCAAAGCCGCTCTTCTGTGAAGGTGGATGTTTTTTTTTTGGCAGCAGCTGAAATCCATTTGCTACTAGGCCTAGGAGTAAGTGGGCGATCAAAACTGAATCGTGCAGTTTTTACTCCAAAACAAGCCCTGGCTCTTTAAGACTTGGGGCTGATTTTCACTCTCGGGTACCTGGGGCGAAGGTCGGGAAGCCAGGCCTTCTGTAAAGCTTTTAAGGACAGAAGGTGTAGCCTCCCAAGTTAGCACACTCTGGAGCCCCGAATGCAGTTGCCCTCTACAGACCTGGTCAGGGCCTCACCCTGCAGCCCAGGGGAAGGGACTGGGGGCTTTAAAGCTCTCGCAGGTCTCTGTTTGGCTGTGTGGCCCAGGACCAGCTCCTTCTACTCTCCTGCTGTGAATCAGCAGCACCACCCCCGACTTAGTAGCATAGTGTGAGGCTGACGTGCACGTGGGTGTGAATCCCGGTCAGCGCCACTCGTTGTGCCTTTGCGCTTCAATGGTCCCTGCCAAGGCTGTGGCAGCAGCTCCTGAGCTCCCCACCATACCTCGCCTAAAGCCTTAGGGACAAGTTCAGCCACCTGAGACCAAAAGCGCCCTGCCTGGCTAGCTCTAAGCCTCCAAATAACCCCTGGGATCCCAGCAGTTCTTCACTGTAAGAGTTTACTTGTGGCTGGGCATGGTGGTGAACACCTGTAGTCCCAGCTGCTTGGGAGGCTGAGGTGGGAGGATCACTTGAGCCCAGGAGGTTGAGATGGTAGTGAACCATGACTGCACCACTGTACTGTATGTAACCTGGGTGACAGAGTGAGTGAGACCCTGTCTCAAAAAAAAAAAAAAAAAAAAGTGGGCCGGGAGCAGTGGCTCACTCCTGTAATCCCAGCACTTTGGGAGGCCAAGGCGGACGGATCATGAGGTCAAGGTATCGAGATCAGGCCGGGCACGGTGGTTCACACCTGTAATCCCAGCACTTCGGGAGGCCAAGGCAGGCGGATCACGAGGTCAGGAGATCGAGACCATCCTGCCTAACATGGTGAAACCCCGTCTCTACTAAAAAAAAAAAAAAAATACAAAAAATTAGCCGGGCATGGTGATGGATGCCTGTAGTCCCAGCTACTCGGGAGGCTGAGGCAGGAGAATGGTGTGAACCCGGGAGGTGGAGCTTGCAGTGAGCCGAGATTGCGACACTGCACTCCAGCCTGGGCGACACAGCGAGACTCCGTTTCAAAAAAAAAAAAAAGATATCGAGATCATCCTGGCCAACATGATGAAACCCCATCTCCACTAAAAATACAAAAATTAGCTGGGTGTGGTGGCTACTCCGGAGGCTGAGGCAGAAAAATCGCTTGAACCCAGGAGGCAGAGGTTGCAGTGAGCTGAGACTGCGCCACTGCACTCCAGCCTGGTGACAGAGCGAGCCTCCGTCTCAAAAAAAAAAAAAAACAGAACAAAACAAAAAAAGTGTTCACAGATGGGCTTGGAGGTCCATGGTCCATCCTTGTTCTTCAGGCCAGCCAAAGGTGGCCAAATTTAGTAAAAAAGCAAACAAAAAACCAAGACACCTAGTTAAATTTGAATTTCAGAGAAATAACAAATACATTTTTAGTGTAAGTATATCCCATGCAATATGAGAGAGATACTTACTCTAAAAAATGTATTTGGCCAGGCGTGTGGGCTCACACCTGTAATCCCAGCACTTTGGGAGGCTGAGGTGGGTGGATCACTTGAGGTCAGGAGTTCGAGACCAGCCTGGCCAACATGGCAAAAACCCATCTCTACTAATACAAAAATTAGCCGGGCCTGGTGGCGAGCACCTGTAATCCCAGCTACCAGAGGGCTGAGGCATGAGAATTGCTTGAACCCAGGAGGTGGAGGTTGCAGTGAGCCAAGATCATGTCACTGCACTCCAGCTTGAGTGACAGAGTGAGACTGTGCCTCAAAAATAAAAAAAAATGTATTTGTTGTTTCTCTGAAATTCAAATTTAACTGAGCATCCTGTGTTTTATCTGGCAATCCTAGTCCCACCCTCTTCCAAATTCACATCTTTTTTTTTTTGAGACAGAGTTTCACTCTTAATGCCCAGGCTGGATTGCAGTGGCATGATCCCAGGTCACAGCAACCTCTGTCTCTTGGGTTCAAGCAATTCTCCTGCCTCAGCCTCCCGCGTAGCTGCCGTGCACCACCACGCCTGGCTAATTTTTGTATTTTTAGTACAACGGGGTTTCACCATGTTGGCTGGGCTAGTCTCGAACTCCTGACCTCAGGTGATCCACCTGCCTCGGCCTCCCAAAGTGCTGGGATTACAGGCGTGAGCCACCACGCCCGGCCCTCCAAATTCACGTCTATAAGAACGATTTTCCTGCCCCAACCATACATTTCTCACAGATAAAGGTGCATTTTTATCATTTCGTCTTTCCTGGGGCTGAAATGGCTTCTTCTTTTTGCATTTTATGGTTTTACAATTGTAGCAGTAAAACATTCTTGCCGGCAAGATGATTGAAAATTTAACTACAAAAGGCATCATTCATTTTATTTTTGTCTTCATTGGAGACATAAAATGGATTCGCAATCATCCCACCACAGTGGTTGAGTATTGTGGGTTTTAGAGTTGCTCACATAGCACATTTATACTCACCAGTGTGAGGGCTCTTTGCAGCCGCCAATGGAGTGATCGTTTGTGTTTTGGAAGCAGCAGTAACATTTATTCCTAATAATCCTGCTGCAGTGGGTTCTTGGTATTTTATAGTTGTTATTGCAGTAAAATTTATATCCTACAGAATTATGACAATATTCAGCTACTAATATGATTATTATTTGTGTGTGTGTGTTAAAACCACGGAAATAAAATTTACTCCCAACAATACAGTGGCAATTTTATGTCCCTAAACCTGACCGTAAATAATAAACATAACTACAGAATGCCTGTAAACACATAAAACATCCTTCTCGGAAAAAGTGAACTCTCCATTGCTATCCTGATGAGACCAGCAGCTGGGGAGCCTGGTCTAGCAGTTAGGGCTCCTGGGCAGACTTCAAAAGGATGAAGCAACTTCTTCACAGGACTCCTGGAGAGCAAGTTGCTTAACATTTCAGAGTCCAAGTCAGCCCGTCTCAGAGAACGTGGGCTGGTCCATCGCCTGATGAGTGCACGGATACAATGTGTGGTAACCACACTGTAGAACACTGCTTGGCCGTAAAGAGAATGCAGTTCTCATACACACTGCAACTCGGATGAGCCTTCGAGACATTATGCTCCACGAAAGAAGCCAGATACAGCCAGGTGCGGTGGCTCACTCCTGTAATCCCAGCACTTTGGGAGGCCGAGGCGGGCAGATCACAAGGTCAGGAGTTCAAGACCAGCCTGGCCAACATGGTGAAACCCTGTCTCTACTAAAAATACAAAATTAGCTGGGCATGGTGGCGCATGCCTGTAATCCCAGCTACTGGGGAGGCCGAGACAGGAGAATCGTTTGAAGCCAGGAGGCAGAGGTTTTGGTGAGTCAATATCGTGCCACTGCACTCCAGCCTGGGCAACAGAGCGAGACTCCATCTCAAAAAATAAAAGTAAAAAAAGCCAGACACAAACGATGTATACTTTTGATCCACATACTGTATGATCCCATTGAAATTAAATAGCCAGAAAAAGGCTAGGTGTGGTGGTTCACACCTGTTATCCCAGTACTTTGGGAGGCTGAGGTGGGAGGGTCGCTTGAGCTCAGGAGTTTGAGGCCAGCCTGGGTAACATAGCAAGACCCCCATCTCTACAAATAACTTAAAAATTAGGCAGGCATGGTGGTGTGCACCTGTAGTCCTGGCTACTTGGGAGGCTGAGGCAGGAGGATCCCTTGAACCCAAGAGGTTGAGGCTGCAGTGAGCCATGATCATGCTGTTGCACTCCAGCCTAGACAACAGAGTGAGACCCTGTCCGAAAAAACAAAAACAAAAACAAAAATTAAAAATATCTAGAAAAAGTAAATTTCCATAGACAGAAAGTAGACGAGTGGTTGTCAGGGGCTGGGGGAGGGAAGGGGAAATGGGAAGTGACCGCTCATGGATCCTTTTTTTTTTTTTTTTTTTTTTTTTGAGACAGAGTCTTGCTCTGTCACCCAGGCTGGAGTGCAGTGGTGCAATCTCGGCTCACTGCAACTTCCGCCTCCTGGGTTCAAGCGATTCTCCTGCCTCAGCCTCCTGAGTAGCTGGGATTACAGGCATGCGGCACCATGCCCAGCTAATTTTGTATTTTTTTAGTAGAGACGGGGTTTCACCATGTTGGTCAGGCTGGTCTCGAACTCCTGACCTCAGGTGATCTGCCTGCCTTGGCCTCCCAAAGTGCTGGGATTAGAGGTGTGAGCCACTGCGCCCGGCCTCATGGACACTTTTGAGATGATGAAAATGTTCTGGTAGGGCTGGGCAGGGTGGCTCATGCCTGCAATCCCAGCACTTTAGGAGGCCAAGGTTGGCGGATCACCTGAGGTCAGGAGTTCGAGACCAGCCTCAACATGAAGAAACCCCGTCTCTACTAAAAATACAAAATTAGCCGGGTGTGGTGGTGCATGCCTGTAATCCCAGCTACTCGGGAGGCTGAGGCAGGAGAATCACTTGAACCTGGGAGGCGGAGGTTGCGGTGAGCCGAGATCGCACCATTGCATTCCAGCCTGGGCAATAACAGCGAAACTCCGTCTAAAAAAAAAAAGAGAGAGAAAATAAAAAGAAAATGTTCTGTGGTTGACTACAGTGATGGTTGCACAATTCCATGAATTCACCAGAAGCTGTTGAGTGTATACTTTCAATGGGTGAATAGTGTGGTGTTTAAACGCTCTTAATAAAGTTGCTAAGGCCGGGCACGGTGGCTCACGCCTGTAATCCCAGCGCTTTGGGAGGCCAAGGCAGGCGGATCACCAGGTCAGGAGTTTGAGACCAGCCTGGCCAACATGGTGAAACCCCGTCTCTACTAAAGATACAAAAAAAAAAAAAAAAAAAAAATTAGCCGGGCGTGGTGGCACACGCCTGTAATCCGAGCTACTTGGGAGGCTGAGGCAGGAGAATCGCTTGAACCTGGGAAGCAGAGGTTGCAGTGAGCCAATATCGCACCATTGCACTCCAGCCTGGGCAACAGGGCGAGACTCTATCTCAAAAATAAATAAATAAATAAATAAATAATAAATAAAGCTGCTAAAATGAAAAAAGGAAGAAAACATGCTTCTGTTCCTCCTGCCCCCCACCCCTGCCTCCCCTGGGCTTTCAGCTGCTGTCTCTAGAGAATGTTTGGAACAGGTGTCTGGGAATAGCTAACAAAATCCCTCTGGCTTCTCCTTGCCTTGTGGGTTATGGATACTGCCCCCTTCCTCCATCGTGAAATGAAAAGTGACATGACCCTAAAATCTAAAAGGACCATAAGGCCCATTAGGCAATCTCAAGAGAGCCACCTGCAAGGGACAGAGGTGTGGCAGCAGCCCTGGAGAGAAGGAGGCCAAGCAGAGAGGGTGCAGGCTGCCAGGATGGAGCCTCTGCCCGCCACTCACTGGGCAGCAGTGGAGCTGCCTCTGCCTGTATCATCCCCATTTTATGAATGGGGAAGCTGAGGCAGAAGCAGTGATACAGCCAGAATGAACAGTCTTAGGCATCGTCCACAGACCAGCGAGTTACTCCACCAGGTGTCTGTATCACCCAAAGAACCTGAAGTGCATGGGCTCCTTGCGAGCTTTTTTCTCTCAAAAAAAAATTGTGGGGCTGGGCGCCGTGGCTCACACCTGTAGTCCCAGTACTTTGGGAGGCCAAGGCGGGTGGATCACTTGAGTTCAGGAGTTCAAGACCAGCCTGGGCAACATGGCAAAACCCCGTCTCTACTAAACACACAGACAGTTTGGCTGTAGTGGCGCATGCCTGTAGTCCCAGCTACTTGGGGGACTGAGGTGGGAGAATCGCTTGAGCCCAGGAGGCGGAGGTTGTAGGTGAGCCGAGATGGTGCCACTGCACTCCAGCCTGGGCGACAGAGTGAGATCCTGTCTCAAAAAAACTGTGGTAAAATAGGCCGGGGGTGGTGGCTTACGCCTGTAATCCCACCACTTTGGGAGGCCAAGGTGGGTGGCACCGGAGGTCAAGAGTTTGAGGCCAGCCTGGCCAACATGGTTAAACCCCTTCTCTACTAAAAATACCAGCGTTAGCTGGGTGTGGTGGTGCGCACCTATAGTCCCAGCTACTCGGGGGGCTGAGGCAGGAGAATCGCTAGAACCCAGGAGGTGGAGGTTGCAGTGAGCCGAGATCACATCACTGCACTCCAGCATGGGTGGCAGAGTGAGACTCTGTCTCAAAAAAAAAAAAAAAATTTGTGGTAAAAAACACATAGCATAAAATTTGCCACTTTAGCCTTTTTTTTTTTTTTTAGACAGAGTCTCGCTCTGTCGCCCAGGCTGGAGTGCAGCAGCACGATCTCGGCTCACTGCAAGCTCCGCCTCCCAGGTTCACACCATTCTCCTGCCTCAGCCTCCTGAGTAGCTGGGACCACAAGTGCCCGCCACCGTGCCTGGCTAATTTTTTGTATTTTTAGTAGAGATGGGGTTTCACCATGTCAGCCAGGATGGTCTCAATCTCCTGACCTCATGATCCACCTGCCTCGGCCTCCCAAAGTGCTGGGATTACAGGCGTAAGCCACCGCGCCCAGCCAACTTTAGCCATTTTTAAGTGTTTCAATTCAGTGGCAGTAAGTATCTTCACATCGTTGTGTGACCAAGTGTCAGAGGTGACGTGGGCTGTCCAGGACACATGACTGGTGGGAACTACAGGGTCCCCGTCCTGGTCCTCACACCGCTGTTGGCCCTGGACAAGGTATGTCTTCTGAGTGCGACCAGAGGCCCAGAGAGCACGGGATTGGCTGCGGTTGCCAGTGCCTGGGGCAGTTCCCGCTAATGCCATCGTCCTGGGGATCCCCTTGAGTCCCCTGCTCCTGCTTCTTAGTTTGCTGCACCCCAGAGGGTGACTGGGACCCCCATGCCTGGGACACTGGTTGCATAGGCAGCTTCCAGGGCCACCCCAGACCTCCCAGCTCAGAGTCCTGGGGCCTGGGGCTGTGAGTTAATCAGTGTCCAGGCAACCAGGGATGCCACAAGAAGTCAGGAAGTTTCCAGACTTGCCTGGTCTCAGAATTATCTAAGCTCCTTTTTTTATTTTTTTTTTTTTAAGACAGGGTCTCGCTCTGTTGCCCAGGCTGGAGTGCAGTGGTGGGATTTTGGCTCACTGCAGTCTCAACCTCCAGGGTTCAAGTGATTCTTTCACCTCAGCCTCCCAAGTAGCTAGGACCACAGGCGTGTACCACCATGCCCCAGCTAAGTTTTTAAATATTTTGCTGAGACAGATCTTGCCATGTTGCCCAGGCTGGTCTTGAACTTCTGGGCTCAAGCGATCCTCCCAACTTGGCCTCCCAAAGAGCTGGGATTACAGGTGTGAGCCACTGCGCCCGGCCCATCTGAGCTACTTTTAGAAGTATAGGTTCTCTGGCTTCTCTCCAGCTGAGACCAAACCACCTCTGAATCTATTGTTAAGAGGTACAAGGGGCTTGTGATACAAAAGTGGCAAAGCTGGACAGGCACAGTGGCTCATGCCTGTAATCCTAGCACTTTGGGAGGTTGAGGTGGGCCGATCACTTGAGGTCAGAAGTTCAAGGCCAGTCTGGCCAACATGGTGAAACCCTGTCTCTGCTAAAAATACAAAAATTAGCCTGGCATGGTGGTGCGTGCCTGTAGTCCCAGCTACTCGGGAGGCTGGGACAGGAGAATCACTTGAACCTGGGAGGCGGAGGTTGCAGTGAGCTGAGATCATGCTGCTGCACTCCAGCCTGGGCAACAGAACAAGACTCTGTCTCAAAACAAAACAAAACAAAAACAAAAACAAACCTGCAAGGCTGTCGGTTCATGCGCTCATTCCTTCACTCATTACTGCAGTCCTACTCTGTGTATTCATTATTGCAGTCCTACTGTGTGTGCCTCACCTCTGCAGCCGGATCCTGCCCCAGCCCCAGGCATGAAGGCATGGAGCCCCTGCCTGTGCACGTCCTTCTTCCTGGGCTACCCTGCCTCTCCCCTTGTGCCTGACATTGAGGGCTGTGAGACCTCCTACTCGTCACCCCTCAGCCAGCTCTGTTTGGCCCCCCAAAAGCCTTGGGACCTCCTCGGGTCCTGGACGTGGGACTGGCTCTGATTCTAGCCTCTGGGCTGGGCTGCTGCTGACAAGTGTTCAGCTCCTGCTGCTCAGATGAATGAAGGGACAGAAGGCGGGTGTCTAGGCATGGCCGGGACCTGGGATTCTATTTTTTTTTTTTTTTTTTGAGATGGAGTTTCGCTTTTGTCGCCCAGGCTGGAGTGCAGTGGTGCGATCTTGGCTTACTGCAACCTCTGCTTCCAGGGTTCAAGCGATTCTTCTGCCTCAGTCTCCCTAGTAGTTGGGATTACAGGCGTGCACCACCAAGCCCAGCTAATTTTGTATTTTTAGTAGAGACGGGGTTTCTCCACGTTGGTCAGGCTGGTCTCAAACTCCCGACCTCAGATGATCCGCCTGCCTCGGCCTCCCAAAGTGCTGGGATTACAGGTGTGAGCCACCATGCCCAACCCCCCAGCCAGGACGGGAACTTCTTAGGATCCGGCTGCAGCCCAGGGCAGAGGAGTTCCCGCGGCTTCCTCCAGTGAGTTAAGTCAGGCCTGAGTGAGCATCTACTCTTTCTGGGCCGCTAGAGGGAGACCTTCGCAGCCTCGTACTTGGCTCAAGACACCAGGCTAAGGGGTGTCAGTGTGTGTGAGTGTATGTGTGTGTGTGAGTATGTGTTTTGTGTGTGTGTGAGTGGCGTGTGTGTGTTGAGTGTGAGTGTGTGAATGAGTGTGTGTGTGTTTTGTGTGTGAGTGCGAGTGTGTTTGTGTGTTGAGTGTAAGTGTGAATGAGTGTGTGTGTTGTGTGTGTAAGTGCGAGTGTAAGTGTGTGTGAGAGAGAGTGTGTGTGTCCTACCTGGGCATGCACGGGTGGGTGTGGGCAGTGACCTGAGCCCTGCACGTACTGCCAGGTGGCCCGGCTTGCCAAAGGTGGGGAAGGGTTATTTACCCAAAGTGGGAGAGACCTGCAGGCTGGGCGGCAGCGGCAGGAAGAACAGCGAGCGAGGCCACAGTGGCATCCATGGAAGATGTTATTTGGGGCCTTTTCCGTGCCTGCTACTGTTCTTCGCATCCTGCGTGTATCACGAGAAGCAATCCTATCAAAGGAGGACCTATGAATACAATATCCACTTTACAGAGGAAGAAACTGAGGCTCAGAGAGGCTGAGTCACTTCCAGAGCTGAGATTTGAACCCAGGGAGTGGGGGCTGGGGCCTGGGCTCCACAGCACAAAGGAGCCCTGCCTGCTGGGACAAGGAGCTGCCTTGTGGTATGGCCAGTGTGCCCAAGCCAGCCTTTGGAGCCCGCTGGGCTGGCTCTGGGTTCCAGCTCTGCCGCCTGCCTGCTGAGTGTCCTTGGGAAAGTCCCTCCACCTCCCTGAGCCCCGCTTTCTCCTCTGTAAGATGGGACTAATGACACCTATTTCTCTGGTTGTTTAGAGGTTTAATGGTTCACTGTATGCAGAGGGAGGCAGACTTCAGGGCCTCCTCAGGAGCCTTGGCATGCGGCCACAGGGCCTTTGTATGTACTGTGTGTGCGCCTAAGATGCCCATTAGAAAGATAAGATGCCACCTCACTGCGGACTCCCCTTAATCTCCCTGCTGCAGGGCCAGCTCCAGGGGTGTGTGACCTATGGAGGTGCACTGGTCCCCATGCTCAGAGCACGCTGTGCTGGGTTTAATGATCTCCGTCACCATTTCGAAATTCTTAGTGATTTTTTAACAAGGAGCCCTGCATCTTCATTTTGCACTGGGCCCTGCCAGTGTCACAGCTGGGCCTGCCCTGCAGTTTCTTTTTCTTTCTTTCTTTTTTTTTTGAGATGGAGTCTCGCTTTTGTTGCCCAGGCTGGAGTGCAATGGCATGATCTTGGCTCACTGCAGCCTCCATCTCCTGGGCTCAAGTGATTCTCCTGCCTCAGCCTCCCAAGTAGCTGGGATTACAGGCGCCCACCACCACGCCCAGCTAATTTTTGTATTTTTAGTAGAGATGGGGTTTCACCATGTTGGCCAGGCTGGTCTCAAACTCCTGACCTCAGGTGATCCGCCCACCTCAGCCTCCCAAAGTGCAGGGATTACAGGCGTGAGCCATGGTGCCCGGCTGCCCTGCAGTTTCTCCTCCTGCGCCGTGCCCCGCATGATCTGCCCCCAGCGAGGAAGGAGACTGAAGAGCAGCAGGGAGGGTCCCTGGAGACAGAGCGGGCAGAGTGGGCTCGACGCACCCCTGACACCCATCAGCAGGCGCCTTCCTCAATGCGGACAGGCAGACCCTCCTCTCTTGGGCACACACTCAGTCAGCCCCTGGGTCAGTTGCTCCTCCTAAAATGGGACTGACAGTTGAAGACCTCCAAGCTTCCCAGTCATAGCAGTGGCCCCTCTCAGCCCACACCCAGTCCACTCTGGATTGCTAGTGGGGATCCCCCGAGACAGGGTTCTCCCCCAGGCTGGTCAGCCCCACATCTGTGAAGCTTTCTGGGCCTCTCCACACCCCCAGTTCTCTGAGGCAGGCGGGGTCTCCAGGGCAAACTCGTGTGAGCCTCACCTGTGTGTTGCACCGTCCTGTCTGCAAACAGAAACCCTCACGCTGCCGAGCCGATGCCTCTGTCCCCAGCACCTCCTTGGGGACGGTGGACTCCATGGTCAAAGGGCCAACTCAGGGGAGCCACAGTATCTGTGCTTCAGGCAGCCCGAGTTGAGGACGTGTGGCATTCTGCTGGCATCGTTCATGCCTCACTCTTGGCTCTGGGGCTGGGCACTTGCTTTCTGGCCCAGCCTGCCGCCAGGGTGAATGGCCTCTGGGGCAGATGGCGTTCTGGGAACAGGTAATGTCCTGGCCAGCGGGCAGGCCGGAGCTGGAGCCTGGGTGGAGGGCTCCCCAAGGACCACCCTGGGTCCCACTCGGCTTTCCCTGCGTGGGGGCGACACTGTTGCCAGTTACAGACCGCCCAAGAGTGCCCCGAGATCTAAGCATAGGACACAACAGGGGCTGGTCTCATCCACCTCGGATCCACCCACCTGCAGCCCAGTCCGGCTGTGTCCCTCAGGTCACACTCACTGTGTTTTGAGAACTCTCCTCCGGGCCTACAAAGTTTGCCAAGGCGAATGTCAAAGGGATATGGGGGCAACAGCTCCCAAGATCAGCCCTAATCCACCCTCCTCATCTGCCCTCTCCATGGGGCCTCACTCCATGTCTCCAACATCTCAGGTTGGTGTCCAAGCCACGGCCTCACATGGACTCACCTCCTGCTTCAGTCTCTGTTTCTGACCAGGCTTCTTGCTCCCAGGGAGGAGCGAGCTTGGACCGCTGCTCTCAGAAGGGACCCTCCTAGCTGGACCTGCCCCTGATTTGGCCGGGTGCCCTGGGCTCTGTGCCCATCTCCACCAACCTCCCAGAAGCGAGAGCTGGATACCTGCCTCTCTGTGTCCAGCTTCCTTCCTTCCTTCCTCAACAATCAGTTATTAAACACCCAGGATACAGATGCACGGTGCTGCTGCAGCTGTCCTCCAGGCTGCCTTTTTTTTTTTTTTTTTTTTTTTGAGACAAAGTCTCACTCTGTCGCTCAGGCTGGAGTGCAGTGGCACGATCACAGCTCACTACAACCTCAACCTTCTGGGCTCAGGTGATCCTCCTACCTCAACCTCCCAACTAACTGGGACCACAGGTGCATGCCACCATGCCTGGCTTGTATTTTGTGTAGAGATGAAGTTTTGCCATGTTGCCGAGGCTGATCTCGAACTCCTGGGCTCAAGTGATCCACCCACCTCGGCCTCCCAAAGTGCTGGGATTTCAGGCGTGAGCCACCGTGACTGGCCCCATGCTCTTGGCTTCTAATCATAGACTTTGGGGCTCATTCAGATCACCTCTCATAGTGAACTTTTGTCACTTTCTTCTCCACCATCCACTTTACCCCAGGGATGAGCCTTCATTGGTCTAAGCCAGTCTGACTCTCTCACCCCCTTGGTTATAACGATATAGGATACATGTCCCAACCCGGGTCAGATGGCCCTATAAATAGGTTTCAGTTGCTTTACCTACAAGTAGTTCCTTTTTTTTTTGAGATGGAGTCTTGCTTTGTCACCCAGGCTGGAGTGCAGTGGCACGACCTTGGCTCACTGCAACCTCCGCCTCCCAGGTTCAAGTGATTCTCCAGCCTCAGCCTCCCAAGTAGCTGCAATTACAGGCGCACACCACCACGCCCAGCTAATTTTTTTTTTTTTTTTTTGAGACGGAGTCTGGCTCTGTCCCCCAGGCTGGAGTGCAGTGGCACAATCTCGGCTCACTGCAAGCTCCACCTCCCGGGTTCACGCCATTCTCCAGCCTCAGCCTCCCGAGTAGCTGGGACTACAGGCGCCCGCCACCACGCCTGGCTAATTTTTTAGTATTTTTAGTAGAGATGGGGTTTCACCATGTTGGCCAGGATGGTCTCGATCTCCTGAGCTCGTGATCTGCCCTCCTCGGCCTCCCAAAGTGCTGGGATTACAGGCGTGAGCCACCGTGCCCGGCCTACACCCAGCTAATTTTTGTATTTTTAGTAGAGATGGGGTTTCACCATGTTGGCCAGGCTGGTCTTGAACCCCTGACCTCCGCTGATCCACCCACCTAGGCCTGCCAATGTGCTGTGATTACGGGCGTGAGCCACTGCACCCGGCCAAGTAGTTCCCTTTCTGTTGCATTGGGACCTAGAGGCACATGGCCTGGGCCTGCCCAAGGGTGTCTTGTGACCATGAGGGAGAGTCTGCAGAGGACAGGGCCCCTCCCCGTGCAGGAGGGCCTGGCTAGTTGAGTGAGTCTCTGATGAGGCAGTGCCTCCGAGGGTCAGTCATGCTCAAACTCAGTGTGCCCCAAGTCCTGACCCCTGGTATTCTGGGCTATCACTGCCCAGGAAAACAGCACTCCAAACCCTGGCCTTCAGGCCTGTTCCTTTATGCTTATCGCTGGAATCCCTGGTCCAGAGGGTCTTCAAATCCACACAAGCCCCTCCTGCTTGGCCCTAACCCGATGGGTTAAGCGTTTCAAGGGAGGGCTTGAGAGGTCCCCAGGACATGCCTGGAGGGCCAATAAATGACCGTGAACGGTGGTGAGTGAGGCAGGTGGAGAGTGTGACCATGAAGAGCAGGGCAGACTCCCCAGAGTACTGTAGGGAGGCAGCTGCAGTCTGGATGAAGAGTACACGCCAAGGCCAATTGTGGTTGCTGGTGGGATGCAGCTGGGAAAGCGAGAGTGAGGACCCCAGACCCTGGCGGCTGCAATGCCTGGGGGCATGTGACATGGTGGTGAAGGGGGAATTGTGTGTTGATCCTACCCTGGCCGCAAGTCCAGGCTCACAGGCCATGGCCACTGACCACAGGAAGAGGCCTCCCTCCTTAAAGTCGGGAGAATATCCCAGAACTAAGGCTAGTCCTGCATCCTGGCCGGGAATCCCAGGCCAACACCCTCCCCGCGATCTTAGGTGCTTAGCAGCCCTGGCTGGTGACCCCTGGGCGGAGAGAGTACGGTAATTTGCAAGAAATCCAAGAAAGCCCTGGTGAGTGGTTGCTTTTCCTATGTTGCAACCATCCGCGAAGTGAATGCTGCTCTGTGTCTCTATTGTTGTTTTGATGGTGTTCGAGATGATGAGGAGAACCTGAGTCACAGCCTTTACGAGTCTGATTTCCTCAATTTACAGGAGCTGCCTACGCGTTCTGGAAGAATTCACATGCTGATTTGTAGGCGGCCTGGCCAGGTGCTTCGGAGACTCCAGCAGCATCGAAGGTGTGATTTTAGATCTGTACTCCCGAGGCTCTTGTGTTATTTAAGAAGGTCAGTGTGAGGCCGGGCGCGGTGGCTCACACCTGTAATCCCAGCACTTTGGGAGGCCGAGGCGGGCGGATCACGAGGTCAGGAGATCGAGACCATCCTGGCTAACACAGTGTAAACCCCGTCTCAACCAAAAATACAAAAAATTAGCCGGCGTGGTGGTGGGCACCTGTAGTCCCAGCTACTCGGGAGGCTGAGGCAAGAGAATGGCGTGAACCCAGGAGGCGGAGGTTGCAGTGAGCCGAGATCACGCCACTGCACTCCAGCCTGGGCAACATAGCAAGACTCCGTCTCAAAAAAAAAGAAAAAAAGGTCAGTGTGGTTAAATGCATAAGAAGTAATCAGTGTGTTAAATGTATGAGTTAATTGAGCATAGCCCAAGTGAAAGTGATTGTGTTTTCATATTAAAATTAGATTTATAAAGAGAATGCTAAAACTTGTTGGATTTTGGAATGCAAGGTCTAAGTAAAGGTAGGTTTTAATATTGACAACTTTTACACTTGATATATTGACTCTTTTTTTTTTTGAGACTAGACTCTGTTGCCCAGGCTGGAGTGCAGTGCTGTAATCATGGCTCACTGCAGCCTCAACCTCCCAGGCTCAAGCAATCCTCCTACCTCAGTCTCTCAAAGTGCTTAGACTACAGGTGCATGCCACCATGCCCGACTAATTTTTTAAAAAAAATTTTTAGCGAGATGACTTAGTGAGAGGTCTCACTAAATTGTCCAGGCTAATCTCAAACTCCTGGGCTCAAGCAATCCTCCCACCTCAGCCTCCCAAGTAGCTGGGACTACAGGCACGCACCACCACACCCAGATAATTTTCAATTCTTTTTTTTGTCGATAGGGTCTTACTATTTTGTCCAGGCTGGTCTCAAACTCCTGGGCTCCAGCAATCCTCCCACCTCGGCCTCCCAAAGTGCTGGGATTACAGGTATGAGCCACCGTGGCCAGCCTTGACTCAATTCAAATTCAAGTCACTAAGTCTTCCTTGGAAAGCACAAAACCTCCCCCAGGCATTAAAATATTCAAGTGACACAGAAAAGGGAGAGGTGAAGAGGAGCTACCACCTGGAGGAGAAGGTGGGCTCTGAGCCGGGCCTGGAGCCAGGCAGGGAGGTCTTCTTAGCACCCAGCAAGCTGCACCACCCAAGCACTGCCCTCTGCCACCCCACCTCTGCTGGCATGGAAACCTCCCTCTGGGGGTCCCTCTGGCTTCTTGGGTGGAGCCTCTTTTTTTGAGACAGTCTCACTCTGTTGCCCAGGCTGGAGTGCAGGGGCACAATCTCGCCTCACCGCAACCTCTGCCTCCCGACTTCAAGCGATTCTCCTGCCTCAGTCTCTTCGCATAGCTGAGATTACAGGCACCTGCCACCACGTCTGGCTAATTTTTGGGTTTCACCATGTTGTCCAGGCAGGTCTCGAACTCTTGATCTCAAGCAATCCACCTGCCTCGGCCTCCCAAAGTGCTGGGATTACAGGCGTGAGCCACCACGCCTGGCCTTGAGTCGAGTCTTGATGTCTCAATCACACTGCCCCAAATCCATACACTTGTTTATTCATTCAGCAAACAATAAAGCACCTGGACACTCCAGGTTCCATGCCAGGAGCTGGAGTTCACAGGAGAGCACAGGCCTCGGCCCTGGGGCTGAGTCTTGCCGCCTTCTTCATGGCTTGTGACTGCTGTGGTCTGAATGCTGGTGTCCCGCAGATTCATGTGTTGGAACTTAATGCCTAATGGGATAGTACTAAGAGGTAGGGCCTTAGGGGGCTGGTTAAGTCATGAGGGCTTCACCCTCACAAATGGGATTCATGCCCTTATAAAAGAGGCTTGAGGGAGCATGTTTCCCCTTCCGCCACATGAGGACACAGCAAGAAGGTGCCGTTTGTAAGGAATGGGTCCTCGCCAGACACCAGATCGGCCAGTGCTTTGATGGTGGACTTCGCAGCCTCCAGCACTGTGAGCAATGAATTTCTGTCGTTAGAAAATTACCCAGTCTAAAGTATTTTGTCAGTCCGGGCGCGCTGCCTCACGCCTGTAATCCTAGCACTTTGGGAGGCCAAGGCGGGTGGATCACCAGGTCAAGAGATTGAGACCATTCTGGCCAACATGGTGAAACCCCGTCTCTACTAAAAATATAAAAATTAGCTGGGCCTGGTGGCACACGCATGTAATCCTAGCTACTCAGGAGGCTGAGGCAGGAGCATCGCTTGCACCTGGGAGGCAGAAGTTGCAGTAAGCCGAGATCACGCCATTGCACTCCAGCCCGGGAGACAAGAGTGAAACACCATCTCTAAATAAATAAATAAGAAAGTATTTTGTCATAGCAGCCTGAGCAGACTAAGCCCCTGGCCCTCACTCAGCCTCTCCTCAGCCTGCCACTCCTGATGGGGACCTACTCTGGCTCTGTCCTCCCCACCCAAACACAGCACCCCCACAAGCAGTGGGGAGAGGTCCCCAGTGGAGCAGGAGTCCTCCTGGACTTTGTACCTGGGGCCACCCCAGCAGTTACCGCTTTAAAAAGACCACAACAAATGCTAAGCTTTGGTGTTCTTTATAGAATTCTTTTTAAAAAACAAAAAAATGATCATCATGTTTTGTTTGTTTTCCATTTAGAAGAGAAACACTTTCTCATTATTTTAAAAATAGAAACATTACAGAATAGGTACTGTGGAAAGTGAAACTGTCCTTTCCCCCGCCAAGCCTCTGTCCCTCTCTTCTTTCTTCCTGGGGGCTCAGCCTGCCAGGGCCACTGAGCTCTACCATACAGGTTATAGCTACCTGTCACTTCTTTTTTTTTTTTTTTTTTTTGGCCCAGGCTGGAGTGCAGTGGCACGATCTCGGCTCACTGCAACCTCCGCCTCCCGGGTTCACGCCATTCTCCTGCCTCAGCCTCCCAAGTAGCTGGGACTACAGGCGCCCGCCACCACGCCTGGCTAATTTTTTGTATTTTTAGGAGAGATGGGGTTTCACTGTGTTAGCCAGGATGGTCTCGATCTCCTGACCTCGTGATCAGCCCGCCTTGGCCTCCCAAAGTGCTGGGATTACAGGCGTGAGCCACCGCGCCCGGCCCTTAATTTTCTTTTTAATGCTTCTCCGTATTTTCTAGCTTTCTACAAAGATTAAGTAATCCATAAATAATTTAAATAAAGTATCATTTAAAAGTCTATTCTTTTTGGCCGGGCGCTATGGCTCACGCCTGTAATCCCAACACTTTAGGAGGCCTAGGCAGGCGAATCACCTGAGCCCAGGAGTTCAAGACCAGTCTGGGCAACATGGTGAAACCCAGTCTCTACTAAAAATATAAAAATTAGTCAGGCTTGATGGTGCATGCCTGTAGTCCCAGCTACTCGGGAGACTGACGCAGGAGAATCGTTAGAACCCAGGAGGTGGAGGTTGAAGTGAGCTGAGACTGTGCCACTGCACTCCAGCCTGGGTGACAAAGCAAGACCTTGTCTCAAAGAAAGAAAAGAAAAAAAAAAAGTCTATTCTCTTTGATTCAATATTTACTCTTCTGGGAAAGCACCCCAAAGAAATAATTCTAAATCAAGAAAAAGGCCTGGTGTGGTGGCTCTCGCCTATAATCCCATCACTTTGGGAGGCCGAGGTGGACGGATCACCTGAGGTCAGGAGTTTGAGACCAGCCTGGCCAACATGGTGAAACCCCATCTCTACTAAAAATACAAAAATTAGCTGGGCTTGGTGCATGGTGGTGGTGCCTGTAATCCCAGCTACTCAGGAGGCTGATGCAGGAGAATCTCTTGAACTGGAGAGGTGGAAGTTGTGGTGAGCAGAGATCGCACCACTGCACTCCAGCCTGGGCAACAGAGACTCCGTCTCAAAAAAAAAAAAAAAAAAGTGTTGTGCAGGAACAAAAAGATTAAGCCAAGCAGATTTGAGCCTCCTCAAGAAGGCCCTTCCTGACCCACCCTCCAGCACACCTGTCTGGTGGGAGACTGAGGCACAAGAGCAGGCATCTGCGTGGGACCATCACTGTCTTCGGAGTTGAACTAAAAATAGTGGAGCGTGGCCAGTCTACACGGACACCAGCCATCCTCTTGTTTCGTGTTTGCTAAATGCTGTGCTCAGCACTTTTCTGCATTATTTTATTTTATTTTCCCAAGAACTCTGCGTGGGCAGCCACTCTTCTTATCCCCCGTTTCAAGAACTTACTCACGGAGGACCTGCTCAAGGGGGACTTGCACGCAGCTCAGTGGGGGCAGAGCTGGGACTCGGAGCAGGGCCCACCTACCTCCTGGTCCGTGCTCTTACCCTGCAGGCTGAGCCGCTGCAGTGTGGCTCGTCCAGCAGGGCCTCATGCTTTCGGGTGATGCCTAACAGCCATTCCCCCTCCTCCTCATTAACAGAGCTCCAGCCCCACGGGATGAATAGAGATGGGCCTAAGCTGGTCCTACCAACCCCCTGCTCTTTTGCCAGTGATTGATCTAGAGTGCCTATGTCACCCTCACCCAGGTCTGCCAGTGAAATGTAGCGGGGGGGATTTCTGGAGGGCATTTGCTCTTGCTCACTGCACTGTTACGTGAGGGGGTGATGCTTGGAGCTGTGGCAGCTCCTTTGTGCCCATGAGAAGCAGTAGCCCTAATACTAGGGTGAGCAGAAATCCGTTTGACTTCCTTCAATACAGGACTTTCAGCACCAAAACTGGGAAAGTACTAAGCAAATCAGTATGATTGGTCACCTTAAATTGATGACACGGGAAGATAGAAACTTGGGCCCTTGTCAAGATGCTAACCTCTGGACTTTTTTTATTTTTTATTTTTTGAGACAGAGTTTTGCTCTTGTAGTCCAGGCTGGAGCGCAATGGCGTGATCTCGGCTCACTGTAACTTCCGCCTCCTGGGTTCATGCAATTCTGCTGCCTCAGCCTCCCGAGTAGCTGTGATCATAGGCACGTGCCACCACACCCAGGTAATTTTTGTATTTTTAGTAGAGACAGTGTTTCATCATGTTGGCCAGGCTGGTCTCATACTCCTGACCTCAGATGATCCACCCACCCAGCCTCCCAAAGTGCTGGGATTACAGGCATGAACCACCATGCCCAGCCTGGACGTTTTGTTATGTAAACAATGACTGTCTTTTTTTTTTTTTTTTTTTTTTGAGACAGAGTCTCGCTCCGTCACCCAGGCTGGAGTGCAGTGGCCTGATCTCAGCTCACTGCAACCTCTGCCTCCTGGGTTCAAGTGATTCTCCTGCCTCAGCCTCCCAAGTAGCTGGGATTACAGGCGTGCACCACCATGCCTGGCTAAGTTTTGTATTTTTAGTAGAGATGGGGTTTCGCCATGTTGGCCAGGCTGGTCTTCACCCCTGACCTCAGGTGATCCACCCACCTCGGCCTCCCAAAGTGTTGGGATTACAGGTGTGAGCCACCTCGCCTGGCCACAATGACTGTCTTTATGGTTGAACTCTTCGTTTCTTGCGGCTGAAATCACAGGGGTGAGACTTGCTGGCCTCCCATGCCCTGTCACCCCTTGCGTTTATGCTGTTCCAGTCCCGGAGCCCCTGGCCCCCAGGTCTGCCATGGATACTGTGTCCATCCAGCCAGGCGCCTCCCTAAGGCCACCTCCTCCTCAGGGGCTTCCCAGGTGTCCCAGCAGCCAGGGGCAGGCGTGCCCCGGGGTTACTCCTTTTTTCTGACGTGTCTCATGCCCTGCCTTTGTCATGGGTCGCTGGGCAATCACTGCTTCTCTTCTCGCCTGTCCCCTCCACCTTCCTGTTCCCCCACAAACTGTGAGCCCATAGGGAGCAGAGAGTACGGCTTCCTGTATCTTTCCCTCATCCCAGCCTCATGGATCACATGGAGAGCAGGCCACAGACTCAGTTTAACCAGTCTGCTACATGTCTTCTCTGGGCCAGGAAACGAGGTCAGGCCTCCTCATTCCTTCCTGGGCCGGCGGGCTCCCTTCACCTCATCCTGTTCCTGGGTTATTCGCTTCTGACGCGAGGCCCTAGGGCCACCCCAGCTCCACATCGGCCTGTCTTCTCTGCGCCCTGTGGCTGACTCAGCCCTGAATCACCTCTTCCACCCCAGGTCCTCTTCCCGGGAGAAGCTCCACCATGGGTGCCATTTCTCCTTGTCCCAGGCTTTTCTTGCCTCTGGGGACTCCAAGCCCTTCTCCGGGGGATTTCACCCAGCTGCTGTATATGACTCTCTGTCCCCTCTCTGGGCCTTAGTCTTCTCCTCTGGTAAAAAAGGATTCACCTTGATGCTATCTAAGTCCCTCGAATGAGACTCTGGGGACAGGAAGTATTTCAGTCGATGTCGTCATGTTGCCAGCTTCACGGGGACCAACCAATGGGCAGGGGAAGGAAGGAGGGCCACGCCAGTGTGTCTCTTGTCCTGGCTAGGCATAGGGTCCCAAGCCAGAGTTGGGGACAAGCTGACCAAGCAAACCTCTTGGGGTGGCTGCTCCTTTCCCAGGGAATCCATGCGAGAGGGTGGCCAGGGTCTGCAGGCAATGCCACCGGGCCACTGTGGATGGGAGCCAGTGGACTTCCAGGAAGGGAAGCTAAAGATACCCTCTTCCCGGCATAGCCCAGAAAGGACCGGGATCTAGTTCCCTGTCCTGTTGTCTCTGGGGGCAGGGGTGGTGACCCTGAGGGCCCTGGAGCAGCTATGTGGGGCTGGGCACTTCTGGGGGCTGGAGTCTGGGACCGGGCATCTATTGGCCGAGACTCTGGACCGGTGGGCGAGGGCAGGGCAGGGTGGGTGAATTACTGGAAGCCCCACTGGCTCTGTCTCTCTGCCAAGCTGCCCACTGCATTCTTTGGCCTCCTATTTCCAGGCAGTGTCTGGGATGGGTCCCAGGCCTGGCCTGCCCTGCACCGGGGAGTCCGTGTTTGGAGTCAACTGAGCTACTGCTTAGGGCGGCAGCTGAGGTGGGTGGGTGCAGCTTGGACATGATGCTATCAGGGACGCTGGGTACCTGGAACAAGGACCGCCTCTCCCTAGTGCCATCCTGGGAGCTCAGGTGACCTGGGAGGGAAGGGACATGTGTGAGTGCCTGTGTGTGCGCAAGCGTTCATTGTGGGGGGTGTGCACGTGCGTGTGCACACGCTAGCATAGGTGGCTGCGTTGAGACGAGGGGTCACAGGCCCGCATGTGCCCGAGTGTCCTAGGATGTGTGGGTGAGTGCAAACCTTGGGCAGGCCCTGTCTTCTCTAGACATCCCCGTCTGGTGGGGTGGCCAGAGGGGTGGCATGGGCAGTTTGGGTCTGGATCCCTAACCCACAACCTGCCCCAGGGCAGCTGCCCAGAGTGCTTATGCCAGAACATCTCCAAGGCCGCCAGACGTTGGGATCGCATGTGCCACTGCATTGGCTGTCCCCACCCCCATCCCCACGCCTCTGCCCAGGGACTGTAGGGTCGGCGAGAAGCAAAGGCGTGCCCCCATGCACTCTGGTGGCTGCACCATGGACACTGAGGTTGATGCCTGGGGTTTTCTTAGTTTTTTTTTTAATTTTTAAAATTTAATTTTTTATTTACTTATATTTTTATTCTATTATATTTTTATTTAATTATTTGTTTTTATTTAATTATTTTTACTGTGCTCAAATATACATAACATAAAATCTACCATTTTATCACATTTATTTATTTATTTATTTGAGACAGAGTTTTGCTCTTGTTGCCCAGGCTGGAGTGTAGTGGCATGATCTTGGCTCCTGGGTTCAAGAGATTCTCCTGCCTCAGCCTCCCAAGTAGCTGAGATTACAGGCGCTTGCCACCATGCCCAGCTAATTTTTGAATTTTTAGTAAAGACAGGGTTTCACCATGTTGGCCAGGCTGGTCTTGAACCCCTGAGCTCAAGTGATCCACCTGCCTCGGCCTCCCAAAGTGCTGGGATTACAGGCATGACCCACTGCGCCTGGCCGTTTGTTTTTGAGGTGGAGTCTTGCTCTGTTGCCCAGGCTGGAGTGAAGTGGCATGATCTCAGCTCACTGCAACCTCTGCCTCCCAGGCTCAAGCGATTCTCCTGCCTCAGCCTCCCAAGCAGCTGGGATTACAGGCACCCACCACCACACCTGGTTAATTTTTGTAGTTTTAGTAGAGATGGGGTTTCACCATGTTGGCCAGGCTGGTCTCGAACTTCTGACCTCAAGTGATCCTCCTGTCTCGGCCTCCCAAAGTGCTGGGATTACAGGTGAGAGCCACCACACCTGGCCCCATTTTTACCACTTTTAAACGTACAGTTCTGTGACATTAAGCACATTCCCATTGTTGTGCAACCATCACTATGACCCATCTCCAGAGTGCTTTCATCTTCCCAAGTGAACGTCTGTTCCCATTAAACACCAATGCCCCATTCCCCCTGCCCCCAGCCCCTGCCCCCACCAATCTGCTTTCTGTCCCCACGAATCTGACTGCGCTAGGGACCTCCTGTCAGCAGAGTCACACGGCATTTGTGCACGGCATTTGTCCTTTTCTGCTGGGCTTATGGCAATCAGCACAGCGTCCCCAGGGCTCACCCATGCTGCAGCCTGTGCCTGGGTTTCTCTCCCTTCCAGGGCCGGCTGCTCCTCCGTGTGAGTTTCTCCGTGTCGTTTCCCCACTGATCCGCAGGTGGACACCTGGGCTGCACCTTCTGGCTGCAGTGAGGAGCCTAGATGTTAAGCCTGGCACTGGACAGTGGTGGGCACCTGGGCACGTGATGGGACCCCCTGAGTCTCACTTTCTTCAACTATGGGGCAGGATCTGTAACGGTTCTGGTGGTTTTATTTATTTATTTATTTATTTTGAGACAGCGTCTCGCTCTATCGCCCAGGCTGGAGTGCAGTGGCGTGAACTGGGCTCTCTGCAACCTCTGCCTCCTGGGTTCACACCATTCTCCTGCCTCAGCCTCCTGAGTAGCTGGGACCATAGGCGCGCACCACGCCCGGCTAATTTTTTTGTATTTTTAGTAGAGACAGGGTTTCACTGTGTTAGCCAGGATGGTCTCGATCTCCTGACCTCGTGATCTGCCTGCCTCGGCCTCCCAAAGTGCTGGGATTACAGGCGTGAGCCACCGTGCCCAGCCACGGTTCTGGTGTTTAAGTGAGGTCAGGCATCCTCTGGGAGGTCAGCCGTCGTATTGGGTTCCAGGCCCGTGACTACTCACGGGAGGAGTGAGCTGGGCCACTGACTCCGTCTCTCACAAGCCTGGAACTGGGGAGCAGGAGAATCCCTCACCTCGTGGGGCTGTGGTGGGGACACTTGTGTGGGATGCAGCCAGCTCAGGATAGGGGCAGCGAGGACCAGGCACGAGTGGGAGGAGCGGGGCCCTCAGGGCTCTGTAGGGTTCTTGACTTTTTCTCGCTTCTGTGGCCTCCTCCTATCTCCTTCCCTAGGGCCCCACCTGGCCTTCCGAATCCTCTCACGGGGCATATCAGATCTACCCCAGCTGCCTGACCGGGAGAGCATCCTGTTCTTCCCCTCTGGAATTCCGGGTCCACAGCTGTCTTCCTACTCACATCTGGCCTCGGCATTCCCGCCAAGCCCTCCCCTTGAAGCACAAGGATGTTTTGTCCAGGATCCTGAGCCCAGGGCCTTCCAGGTGGCAGAGAGAGATCCGGATGTCCAGCCAGCTCTGGGGGTTCCCCCATCCTGCCAGTGTGGGGACCTCCTTGCTGTAGCCAGGTCAGGCCAGCCCTAGGGAGACAGCAGGATGGTTCCAGGAAGCCTGGGCCGCTCCCCAGATCAATGCAGGGACGGACAGCAGCCAGCAGGCTGGGCCACGGCATCAGAGCTGGGGTCAAGAGGTTTCTAGCCCTCTTGTGGCTCTCAGCCCCGGGTCCTGGCTGCTTCCTGCTGGGCAGTGACCTCCCCAGTCCATTTCCCTCCCTCCTTCCTCCCCTGGCCTGAGCTCAGCTCATGGAAGGAGGCCCTGTGTGCAGGAACCTTGATCTGCACCTCTGAAGGATGTCAGGGCAGCTTTTTCTCTGGGCCTGTATGACTCAGCGCAGGATTTAGGGCAGGTGGCTCCACCGTGGAGCCTCAGTTTCCTCATCTGGATGATGTGGGTGGACAATACCCAGTGCAGGATCCGTCCAGGCTTACATGAGACAGCAATATAGAAGCCTAGCTGATCACGGCCCCCAACACACCTTAACCCCTTCCCACTCCCCAGCTCCCCATCTCTAGACCGAGGGAGCCAATTAGGCTCTCCCGCAGCAACAGGTGGTGAGATAGAAGCTTCGAGGTGGAGGTAAAGAGTGAGGACTGTGCAGCAATGAGGAGTGGCCCAGATGGGTCTCCCTCCCTTCCTGTGCCACTTCTGCAGGCCCCAGTGCCTGAGGGGTCCAGGGCCCTATTTGGAGAGCTCCATGGTGGAGGAGGCTGCTCCTCCTTCCTGTGGACCACTCCCTGTCCCAGGGGCTGCTGACCCTGCTTCACTGCCTGGTGGTGGATGACGAGGTCATTATGAGATTAGCACACACTCCAACGCTGGGTGGAGAAACTAGGGTGGGAGCCGAGATCTTCTCCAGCTAGTTCATGCCCTGAACAACATGAGAAGGAAGCTGGGGATGGTCTCACACTTTGAGCTTCTCCCACCTGTCAAGGTTCCCTGTCTTCCTTCCAGAGCCCTCTTCCAGCCCCTGCAGCCTCTGTCCCCACTGCCATCCCTTGTGTGGTGACCAGTCTCCAAGATGGCCCCCCAGATCCTTGTCTCTGGTATTCATGCCCTTGGGTAGCCCCTCCCACACCGAATCAGGCAGATTCACATGACTTCAGGTCTAGGGCATAAAGCATCGCCTCTTCCATCTGGTCTTTCAGCTCAGATACTCTGGGGGAAGCCAGTCACTATTCCACGAGGAAGTTCAACTACCCCACGGAGAAGCTCATGTAAAGAGGAACTGAGGCCACCAGCCAACAGCTGCATGAATGAGCCACCTTAGAAGCGATCCTCCAGCCCCAGTCAAGCCTTCAGATGACTGCAGCTCTGACCACCATCTCACTGCAGCCTCATGAGAGACCTCAGGCCAGAACCACCCAGCCAAACCACTCTTGAATTCCTGACCCACCAAAACTGTGAGAGGTAATAAATGATTATTGCTTTAAATGACCAGGTTTTGGGGTGAACTGTAATATAGCCAAAGTAACCAGAATACCTTGGGAAATTGTACCCCGACTCATTGAGAAAGGCATCCCGGTGTGTCTCCTCTCTGAAAGCTCAGTCCTCTGCAGGCTGCTGTGTTAGTTTTCTATGCTGTGCAACACATTATCACGCACTCAGGAACTAAGACAACACGCACATTTACTATATCACAATTTCTTCAGGTCAGAAGTCTGGAAACTGGCTGGGCATAGTGGCTTATGCCTGTAATGCAAGCACTTTGGGAGGCCAAGGGAGGAGGATTGCTTGGGGCCAGGAGTTCAAGGCCAGCCTGGGCAACATGGTGAGACTACACCTCTACAAAAAAAAAAAGAAAAGAAAAAATTAGTTGGGCATGGTGGTGTGTGCCTGCAGTCCCAGTTAGGAGGCTGAGGCCAGGGGATCACTTGAGCCTAAGAGTTCGAGGTTGCAGTGAGCAGTGATTGTGTCACTGCACTCCAGCCTGAGTGACGACAGCCTGAGTGACAGAGTGAGACTCTGACTCTTAAAAAAAAGTTAAAAAAAAAAAAAAAGGATAAGTCTGGAAACTGCTTTACTGCATCCTCTGTTTCAGATCTCCTCAGGTTGCAAACAAGGTGTCAGCTGGGCTGGGTTCTCATCTGGAGGCTCAACCGAGGAAGGCTCTGCTTCCAGAGCCATGCTAGTTATTGTCAGATTTCATATTCTTGCTGCTGTGTGCCTAAGGGCCTGAGGTTTTTGCTGGCTGGAGGCTGGAGACCACCTGCAGTTCCTAGAGGCTGCCAGCACTTCCTCACCTCATGGGCTTCCTCAATGTGGCTGCCTACTCCACCAAGCCAATGAGGAGGATCTCAGTCCAGTCAGCTAAGTTGGAGTCTTTTCTAATGTAATGTAATCATGAGAGTGATGTCATCATCTTTGCCGTGTTCTATTGGCTAGAAGAAACTCCTAGGCTTTGCCTACATGCCCAGAGGAGCTTACCCAAGGGTGACTGCTTGCAGTCATTTTAAGGTATGTCCACAGTTACTGATGGGGGTTTTCTTTGGCCAGAGCCTTGCTGGCTCTAAAGAGGGAGAGGGTCTCTGCCTCATGACTGGGTGCCCCATGACATGCATTTCCTGATCTCCATCCAGTTTTCTACAGCAGTGAGAGCTAAGAAGACTGGTTTCCCAACAATTAGGCTTTTTTCCCAGTTAAGATGGAATAGTCCCATTTGAATCATGCACGTTTGTTGGTTAACATGATTCTAACCCAATTCCTACAAAATAATGACTCTGGTACCACAATTGAGCTTACTGTGTGCCAGACACCAAATTAGGTACTTAAAAAAAATTGAGATGCAATTCCATTACGTTGCCCTGGCTGGTCTTGAACTCCTGGGTTCAAGTGATTCTCCAGCCTCAGCCTCCCTAGTAGCTGGGATTACAGGTGAGCGCCACCATGCCCGGCCTAATTAGGGACTTTAATTCATTATCTTATTTAAGAATCACAACAGCCTTATGAGTAGGTATTATTATTTTCAGGGAATATTCCTTCTGAGGCACGGAACACACAAGTGAAGTGTCCAAGGTCAGCTAATAGCTGTCAGCCAGGGCTTTTTGAAGCCAGTGTAAACTGCCCGAAGCAATTAGCAGGAGGTTGTATCACTGGCTCCCATGCAGAAACACAAAGGCTTAGAGCTGGGCCTCAGGCACAGTTGGATCTAGATTCACCAGTGATGTCACCTGGAAACTGTCCCTCTCCATCTCCCAGGTCGGCTTTCCTCTGCCATAGCTTCGCCCTCAGGCAGGCTCTCTCTAGCGGTAGCAGAAATGGCTGCAGCCAGCTCCAGGAAAAGGCCGGGGCTGGATGGCCTTGGCCTGGTTGGGTCTTGTCCCAACCGGGTCTGGACCAACTAGGGTGTGCATGCGGTGTTTGACCAGCCCTGAGCAGGTCAGGCCCATCGCTGAGCCACATACAGCAAGAGTGATGAAGGGGTAGAATCCAAGATGCTTCCACAAAGAGAAGAGAAAGTGGGTGCTGAGCAGGCAACAGCACTGGATGGCAGCCTGGGGACAGAACTAGATTCCAATCCAGTTCCATCTGACTCCAGGGTGCTGCTGTCAGTCACTGTGCTGAGAAGAGTCCCGGGTGTGGCCAGGACCTGTACTGGGTGCCAAACTCACTCCCAGGCGAGTCCTTCCCGGAAGGGGGGCACCGTGAAGGCACAGGCCCTCTGTAGAAAATAGGACACGGGCGGGGGAACAGCTTGCTTCTTTTTTTTTTTTTTTTTTTTTTTTTTTTAGAGATAGGATCTCACTCTGTCATCCAGGCCAGAGTGCAGTGGCATGATCATACCTCACTGCTCCCTGGAACTCCAGGGCTCAAGTGATCCTCCCATCTCAGGTTTCCAAGTGGCTGGGACTATAGGTGCAGCACGTCACCATGCCTGGCTAATTTTCTTTTCTTTTCTTTTTTTTTTTTTGAGACCGAGTTTTGCTCTTCTCGTCCAGGCTGGAGTGCAATGGTGTGATCTCCACTAACTGCAACCTCCACCTCCCGGGTTCAAACAATTCTCCTGCCTCAGCCTCCCAAGTAGCTGGGATTACAGGCACCCACCACCATGCCCAGCTAATTATTGTATTTTTAGTAGAGACAGGTTTTCACCATGTTAGCCAGGCTGGTCTTGAACTCCTGACCTCAAGTGATCCACCTGCCTTGGCCTCCCAAAGTGCTGGGATTACAAGCATGAGCCACCACACCCAACCTTTTTTTAGAGACAGGGTCTCACTCTGTTGCCCAGGCTGGCCTCGAACTCCTGGGCTCCAGCGATCCTCCCACCTTGACCTCCCACAATGCTGGGATTACAGCATGAGCGTGAGTCACCGTGTCCGGCCTGAGGGGCAGCTTTCTTTCCATGCTAGGGAGAGTAGAGCAGCTGAGTTAAGAATGGCTTCTGTTACCAGCTTTTCCATGACCAGCAGTTATTGCTTGGGAGGATTTGGGATGCTTCTTGTTGCAGGATTTAATCCCTGCAGCAGCCCTGGCAGGTAGGAAACATCACCACCCCCATCAGGAGGGAAGCTCGAGGCTCAAAGTCCTCCAGACCCAGGAGTCATGGGTCTTAATCCCTCACTTAGAGAGGAGAGAACTGAGGGCCAGGGAGGGGAATGACCCCTGAGCTTCCTGTCCCTGTCCTGGGTACCTCTGGTCTCACCTCCAGTCTCCTTTGATTGACATTGTATTTTTAGATGGGTAATACATTCATATGGTTCAAAATTCAGTCGTGAAAAGAGTTTACTGAGAAATGTCTGTCTTTGCGATCGGCCGAATAATGGGCCCCCAAAGGTGCCCATGTCCCGATTCCTGGAACCTGTGACTATGTCACCTTATATGGCAAAAGGGACTTTGCAAATGTGATGAAGCTTAGGCTCTTGAGATGGGAGATTATCCTGGATCATCTGGGTGGGCCCTAAATGTAATCACAGGGGTCCTTCTAAGAAGGAGGTCTGAGAGATCCCTGCCTGCTGACTTTGAAGGTGGAGGGAGAGTGTCTTAGCATGAGCTGCCAGAACAAAATTCCACACTGGGGGCTGAAACAACAGACACTTATTTCTCACCATTCTGGAGGCTGGGAAGTTCAAGGTCAAGGTTGTGGCTGACTCAGTTCCCCGTGAAGTTTCTCTTCTTGACTTGCAGAGTTGCCTTCTTTTTATTTTTTTTTTCAATTATTTATTTATTTATTTATTTTTTGAGACAGAGTCTTGCTCTGTTACCCAGGCTGGAATGCAGTGGTGCGATCTTGGCTCACTATAACATTTGCCTTCCTGATTCAAGCGAGTCTCCCGCCTCAGCCTCCCGAGTAGCTGTGATTACAGGCATGCGCCATAACGCCCGGCTAATTTTTGTAGTTTTAGTAGAGACGGAGTTTCACCACGTTGGCCAGGCTGATCTCGAACTCCTGACCTCAAGTGACCCGCCCACCTTGGCCTCCCAAAGTGCTGGGATTATAGGCCTGAGCCACCATGCCCAGCCTTTATTTTTTACTTTTTGAGACAGGGTCTCCTTCTGTTGCTTAGGCTGGAGTGCAGTGGCACAATCACAGCTTACTGCAGCCTCCACCTCCTGGGCTCAAGCAATCCTCTTGCCTCAGCCTCTGAAGTAGCTGGGACCACGGGCACACACCAGCACACCCAGCTAATTTTCTTATTTTTTGTACAGATGAGGGTCTCACTATGGTGCCCAGGTCGTTCTGGCCTCAAGACATCCTCCTGCCTCAGCCTCAAGAATTGCTGGAATTATAAACATGAGCCACTGCACTTGGCTCACAAATCGTTTTTTAAAATGTATGTTTCCAGGCCGGACACAGTGGCTTACGCCTGTAATCCCAGCACTTTAGGAGGCCAGGGTGAGAGGCCGAGGTGGGCGGATCACCTGAGGTCAGCCTGGCCAACGTAGTGAAACCCCATCTCTACTAAAAAAAAAAAAAAAAATGCAAAAATTAGCTGGGCGTGGTGGTGGGCACCTGTCATCCCAGCTACTCGGGAGGCTGAGGTAGGAGAATTGCTTAAACCCAGAGACAGAGGTTGCAGTGAGCCGAGATCGTGCCACACTGCACTCCAGCCTGGGTGACACAAGACTCCATCTCAAAAAAAAAAAAAAAAAAGTACGTTTCCTAGCATATTTTATGGACATGAAAGCAAATGCTTGCATATACATATACACTTTCTTCTTTCTTTCTTTCTTTTTTTTTTTTTTTTTGAGATGGAGTCTCGCTCTGTCGCCCAGGCTAGAGTGCAGTGGTACAATCTCGGCTCACTGCAACTTCCACCTTCTGGGTTCAAGTGATTCTCCTGCCTCAGCCTCCTGAGTGAGTAGGTAGGATTATAGGTGCATACCACCACACCTGGCTAATTTTTATATTTTTTTAGTAGAGATGGGGTTTCACTATGTTGGCCAGGCTGGTCTCAAGCTACTGACCTCAGGTGATCCGCCCACCTCAGCCTCCCAAAGTGCGGGGATTACAGGCATAAGCCACCACGCCCCGCCAAACTTTCTTCTTTCTACCCCCATACAAATCATAGCATGCCATACACACTCTTCCGCACCTTGATTTTTATCCCTTAATATGTATTAGACTGTCAGACTGTCCTCTATCAGCCTTGAAAGGGCTCTCGCTCTCTCCCTTCCAGTGTTCCTTTGGACAGATGCGCCAGCACCTATGTGCCCCATTGCTGCATTTTGCACTGTGTACCTGTCAGGGTTCTGTGCAAGGCGAATCCACCTCAGGTGGTTCAAGCCAAAAGGGATTTTAACATAAGGAATCAGGAATTCATAAAATCATTGGAAAAGATTCATGGGCTTGAGAAAAACAATCACTGGGAGAGATGGAAGGTCAAAGCTTTCTGGGGTAAGGCCACGCCTCCACCACAGTCCCCGATCCTCCCCACTCCCACACCCACAAATCAGGCACTGAGATGGCAGAATGGGAAATGGAGCCACTGCCAACCAGTGCTTCTGCTGGAACCCACTTTCATACCCATGCAGCTGCAGAAAGACAAGAGTCTGTCTTCCTTCCACTTTCCAATCCCACAAGAACGCATTGATTTGCAGAGAGAAAGTCACATCTAGAGAGAACCTGGGAAAGAGTTTCTAGCTTTCCCACTGCTGTGGTCTGAATGTAACCCCCATCATAACTCCATGCAATAGTGTTAAGAGGTGGGTTCTTTGGGAGGTGATTAGGTCAGGAGAGCTTCTCCCTCGTGAATGGGATTAAGACCTTTATAAAAGAGGCTTTGAAGGCTGGACGTGGTGGCTCACGCCTATAATCCCAGCACTTTGGGAGGCTAAGGCTGGCAGATCACCTGAGGTCAGGAGTTCAAGACCAGCCTGGTCAACATGGCGAGACCCGTCTCTATTAAAAATACAAAAAGTTAGCTGGGTGTGGTGGCCCAGGCCTGCAATCTCAGCTACTCGGAAGGCTGAGGCAGGAGAATCACTTGAACCTGAGAGGCAGAGGTTGCAGTGAGCTGAGATGGCGCCACTGCGCTCCAGCCTGGGTGACACAGGGCGAGGCTCTGTCGAAAGAAAGAAAGAGAGAGAGAGAGAGAGAAAGAAAGAAAGAAAGAAAGAAAGGCTTTGTAGAGTGTTCAATTCAGCTCATTTTTTGCCCTTCCATCCCTTCTGCCCTGTAAGGATGCAGTGTTCATTCTCTCCGGAGGGTGCAGCACCAAGTCACCATCTTGGAAGCAGAGAGCAGCCCTCACCAATACCAAACCTGCCAGCACCATGATCTTGGACTTCTCAGCCTCCAGAACTGTGAGAAATACATTTCTGTTCTTTGAAAATTACCCAGTCTAGGTATTTTGCTAAAGCAGCATGAATGGACCAAGACACCAACCATCTAAAAAAAAGATTAAAGGAGCTGATTCCACCAGCCAGCATCTTGCTGATCTTCCACACCATGGCATAAAAAGCAGCAAGAGCTTTCACCTAATGCTATACAACTGTGCCCCAAACACACACACACACACACACACACACACACACCCTCTCCCCAGAATGAAAAACCTGATGTTCTGATCAGTCACTCTCCAGCTGTGGGTGGTGCTCACTCCTCTTCTGGGCAGAAATCCCATGAGATTAATTAAAGTCACCCATCCCCAGGGCCCCCAGAGGCATAAGTATCATTTGCAATATAGATTTTTCCAATAGTGCCCTCTTGGAATTGTGCAGTGTGCAGCCTGGACAACATTATGTGGTGACCCTGGGTCCTATACTTTATGTAGAATAGTAAGGAAAAAAAAAGAGGGAAAAAAGGAAATTAGTTAACATAAACAAAAATGAACAGGATAAAGGGGAAAGGTGTATGGTGGTCCCTCACTCTGCCATAGTTTCTACTGATAACTTCCTCCTTCCACCATCTAGCCATAATCCCTCCCCCTTGGCCAGCACCTCATATGGTCGTGGTTCTACCTGGGGTAACCCCATCTGTATATAATACAGCCGTCCCGCTGCAGGCCAGGTCGTGAACCAAGCTTGCAATAGGAGATACCCGTGACACAGCCCCTGCCCTTGAGAGGAGTCTCAGGCAGTAACAAACACAGGCCACTGGCTGGGCATGGTGGCTCATGCCTGTAATCCCAGCACTTTGGGAGGCCAAGGCGGGCGGATCATTTGAGGTCAGGAGTTCGAGACCAGCCTGGCCAACATGGTGAACCCTCATCTCTACAAAAAATACAAAAATTAGCTAGGTGTGTTGGCGCGCGCCTGTAGTCCCAGCTACTTGGGAGGCTGAGGTGGAAGAATCACTTGAACCCGGGAGGTGGAGGTTGCAGTGAGCCGAGATGGCACCACTGCACTCCAACCTGGGTGACATAGCAAGACTCTGCCAAAAAAAAAAAAAAAAAAAAAAAAAGCTGGGGGAAGGGTGAGCGTAGAAAATAGTTGTAGTTAAGAGACGGGGTTGGCTGGTTCAGCTTCCAAAGTCTAGGATTTGGTATCTGATAGTAAGAGCAGTGGCCAATGCGGGGGTCTCCAGGCAGGGCCCTAAGCACCGCGCCAGGTTAATGCTCCTCGCAGCTCTTGGGCAGGACTGACTGTTGGAGGCTTGTCCAGCAGAGACAGGAATGAGGGGACCGAGGACCCAGGCATGATGGGGCGGGGGCGCGGGGACCTGCAGCCCAGCGGGCTCGGACGACCTCGGACCCCCGCCGCTCCACGGGCAGGAAGGGAGCCCGGAGCGGCGCGGGTGCGCATTGATCGTGGTGCGGATGCAGCCGCTGCGGCGCGGCCCCGGCTTCTCTGCGAGCCCGTGCCCGGGCCGGGCTGTCGGGAACTCGGCCCGGCTCCACTTGCTCGCGCTTACTGGAAACGTGCTCCCGAGCGGCGCAAGGCTCGGCGGCTGGAGCCCGGGGCGGCCCTTGGCCGAGGGCAGGGCCGAGCCAGGTGCTCGGGCGCCCCAGGCTGCCGCGCCCTGCTGGGCCACCCTGGGCGCGTGCCACCCCCGGGGACCCGTCCCGTCCTGAGGGCGCCCAGGGCCTCCCAGCGCCGCTCTCCCCAGGGTGAGCGGGAGGAGGGAGGGAGCTGGGGGCAGCCCGGGGAAGCCGTGGGGCGGGCTTTCAGCAGCTGCGAGGCGAACCCGCCTCCCTTCCCGGTATTCTCGCGGCCACCCGGTGGAAGGTGGCGCCACGCCAGGGCCAGGCGGAGGCGGGGAGCCAAGCCCGCAGCCACGCCCTGCCCAGGGCGCAGGTGGGCTCGGCTGGAGGAGGTGCTGGGGGTGGGTGTGTCTCCTGACACAGGAAGAGCTGCCTCCTGGCTGCCCCAGTCACAGAAATGTTTATTGAGCACCTACTAGGCAAGGTGCGACCACTGCAGTGGGGGTGGGGGCACTTTTCTCCCCGGGCGTGTATATTTATTTATTTATAAACCATAGGCACTTTATTACTGGGTTTATATATTATGTATCCATAGAAGTTGAGATTTAAAGAGGATGAATTAAAAAATAGAAACAGAGGGGTTGTTTTCCTTTCCGTATGCCAGTGAGTTGTCTTATACATGTCCCACTTTGGAGACCTGGGTTTAGTGGCTGTATCCTGCTGGGCGCCCCCCTCCCCAGAGCTGGAGACAAAACCCCCACCCGCCCCCTGGTTCACGTCATCCTGCCTCATGAGGCCCAGGGCTGAGCTGTTTTCGGGGCCCTGGTCTCGGCTTCACAGCCTGCAGTGGAGTGTAGCAGATGGCAGACTAGGGTAAGTGAGGATGCCTTGAGATCTGGGTTCAAATCTTGCGTCTGCTGCTCCCTGGCCCAGTGACCTCGCACCTCTCTGAGCCTCAGTTTCTTCTTCTGTAAAATAAAGGGAGTGGCATCTCCCTCTTGCCCGGAGGTGGGCCTGGGGGCTGCAGGCTGCCCTCCTGATCTGCTCTGCTGCCAGATGGGCACAGATAGGCGGGGGGATGACAGCCCTGAGTGAACCCAGAAGGCAAAGTGGTTAGGAACACACCCCAGAGGCCAGGCAGGGTCCTGCAGGGTCCTGCAGATTCAGAGAAAGAACCCATTTATCCTGGGGTTTGGCAGAGATTATGGTTCCGGTAAAGGGTGGTCATTAGTAAAGTCCATGTCATGCAGCCGAGGGCCTGTGGGAAAGGTAGGGTTCAAGGAGGAGTTAGTGGGAGAGGAGAGTGAGGAATCAGAGTTGGTCAGTCAGACAGTCAGTCAACAAACACAAACTGAGCATGGCCTCTGTGCCAGGCATGGTTTTAGGCTGTGGATAACCAAGGAGCTTGCTCAGCAGCCTGGGGTTCTTTGCAGCCCAGGGTGTCCCTGTCAGGAGTGGGCACTGTGTCTCTGAGGAGCAGTGGAGTCACCTGCAGGCCAAGGCTGGGAAACCCTCAGGAGTGTGGGGGAGGCCACCCCCTGAGGTGTGGTCCCCCCCTGGGTAGAGAGTGACTCAGGCCCCGCCCAGCCTCCCCACTGCCTGGGTTTGGTTTGTTTAAGAACAAATTAGTCACAGAGCAGGCAGCTTTCCCGAAAATAAAATGAGAATCCCCAGGAAACAGGGAAAATGGAAGGCGGGCGGTGAGTCAGCACGTGCTGCCCCCCGGGGCTCCAGTTTCCAAAAGGGCCTCCTGCCCTGCTCCTCCTCCTCCTCCTGGGTCTCTCTCTTTCTCTTTTACTTTTCCTCTGGTCCCCTGTTGACTTTTTCCCTCACCGAACTCACTGAATCTCAGTCCTCACACACGCGCACCCACTCACTTCCTGCCCCTTATCGTTTCCCTCCCTGCATCTGTCTGTCTGTCCAGCCTCGATCTGTGCACCCACTGGCTCCTTTGGTGTTTACAGAGCACCTACCAAGTCCAGGCACTGTGCACCACGGGAGGGAGTGGGGAGGCAGAGAAGGCCTAGGTCTCTCCTCCCAGAGCCCTTTCTTGTTGGAAAAGGAGACTTGTGCCGGGATGTGGCCAGCCACGGCCGCGCCTGGGTCCCCTTCCCCAGCCCCTGCTCCTGTGGTTGGTTCCCCCGGATGGACAGAGCTGGGCCCCCAACAGAGAACGATGCTTGAGGATCCCATTCCAAGCCAATGCCGTCTCTGCCTCCCTCCCGGCTCGGAGCACAAGGCCTGCACGCTGAGGGCGAGTGCGTGGTGGAGCAGGAGCTTCGGGGCGGTGTTTCTCACCCAGCCATGTCTCCCCTGCCCAGAACCGGGCATCAAGGGGAGTGAACTGCGGGCTGTTTTGAATTTGAGGGACAAGCTTGGTTGTCCCTTGTTCCCTGCCTCCCCATTCCAAGCCTCCTGTGGCAGAAGGAGGCCAGGCCATATCTTGAGGGAGGATTCTGGGCGTGCCTGCTTCACCCCAACAGCCCAAGGTCAGGGGAGGGGCTCCAGGCCGCAGGGGGTACAGCAAGGGGAAGCCACTCAGGCCCCTTCCCATCTGGACAAGTCCCTGAGTGCCAGGGCCCTTTGACTCTCTCCTGTCTCCCTCCTCCCCCATCTCCCAGCTAGAATCCAGGCTCTCCCACCACCCTCTGGGACCCCTGGGGCCGCTCACTTTCCAGACCCCTCTAATTCGGGCACTGGCCCCTCAGGAGCCGGGGAGGTGGCCCTGTGCCTGGGTCATGGGGCTGGGCTGGGGTCTCCTGCCTCTCGGGTCACTGTCCAATCTCTGTCTGCAGCTCTCGATGAATAATTTAGTTGTTCGAATTACAGGAAAGAGCTATTTAGCTTCCCTTCCCAAATCGTTAAGAGCTGATGATACAAGACGTCTTGGTTCCTTCTAAGGAAAGTCCCTTTCCCAGTGAAACTGAGCCTTGTGGGCGGGGATTTCTCCCCCTCCAACTCCCTCACCAATCATTAACCAATATCCGACAGTAATAGGGTTTTTTCTTTTTTCTTTTTTTTTTTTAAGCTCAGCTATATATATTCTAAAGTATATGTCAGTTCTTGGGAGCAGGGAAGTATAACTGATCTGAAGGGTGGGGTGGGGGTTCTGCTCTGGAAGGAGCCTTGGGTGAGCTAATGGTGACCCCAAGTCATAATTGCAGGTCCCTGGAGGGGATTTAAGATATAGGAAGTAGCACTTCGCAAGCCTGAGAGGAAGAAGCATGGGGTGTAAAACTGTTCAGGTGGTTCAAGAGTGCGTGTGCGTGTGTGCATGTGAGTGTGCATGTGTGTGTGAGAATGTGAATATGCACATGTATGCGTGTGCACGAGGGCGCACACGTGTATGCACAGATGCACACGCATACCTGTGTGATTGTGCATGTGTGCGCTGTGCATGTACATATGTGCGTATGTGTGCACGTGTGTGAGTGTGTACGTGTTTATAGGAGCATGACTGCCTGAGCGGCATGGCTGGAATGTGTGGACCGGGACCAGGTGGGGGTTTGCAGTGCAGGGACAGCACTTCTTGTTTTCAGAGCTGGGAGAGTTGGGGTGGGGAATCTGGGTAGGGCTGGCCTCCCAGTCAGGTGACTTGCAGGCAGGGAGGGGAGGGGCTTTAGGAAGTTCAGAGAGTGGGAGGGAGGAACAGGGAAGGGCAAGGGTGGGGACCTTGGCTGGAAGGTTCAATGCAAAGTGAGGCGACATCCAGGATTGAGCATTCTGGATCCTAGACCCAGGGATGGCTGGGAGGTGGGGCTCCCCTGGGTGAAGGAGCCAGGTGGGTGTGTGAGCCAAGAGTTAGCTGTGGCTGCCAGAGGAGGGGGCTGGAGACGAGGCTGCCAGCCTCAGCCTGGCTGAAGAGGACCTCCCAGCACCAGGCCAGGGGAAGGTGGACAGGTAGGGAGAGAAAAAGGAGGGAAGGAATGAGGACTGAGCTAGCAGGTCCCACACTTTGCAGGTGTGGTGAGGAGGAGAGAGGGAAGAAGGGGGACCCTCTGCAGTCCTGGCTGGCAGGAAGCTTGGCCTGTGCTCTGGCAAGCACACCCTGCCCTGCTGGACTCACTGGAGGAGTCTGTTCTCTGTGTGCCCGGCAGAGGGATAGACACGCATTTCCCACGACGTCACCCACCCCAGAACCACTTAGCCTGCAGCCTCCCCCAGATTCCCTGACTTCCCACCTGAGCAAGCCCAGCTGGCCTCCCGCATCCACTCAGGTGCCCTCCGTGTGTTGTCTTCCGGACAGGGGCACCCAACACAGGTGCAAGCAGTGCGTGCTAGGGCCGGAGAGGAGGACAGTGGAGGCTGCTCCCAGCCTCCTTTTTCTTCCGTACTCCCACCAGCACCTCCACCCCACCTCTGAAACTCCACCCCAATTCTGGGGAGTGTGGAGATGACTGAGGAAGGGGGGATATTTCCAGAGCCACTCCAACTGGTCCCAGATGCATCAGAGGGTGACCCTGGGAGGCCAGTCCTTAGGCAGCTGCCTAAGGACCCGACTCTGGAAGGGAACTCAGAGACAAATGAGGAGCAGACCAGCCCCAGCTCCGGGTTTGCAGATCTGGGCAGAGTGAGGAAAAGGCCGGGAAAGAAAAACCAACCCCCGGAATCTATCTCAGAGAAGCATCCGTCCAGGTAGAGAGGGACCCCAGCCCGACCGCCACCCTCACCCAGGGGAGAAGCCTAGCAGCTCCCTCTGGGTTGGGTGTGCATGTGTCATCCCACCAAAGTGTGCTGGGATTGGAATGGGCACGACCTTCCCCCAGAGAGATCGCCTGGGCAGCCCCGTAAGTGTCCAGGGGTCCCCTGAGAGCATTCTATGGTCCCAGCCTCCCACAGGAGCCCCAACAATGCTCTCTGGCTCCTCATCCTCCTTGGTGGCAGCTCCTCTCCCCACCAAAGGGCCATGTGGGTCCCAGCTGTGACCTCAGCACCCCTCAGCCAGATGTGGACCCGCCCCAGACTCCATCACTCTCTCTGCTCTCTTCACAGAAGAGAGGTGGAGGGAGGACCCCACGGGCCTCGCTGGTGGCAGGCGGTGGGGATGTAGCGGGGGAGTGTGTGGGGGGGGTTAGAGTTAGGACAGCAGCCCCTCCCCAAACCCCGATCCCTGAGCCCCAAGCCTGTCTTGGCTCCATGGGGCAAGGGAGGGGTAGTCAAGCCCCACAGAAGAGAGGCATCCCCCAGTTTCCATGGAGAAGGATCGGGGTGTCCTGATTTGGAGGCTTCCATGCTGTCTGCTGCTCCCTGTGGATACACAGTTGGGGCGCTCTCTGTTCCTCCCTAGTCCCTTCTCTCCTCCCTGCTTGCCTGGGAGGCTTGGGCAGGAGGGCACCTGGATGGTGGCCACTAGACAGAGCCCACCCCCCGCCGCTTGACCTCTGCCCTCTCCTGGGTGGGAATGGCAGGGCCCTCTTTGGTGTCAGGAGCTGGTGGCCTCTGTGGCCTCTGTCCCGCCCGCTCCCAACACCTGCCTTCCCTTCTCTGCTCCAGCTGCAGTCGGCTTCTGCCAATGCCCAGAACCTTGTAGTCTTTTGCCCGCTGGTTTTGCATGTGCTTCCCCTAGGCCAGAGGGCAGCAAACTTTCTCTGAAAAGGGCCAGGTAGTAAATATTTCAGCCTCTGCTTAGTGAGGAAGCAGCCATGGACCACTCACGAACAAGTGAGTATGGCTGTGTTCCAACACAACTGCGTACGCACACTGCAACTTGAATTCCGTGTGATTTTCACATCATGAAATATTCTTTTTTCTTTTGCTTGGTTTTTCAACCACTTAAAAATGTAAAAACCAGCCAGGCACAGTGGTTTACGTCTGTAATCCCAGCACTTTGGGAGGCCAAGGCGGGAGGATCACTTGAGCCCAGGAGTTCAAGATCAGCCTGGGAAACACAGTGGGATTCCGTCTTTACAAAAAATGAAGAAATTAGTCAGGCATGGTGGTGCACACCTGTGGTCCAAGCTAGTCAAGGAGGCTGAGGCAAGAGGACCCCTTGAGCCCAGGAGGTCAAGGCAGCAGTGAGCCATGATCACACCACTGCGCTGCAGCCTGGGCAACAGAGCGGGAACCTGTCTCAAAAAAATAATTAAAATTAAAATTAAAACATGTAGGCCGAGTGCGGTGGCTCACACCTGTAATCCCAGCACTTTGGGAGGCCGGGATGGGCAGATCATTTGAGGCCAGGAGTTCGAGACCAGTCTGGCCAACATGGTGAAACCCTGTCTCTACTAAAAATAGAAAAAAAATTAGCCAGATGTGGTGGCACACGCCTATAGTCCCAGCTACTTGGGAGACTGAGGCATGAGAATCACTTGGACTCAGAGGCAGAGGTTGCAGTCAGCTGAGATCGCACCACTGCACTCCAGCCTGGGCAACAGAGTGAGACCCTGTCTCAAAAAAAAAAAAGAAACTAAAACGTGTAAAAACCATTTTTTTTTTAGTGGAATCTTGCTCTGTTGCCCAGGCTGGCGTGCAGTGGCACAGTCTCGGCTCACCACAACTTCCACCTCCCGGGGTCAAGCCATTCTCCTGCCTCAGCCTCAGCCTCCCGAGTAGCTGGGATTACAGGCACGCACCACGATGCCGGGCTAATTTTTATATTTTTGAATAGAGATGGGGTTTCACCATGTTGGCCAGGCTGGTTTTGAACTCCTGACCTCGTGATCCACCCACCTCGGCCTCCCAAAGTGCTGGGATTACAGGTGTAAGCCACCGCGCCAGGCCTGTAAAAACCATTTTTTGCGGGCTGAACAAAAACAGGCAGCACGTTGGATTTAGCCTGGGGGCAGTGGTGGAGGTTTGCTGACCCCTGTACTAGGCTGCTCCATTGGGGAACTCTCTCAAGGTTCAGCGGAAGCCTCCCTTCCCGGACCAGGTGAGATGCCCCATAAGACCTGTACTGCCTCTCTTCTGGCAGGCCGCCTAGCACCCTAGGTGCTCAACAACAGTTTGTTTTGTTTTGAGACAGGGTCTCACTCCGTCACCCAGGCTGGAGTGACAGACCACGTCTTACTGCAGCCTTGACCTCCCAGGCCCAAGCAATCCTCCGGCCCTAGCCTCCCAAGTAGCTGGGACTACAGGCAGGCACCACCACACCTGGCAAATTTTTTCTATGTTTTCTTTTTTTTTTTTTTTCTGAGACAGTGTCTTGCTCTGTCACCCAGGCTGGAGTGCAGTGGCGTGATCTCGGCTCACCGCAACCTCCCCCTCCCAGTTTCAAGCAATTCTCCTGCCTCAGCCTCCCAAGTAGCTGGGATTACAGGCACGAGCCACCATGCCTAGCTAATTTTTGTATTTTTGGTAGAGACGGGGTTTCACCATTTTGGTCTGGCTGGTCTCAAACTCCTGACCTCAAGTGATCCACCCGCCTCGGCCTCCCAAAATGCTGGGATTACAGGCGTGAGCCACTGTGCCCAGCCCTTATTTTTTCTATTTTTTACAGAGATGAGGTCTCACTTGTTGCCCAGGATGGTCTTGAACTCCTGGGCTCAAGCAATCCTCCTGCCTCAGCCTCCCGAAGTTCTGGGATTGCAGGTGTGAGCCACTGCACCTGGCCTACTAGTTTGTTGATTAAAGGTGCTTCCTACACATTGTCTCCTTTGATCTTCACAATGTCTGAGCAAAGCATAGCAATTATCCCCATCCCTGTTTTTGTTTTGTTTTGTTTTGTTTTGTTTGAGACAGAGTCTCGCTCTGTTGTCCAGGCTGGAGTGCACTGGCACCATCTCAGCTCACTGCAACCTCCGCCTCCCAATTCTCCTGCCCCAGCCTCCTGAGTAGCTGGGACTACAGGAGTGCACCACCACGCCTGGCTAATTTTTCTGTTTTTAGTAGAGACGGTTTCACTGTGTTGGCCAGGCTGGTCTCGAACTCCTAACCTCAGGTGATCCACCCACCTTGGCCTCCCAAAGTGCTGAGATTTCAGGCGTGAGCCCCCACACCAGGCATATTATTCCCATTTTTTAAATTTATTTTTATTTATTTATTTATTTTGAGATGGAGTCTTGCTCTGTTGCCCAGGCTGGAGTGCAGTGTCGTGATCACGGCTCACTGCAAGCTCTGCCTCCTGGGTTCAAGTGATTCTCCTGCCTCAGCCTCCAAAGTAGCTGGGACTATAGGCGCCTGCCACCACGCCCGGCTAATTTTTTGTATTTTTTTTAGTAGAGACGGGGTTTCACCATGTTAGCCAGGATGGTCTCGATCTCCTGACCTTGTGATCCGCCAACCTCGGTCTCCCAAAGTGCTGGGATTACAGGCATGAGCCACCGTGCCCGGCCTATTATTCCCATTTTATAGACAAGGTAGTTGAAGTCTAGAGAGGTTAAGCAACTTGTCCAATGTCACCCCGCTGGCTGAGGCAGAGGCACAAAGGGAGTCCGCACACTGTTTTCCGGGCAGCTGGGCAGCTGGAGAGCCTGGCCTCTGTCCACTGGTCCAGGGCTTTAGGGGATGAGACCGGGCTGTTCCAGGGGTCCAGGGAGCCCAGCCTGCCTCCATCCCTGGTCTCAGGCTTGCTTGGGAACTGACGGGGGTGCTCCTTGACCTCCATCCACCGAAAGGCCCCTGCCCTTCTGTGGAGCAGCATTCTTTACGAGTCATTTCTAGGACTGGGCTTATGACTCCTGGTCTTCAGGGATTGAGTCCTGCCTTCTCAGTCATCCCAGGTCAGGGCTAGAGTTAGTGACTCTGATTCTGTAGTCCCTGGCCCACCCTTCCTGAGCCTTCCTTTGGAGCCATCACTTAGCCCAGCTGGGGCCAGTAACTGCTCTCTCCCCTGCCCCACCCCCAGCTGTGGACATGTCCCCATGGTCTCAGCCTCTTCTCAGCCCTGCTCCACTCAGCCTCCAGCCAGACCATCTCTGCCAGGCCTTCATCTCCCCATGCGTCAGAGGAGGATGACTGCCCGGCACCCTCCCACTCCCAGCGTCAGCCTGGGAATTGGGGCGTGCTCCTGGGCTGGGCCTGATGTACACGGTGTGCAGCTGTGGGCTCCCTCCCAATCACGGGGTATCTCAGGAGGTTTCTGAGGTTGGGGATGGGGGTGGCCCTCTCCTTTGGATTTGAGGCAGTGGCCCCAGGACCAGCGGGGTCACTCGGCTCAGCACTCCCTTCCAGTTCTTTCCCACAGAACATCCTGGCTTCAGGGATTCCCATCACGCGGCCAGAGTTCATCGGAAGTCCCCCTCCCTCATCCCCTGGAGGGAGGAAACAGACCAGGTCATCTGGCTGAGCGGGAGGAGAAGGCTCGGGTTCTGGGGAGGGGAGCCTGGGTGCGGCAGGGTCCAGGGACAGTTGGCATGGGCGTAAGTGCAGGTATAGAATTCCACATAGGGCCTCACAGCTTTGGGGGCCATGAGATGACAGCGTCACCAATATCAGTGATCATCACCTCCCATCCAGAGGCCGAAGAAGCAGGGCCCTGCCACAGGCAGCCAGGCTGGCTCTGCTGGGGGAACAGGCAGAAGAATTACAAGGAACCAGATGTGGTTCTTTTTTTTTTTTTTTTTTTTTTTTAAGATGAAGTCTTGCTCTTGTTGCCCAGGCTGGAGTATAATGGCACACGATCTTGGCTCACTGCAACCTCTGACTCCCTCTGACTCCTGGGTTCAAGCGATTCTCCTGCCTCAGCCTCCCGAGTAGCTGGGATTACAGGCACCCGCCACCACACCCAGCTAATTTTTGTATTTTTGGTAGAGACGGGGTTCGCCACGTTGGCCAGGCTGGTCTCGAACTCCTGACCTCATGATCCGCCTGCCTCGGCCTCCTAAAGTGCTGGGATTACAGGCATGAGCTGCCGTGCCCGGCTCCAGATGTTGTTCTTTAGAAGAGGCCCCAAAGCCCTCTTCTCTCTCCTTCCTGTGACTGCAGCTGAACTGCCCAGGGTCTCCAGCCAGTGAAAGCCAATGTGGTCATGCTGGCCCCTCCTGAAGGCCTCACTCTATGGGCAAAAGCAGCCCTCTGGTATCAGTCATATGCAGAGCCACCTGCCAGCTGTCACCAGGAGGATGGGGACATGTTTCCTAGGCTGGGGGCAGGGGCAATGCTGAACACTTGCAGAGCAAGTAGGAAGGAAAGAGGGAGAGTGGAAGGAAGGAAGGAAGGGAGGGAGGGAGGGAGGGGAGAGAGAGAGGGAAGGAGAGAGGGAGGAAAGATGGATAGAAGGGTAGAGGGGGGAAGGAATAAAATAAAGAAGGGAGAAAGGAGAGAGGAAGGAAGGAGGAAGTGGGAGAGGAGGGAAGGAGAGAGGAGGGACAGGGCGCCACTTTGTGAGGGGAAGCCGGGCTGAGAAGCGCCACTTGTGTATTTGCTTATTTCTTTGCTCTCCGGTGGAATTTCTCTGTCGTCCCCCCACGTGCCCTTATCTGTCTCCTTGCCATCTCCCTGGCTCTGGCCCCAGATCCAGCTGGGATTGGCAGCCCTGTGCCCACAGGCCCGGTTGCCTTGGCAACGCCCCTTTGTTAGGCACCAGCATCTGAAAATGTCAAACTGTTTCCAGTGGGTCAGACCTGCCTCCCTCCCTTTTTTTCCCCTTCTCCTTTTTCAGTTCCAGTTGCCACTGCCCAAGTTGCAAACTTCCTCTGTCTCCATGGGGATGGAGGAGGGCTGTCTCTCTTTTTCCGTCCCAAACATCTGTCTCTATAAACAGTTGTGTGTGCGGCACCTCCTCCTCCTGGGCCCGGGCTTCGGGGAGGAAGTGCTTTGTTGATCTGGAGGGGGTCGGTTTCCTTGCTCCTCTCTCGGGGCTGGCCCCGGTGCTGGACGGCTGCAGCCGTGGACTCCGGGAGCTCCAGGCATGTGGCCAGTACTCATGGCTCCTCTGGGGCCAGTGTCTGGAGAGAAGGGCAGAGGTTCTGCTCAGTCATCTGGTAGACCTCAGCTTTGCTTTGCTTGCTAGGTTGCCTTAGAGAGGTTACTGAAAGTCTCTGATACCCCTCTGTGCGGCGGGGATTTGTTGAGTGGGTAATGAGCTGATCTACGCAGAGTGTCAGGAGCAATTCCTGGGTCTTTGCGTCAGAACACTCCTGGAGTTCACGCTCCCAGTGATTCTGCACCCTACGGTGAAGATGCCATGATCATACTGCGATGATCAGCCCCCTTTGGGAGAATGTTCAGACTCAGAGAGGTTAATCGGCCCAGGGCTTACAGGGACTTGGTGGCAGAGACAAGATTCCACCCCAGGAGGCAAGCCCAGACATTTTCCAATCCACTGGGACCTCTATCAGAACCCTGGGCCCTCAGTTTGCAAACTGAAAAGCTTAGATTCAGTGACCTCCTTCCCAGCTTGAAACTTCTTTATTTCAGGGAAGAGGGTGGGGCGAGCTAAGAAGCTAGAAGCGTTTTGCCGTGAGCCAAGGACCAAGGACGGGAATGCACGATGTACGAGCGAGGAGTCAGGGACGGGGACTCCGATGGCCGATGACTCAGACCTGCTTTGCCTGGCTGGGGGAACTGGGCCATGGGAAGAACACAGGACTGGCCCCGGCCCAGGCCCAACCCCCGCTTGGCCACGGCGGAGAGCCTGCCCCAGGCCCACCTGGCCGAAGCACCAGCATCATTCCAGGGGCCTCACCCTGCCTAACTCCCAAGTCCATGTCCAACACCTTTTCCTGTGTCCACAATTCTCATGTGGTTCAAAGACGTAGATCCATTACTGTTTCCAGATGATCAAAGCAGCTACCTAATTAACAACCGAGTGAATGTCCAAGTTAGAGCTTTGGCGTTGGAACAGGAAGAACTGGATTTGAATCCAGCTCTACTAATTAGTGGCTGACTTGGATGGGTTAATCTCTCTGACACTTGTTTATATCATCAGTGAAATGAGTGGCAGGGTAACAGGACCCACTGGAGATGATGCCTACAAAGTGCTAGGGGTTTTGCGTGGCAAGTGGCTTCAGAAACAAGGAAAGTACCACTGTTGCGATTATTCAGTTGGCTCAGGCAGGCGGAGGCTGTGCTTCCACATCCCACAGGGCCCTGTGTCCCCAGAGAGCAGGACACGTAGGAATTTGCCATCTCAGTGCAGTGCACAAGGACAGAAGCAAGGGCAGCAGGGGCAGTCAGGCTGCCGGGGCAAGGGGCAAGCTTCTGTCCAAAGCAGAAACACTGGCTGGGCCTTCTTTGGTCCAGCAAACCTGGACCTTGGCAGGAAAATGGGTATAACAACGACCTCAGCTGGCGCTTGCGGGAACCCACGATAGGTGCAGACCCTCAGAGGTGCATGGGGTGTGACTCTCCCTCCACCTCTGTCCAGACCCCAACAATGGGAGAGGGTGGCAGGTTTTCTGGGTGGGGGATAGGAAGCCAGCATCCGAGAACCTGCCCCTGGATGGCAGGAGGCTAGGCCACGTGAAAGCCGAGGCTCCAAGCCCCCTGTGCTGGCTCCATTGTCCCATCAGACTCGACTTACAAATCACAAGTTTCAATTTGAAATTCAATTTCAAATTTTTTTTTTTTTTCAGATGGAGTCTCGCTCTGTCACCCAGGCTGGAGTACAGTGGCATGATTTCAGCTCACTGCAACCTCCGCTTCCCAGGTTCAAGCGCTTCTCCTGCCTCAGCCTCCAGAGTAGCTGGGATTACCGGTACCTGCCACCATGCCTGTCTAGTTTTTGTATTTTTAGTAGAGAGGGGGTTTCACCATGTTAGCCAGGCTGGTCTTGAACTCCTGACCTCAGGTGATCCGCCCACCTTGGCCTCCCAAAGCGCTGGGATTACAGGCATGAGCCACCACGCCTGGCCATATTTTTCTTTCTCTTTTTTTATTTTTGAGATGGAGTCTCGCTCTGTCACCCAGGCTGGAATGCAGTGGCCCAATCTTGGCTCACTGCAACCTCCTGGTTTCAAGCGATCCTCCTGCCTCAGCCTCCAAGTAGCTGGGATTACAGGTGCCCGCCACCATGCCCAGCTAATTTTTATATTTTTAGTAGAGACAGGGTTTCACCATATTGGCCAAGCTGGTCTTGAACTTCCAACCTCAAGTGATCTACCTGCCTCGGCCTCCCAAAGTGCTGGGATTACAGGCGTGAGCCACTGTGCTCAGCCAATTTCAAATTTTTCAAGATAAAATTAAGAATTTCACGGCCGGGCCTGGTGGCTCATGCCTGTAATGCCAGCACTTTGGGAGGCCGAGGTGGGTGGATCACGAGGTCAGGAGTTCGAGACCAGCCTGACCAACATGGTGAAACCCCATCTCTACTAAAAATACAAAAATTAAGCTGGGCGTGGTGGCTCACGCCTATAATCCCAGCACTTTGGGAGGCTGAGGTGGGTGGATCATGAGGTCAGGAGATCAAGACCATCCTGGCTAACACGGTGAAACCCCGTCTCTACTAAAAATACAAAAACAATTAGCCAGAAGTGGTGGCAGGCGCCTGTAGTCCCAGCTACTCGGGAGGCTGAGGCAGGAGAATGGCGTGAACCCGGGAGGCGGAGCTTGCAGTGAGCCGAGATCACACCACTGCACTCCAGCCTGGGCGACAGAGGGAGACTCCGTCTCAAAAAAAAAAAAAAAAAAAATTAGCCAGGCGTGGTGGCGGGCACCTGTAATCCCAGCTACTCAGGAGGCTGAAGCAGGAGACTTGCCTGAATCTGGGAGGCAGAGGTTGCAGTGAGCCGAGATCGCACGACTGCACTCCAGCCTGGGCGACAGGGAGACACTCTGTCTCACCAAAAAAATAAATAAATAAATAATAATTTCAAGGTGACTGTAGAGCATTAAACGCCCAAGCACTGAGTGTGGGGCCCTGCGTGACAGCCCTGCCCCTGAGTATCTAATGTGTGCGTTGACAGCCCTGCCCCTGAGTATCTAATGTGTGCGTGACAGCCCTGCCCCTGAGTATCTAATGTGACTGGCTGTTGTCTCCCGGGATATCTTCCAAGAGACAGAATAACCTGGATCTGAGGATAAATGCCAGGAGGAAGGGAGAATGTATCCATGGTTCCCATCTCCATTAGTCAAAGGTACCTCTACAGTGCCTTCACAGCCCAGGCCTCACTGCGCCTAGCGGCTCCTCAGCGTTTCAGGCTCAGCAGCAGCAGGGACACCACAAGTGGCCAGGTACAGCCTGGAACCCCTCCCAGGGCTGGCCCTAGAGGCAGGTAAAGTGAGGAGCACCTTAGATGGTGCATAAAAAGTGTCCAATGCAAGTGCCTTTCCTGAGGCTGATCACTGTACAGTGATTCTGTAAGAAAATGCCCTTATTTTTAGGAAATGCACACTAAGGCCAGGCGCGGTGGCTCACGCCTGTAATCCCAGCACTTTGGGAGGCCGAGGTGGGTGGATCACTTGAGGCCCAGAGTTCAAGACCAGCCTGGCCAACATGGTGAAACTCCATCTCTACTAAAAATACAAAAATTAGCCGGGTATGGTGGTGGGTACCTGTAATCTCAGCTACATAGGAGGCTGAGGCAGGAGAATCGCTTGAACCCAAGAGGTGAAGTTGCAGTGAGCTGAGATCGTACACTGCACTCCAGGCTGGCGACAGAGTGAGATTCCGTCTCAAAAAAAAATTAGCTTGGCGTGGTGGCATAAGTCTGTAGTCCCAGCTGCTCAGGAGGCTGAGGTGAGAGGATTGCTTGAGCCTCGGAGATCGAAGGTGCAGTGGGCTGTGATAGCACCACCGCACGCCACCCTGGGCAACAGGGCCAGACCCTGTCTCAAAAAATAAATAAATAAATAAGTAAAGAAAGAAAGAAACAAACACACATGGAAGTATTTCGAGGTAAAGAGGCATCACGCCTGTGACTTATGCTGAAATGTCTTAGAAAAAAATTGGGAGAGGGTACTGTGGCTCGCACCTGTAATCCCAGCACTTTGAAAGGCTGAGGCAGGAGGATTGTTTGAGGCCAGGAGTTTGAGACCAGCCTGGGCAGCATAGTGAGACTCTGCCTCTACACACAAAAAAATTAGCTGGCTGTGGTGATTCACACCTGTAGTCCCAGCTATTAAGAGGCTGAGGTGGGAGGATCGCTTGAGCTTGGGAAGTCGAGGCTGCAGTGAGCCTTGATCACACCCACTGCACTTCAGCCTGCAAGACTCTGTCTCAAAACAAAAAACAAAAAAGAAAGAAAAAAATGAGGATAGAGGGAGAGAGAGAAAATTAATACAAATGTGGTAAAATGTTCACATTTGGGGAATCTGGGTGAAGGTTATATGAACATTCTTTGTAGTATTTTTGCAACTTTTCTGTAAGCCTGAAATGATTTCAAAATAAAAAGTTGGGGGTTTTTTTGTTTTGTTTTTAAGGGTATGATGCAACCATTATTGCTGGGGGAGAAAGTACCAGCAAAGAGCCAGTCCTGCTGGCGGTAGGTGGATGGGTGCTGCTGGGAGGACTCTGGGTTCCACAGGAGGAACGTAGCCCAGGGAAAAGGGAGTTACGGGACTGCAGCGCCAGCTCCCCACTCCTGCCACCATTGGGCTCCAGCTTTCCGGCCTTGTGGCCAGTCTTTCCCTTTGGGGGGCCGGTGACTCAGCCACGGGTTCCATGTGGCAGGAAGTGGGCACAGTGACTCACGGGGTGGCTTGGTCCCCTCCTTTGTGGAGGCCGGGATAGCAGCTCAGGCCCCAGGCCAGTGATGGCCTGTAAGAGAGGAGGATTTGCACCCCACAGTGGCAAGCCCCAAGGAGGGCTGCCCTAGATGGTGGGGGGCCTGGAGCACTCAGCTGGGGTGGGGGCCCCGCCTCGCCCTCTTGGGGCCGGCAAAATCTACCCTCTGCCAGCTCTGACCACAGCCTGCAGAGTTTTCCAGCCACTTGTGGGCATGTGCACAGTGCTGGACACTCTGTAAGAATTCCCCACTGTCTGCAAAGCCGGCAACAGCTGCCAAGGTCTCCCACCCTGCTGGCTGCCCCCAGCCATGCACCTTCTCCGGGGGGCCTTGTTAGCACTCAGCAGGCATGCAGACCGCCAAAGGCTCAGTTCCCTGGGGCCCAGCCGCTTCCAGGCTGTTCAGGCTCAAGTTCCACTGGTTGGTGCCAGTGACTTGTCTACTGTCTCATCGGTAGGCTCAAAACTAACACCTTTAGAACTGTTCGTGATTGAGGCTAGATGCGGTGGCTCACGCCTGTAGTCTCAGCACTTTGGGAGGCCGAGACAGGTGGATCAGTTGAGCTCAGGAGTTAGAGAGCAGCCTGGGCAACACAGTGAGACCCCATCTCTACAAAAAATATTTTAAAAAATTAGCTGGGCATGGTGGCGGGCGCCTATAGTCCCAGCTACTTGGGAGGCTGAGGCAGGAGAATGGCGTGAACCCGGGAGGTGGAGCTTGCAGTGAGCCGAGGTCACACCACTGCACTCCAGCCTGGGAGACAGAGCAAGACTCCATCTAAAAAAAAAAAAAAGAACAGGTAGTGAATGAACCCTGCTGCTTAGGGGACGAGACTATGTCCCTCCTCTAAGACGTCCTGACCTCTGCAACTTCTCTTCTGCAGACTCCAGGAGCACTTAGGGCCGGGGTTGCTCCCTTTAACGTTAAGGCCGTGCTCACATTTGGTGGGAGGATGACCCAGTGCTTGTACATCTGCTGTTTCACATCCTCACAACAGAGAAGGAAACTAAGGCTCAGAGAGGTTCAGGAACTTGCCTGAGGTCACACAGCATGAAGTGGTGAAGTCGGGATTTGAACTCAGGCCTTCCTGACTCCCACGTTGGTCCTGCCCATATCCCACCTCAGGATGGCTGTGCTGTGCATTTTGACAGTTAATGGGCGTTCACCTCGCTGGATGGCAAATCTGGCAGGCTGGCCAGGACTGCGGCCTCCTCACTTTCTAAAGCCGTCCTGGCAGCCCCTGACATATCAGGAGTGTTCAGGCATGACTCACAAGTGGACTGAGTGCCCGATGGGTTCAAATCCTCTGCAGGTGGCTCTGGGCAAAGCACCAGCCTCTGCAGCAAACCCTGCCCCATCCCAGTGGAGCCTCCTGCCCCTCCCTCTTACCCCCACGGCTCCTTGTCAACAAACACTGGGCAGATCCCTTCCTCCACTACCACGTGCCGGCTCCTGTCTCCCGGATTCTCCCTTGCAGGCCTCGCCGTCTCTCTCTGGCCTCCCTTTTCCTGATCTGTTCATAACTTTCCTCCTCCTGTGTGTTTCCCTTTGCTCCTCTCTCTCTTTCTTTTCTTTTTTTCTTTTTGTTTTTGTTTTTGTTTTGTTCTGTTTTTGAGACCGAGTCTTGCTCTGTTGCCCAGGCTGGAGTGCAGTGGTGCCATCTCGACTCACTGCAACCTCTGCCTCCCGGATTCAAGCGATTCTCCTGCCTCAGTTCCCTGAGTAGCTAGCTGAGATTACAGGTGCACGTCACCATGCCCAGTTAATTTTTTTTTTTTTTTTTTTGTATTTTTGTAGAGATGGAGTTTCGCCATGTTGGCCAGGCTAAACTTGAACTCCTGACCTCAAGTGATCCGCCCACCTAGGCCTCCCAAAGTGCTAGGATTACAGGCGTGAACCACTGCACCCAGCCTGTTTTTGTTTGTTTGGTTTTGAGACAGTCTCGCTCTGTTGCCCAGGCTGGAGAGCAGTGGCGTGATCTCCGCTTACTGCAACCTCCGCCTCCCAGGTTCAAGCAATTCTCCTGCCTCAGCCTCCTGAGTACCTGGGATTACAGGCACCCGCCAGCATACCTGACTAATGTTTTTGTTGTTTGGCCGGGCACGGTGGCTCACGCCTGTAATCCCAGCACTTTGGGAGGCTGAGGCGGGCGGATCACGAGGTCAGGAGATCGAGACCATCTCTGGCCAACACAGTGAAAGCTCATCTCTACTAAAAATACAAAATAATTAGCTGGGCGTGGTGGTGGGCGCCTGTTGTCCCAGCTACTCGGGAGGCAGAGGCAGGAGAATGGCGTGAACCCGGAAGGCAGAGCTTGCAGTGAGCTGAGATCGCGCCACTGCACTCCAGTCTGGGTGACAGAGCGAGACTCCGTCTCAAAAAAAAAAAAAAATGTTTTTGTTGTTTGAAACGGATTTGCTTTGTCACCCAGGCTGGAGTGCAGTGGCATGATCTTGGCTCACTGCAACCTCCGCCTGCGAGGCTCAAGTGATCCTCATCTTGACTCTCTCATCTTGGCCTCAGCAGCCTAAGGAGGGACCGCAGATGCTGGGATTACCGCACCCGGCCCTCTTTCTCTCTTTCGAGTTCCCTTTCTGCTCCCCCTTGGCCTTCCCTCGATCCCCTTCCTCCTCTGTGTTGTCATCAGGCTGCTGTTACGAGTCCAATGTGGTCCCCCTCCTGTGTGCCAGTGCTGGGTCCACCCCTACTGACGGCACCTGCAGGACGAGGGTCACCACTTTGCTGGGTCACTTCCCATTTCCTCTGTGCTTCCAATGAGCTGGTGGGGATCCTGGGGTTGTCCCATCCAGCGTCCCTAGTGGTACCTCCCGAAGTCTGGTGTTTTTGAGTGGACGGCCCCGGGGGTTCAGAGTGACTCTTCCTCACCTGGTCTGTGTGATGAGGCAGTGAACACCCCAGGGGAGAGGCTCTTTGGAGGCTGGAAAAGATGCCCCTCTGAGAATCCGGTACTTGGAGGGCTCTTGGTGAATGATGTTTTTCTTTTCCGTCACTGTACTGAGTTGAAATCGGCCTCCTGGAAAGTTATTTCCCTGTGTTCTTTGATCTGGGTGAGGGAAGCCATCTCCCTGACTAGCTGACAGTCACTTGATCGTCAACTAGCTGGTGAACCTCGTCATAGCTTCTCTCTCTCCTGTAAATAACCTGGGTTCCATCAGCTGCTCCCACGGCTCTGAGCCTCAGACCCCTTTCCCTGCCTTTCTGTCCTCCTCGAAGGCCCCCCAGTCCTGAGACATCTGGGTAACCTGATTGCTGGACTCGATTTTCAATCCTGTTCAATTTCATCTGAGTCGTTCAACCTGTGGGTCTAGCCTATCATCCTTCTGGGGGTTACTCTCCAGTGTTATCTGCAAATCCAATCACATCATGGTCTTCATTCAAGTCATTGATAAAAACGTTAACTAGGACATGGTCTAGGTCACAGCCCTGTGGCACATCTCTGGAGACTTACTTCTAGATGAGCACTGGTTTACTTATCAACGGCCTTTTGTTTTGTTTTTAGTGAATCTTTCTACCTGCCACCGCCGCATTAAACTGTTTTCTAGGCTACTTTGTTTCCTGTCTTGTGTAAGGCTATCACAGGAAGTTGAATGTTCTGTGAAATCAAGGTATTCTATACCCATAGCATTTCCATGATCTGAAAATCTTGTCAAAGGAAAAAGGAGTTACTTAGGCCAGAGGTGCAAATAGGGTTTTGTTTTGTTTTTACCTTTGAAAAAATGATGATTTGTATATTCCTGCATTTGTTTTATGAAAATACCAAAATACAGATAAAGGAAAAAAGAATCTGAAAGCATTCTAAAACCCTCTATGCAGAGATAAGCACTTCAAACATTTTGGTATGTATTTCTGGAAGTTTCTTTTTTTTTTTTTTTTTTTTTTGAGATGGAGTTTCGCTCTTTCGCCCAGGCTGGAGTGAAGTGGCGCAATCTCGGCTCACTGCAACCTCTGCCCCCCGGGTTCAAGCGATTCTCCTGCCTCAGCCTCCCGAGTACCTGGGACTACAGGTGTGTGCCATACACCTGGCTAATTTTTGTATTTTTAGTAGAGATGAGGTTTCATAATGTTGGCCAGGTTGGTCTCAAACTCCTGACCTCAGGTGATCCACCTGCCTCGGCCACCCAGAGTGCTAGGAGTGAGCCACTGCAGACTGCCATTTCTGGAAATTTCTAAAAGCATCTCGAACTACATATACCAAAAACTCATAAAAATGCAATCAGTCTCTAAATACTCTTTTGTTATCTGCTTTTCTCATTTACTCATATTTCATGACTATCTTCACATGTGATTGAATATATATATGTACAGCTACATAAACTGTTTCTATTAGCTGGGTGGTATTGCATTATGTGGACATATCCTATTCAACAGATCCCATATTACTGGATTCCATTTTTTTGTCTTTATAAGCATTGTTATATATGCCTGTTATGAACATGTCTGGCTCCTTCCCTGAAATACGTTCAGATGCTATAGTCAGCCTTTTTCTAACTATTCAAGACCTATTTCTCCCTTGAATCCCTGTAGCTTTTTTTTTTTATCTGTGCTTTTTTGGTAAGCATATTTTCCACTACAATAATTATGTCCTGTCGCTGGCCAGGTGCAGTAGCACGCCTGTAATCCCATCACTTTGGGAGGCTGAGGCGGGCAGATCACGAGGTCAGGAGATCAAGACCATCCTGGCTAACAGGGCGAAACCCCATCTCTACTAAAAAAAAATACAAAAAAATTAGCCGGGCATGGTGGCAGGCGCCACCAGTAGCTCCCAGCTACTCGGGAGGCTGAGGCAAGAGAATGGCGTCAACCTGGGAGGAGGAGCTTGCAGTGAGCCGAGATCATGCTACTGCACTCCAGCCTGGGTGACAGAGCGAGACTCCGTCTCAAAAAAAATAAATAAATGAAATAAATAAAATAAAATTAATTATGTCCTGTCATCTCCCTGCTTGTAGCTACTAAGATCCCTTAGGAAAGATCCCATCCTGATTTAAGATTGCATCCCTAATACCTATAACACAATAACTTGCACTTACGGACATGCCATAGATATTTGTTGACTAAGGGCAAGAATATATGAATTTGTTTAGTGATTCACTGCAGTGTTTTGTGGGTGAGTAACATAGTCGTGAGTTTCTAGTTTCCCCAGTCTAGTTTCTGGCCCACAGTGGCCTTGTTTGTCATCTTTCTGTCCCTCTCCTCATCTCAGGCCAAGGGTGAAAGCCAGCAAGAGTCCGGGGCTGGCATCTACCCAGACAGCGTCTCACTCTGCTGCCCAGCCCACTTTCAAGTCAATGTGGAGCTTCCCAGCTCGCCCTCCCCATCCTGGATTTCAGATCCCTCCTACCCTCACCCTACTTTCTCTCGGAGTTTGACAGGGGAGCAGGTAGAACCTGGGGCAGATCTGCATTCCCCTGGGAGATGCTTCAAGCAGTGGCAGGGTCTTAGCCTCTGAGCTGCTCCCTGGTAGGAAGGAAGCAACTGCCCCTGGTCTGTGTTGGGAGATGGACAGAGCTTTAGGATGGACAGGCGTTGGGGATGCACCAGTACACATAGGCGCTCAATAACGGTGGTCTTTATTCTCTTTCCTCTTCTGTCATCTGACACGATTCGGTCTTCTCAGCTAAGGACTGGGTCTGTCCTTCGCTCGTCCTTGTAGCCGTGACTACAACCTTCCAAGCCATTTTTGTTTTCTTAGAGGTTTTATTGGGAGCTGAGGGTTAATAGCACCCCAGCCCCTCCCATCAGGCTCAAGGGGCTCTTTTGCCTTCACTTGTGGTTGAGAGTCCTCCCTCCCTCCTGCCCTCTTCTCTGTCCTTTTGAAATATGAGCTCAGCTCCCTAGAAGGTATCAGTGCTTTATTTTGTACCCCTACCAACTTTCTTTCTCTTTTTTTTTTTTTCGAGACGGAGTTTCACTGTTGTCGCCCAGGCTAGAATGCAATGGCGTGATCTCGGCTCACTGCAGCCTCCACCTCCTGGGTTCAAGCAATTCTCCTGCCTCAGCCTCCCGAGTAGCTGGGATTACAGGCGTGCACCACCATACCCAGCTAATTTTTTCTATTTTTAGTAGAGACGGGGTTTCTCCAGGTTGCTCAGGCTGGTGTCGAACTCCTGACCTCAGGTGATCCACCCGCCTGGGCCTCCCAAAGTGCTGGGATTACAGGCATGAGCCACCATGCCTGGCCTCTTTCTCATAGAAATCTTTTGTGATTGAATTGTCTGAATTGTGGATTTTTTTTGGTCTACCTTACCATTTTCCTTTTTAGAACCTACAGCTTTCTTTTTTTGGCCAGCATTTCTTTTTGGAGAAATTTCCCCTAAAGTATAGGGTACCTATGTGATAATTTCCAGTATCTCTTCCTGAGCTATTATAAACTCACAGGGAATCATCCTGTATGAAGAGTGACCCCACAATGAAATTCCTTTCCTGGGGTTCAAACAATAGACTTAAAAAAAAATTTAAGACACAGGGTCTTAGGTCGGGCATGGTGGCTCACGCCTGTAATCCCAGCTACTAGGGAGGCTGAGGCAGGAGAACCACTTGATGGAGGTTGCAGTGAGTAGAGATGAAGCCACTGCACTCCAGCCTGGGTGACAAAGCCAGACCCCATCTGGCCAGACCGCCATCGGGAGATGGAGGTTGTAGTGAGCCGAGATCCTGCCACTGCACTCCAGCCTGGGCTACAGAGCCAGATCCCATCCCGCCCCACCCCCCCAAAAAAAGAGAGAGAAAGACAGAGAGACAGGGTCTGGCTCTGTCACCCAGGCTACAGTGGATTGACTTGATCGTAGCTCACTCACTGCAGCCTTGAAGTCCTGGGCTCAAGTGATCCTCCTGCCTCGGCCTCCTGAGTACCTGGAACTACAGGCACCAGCCGGTGTGCCCTGCTCAAGCAGTAGACTTTCCCTTGGAATAAAGACCATTATAATCCCCTCCACCAACTCTCGCAAAGCCATAGTTTGCCAGAGCCATTACTGAACTTTTTGACAAGGCAATCAGCTCAAATGCACCCAAACAGGTTCGGGATTCCTGAACTCAGCCCAGGCTTCATTGATGATACCTAACACGCCTGACTCTATAAGCGGCTGACTTTTAAAATAATAACTTTTTTTTTTTTCTTTTTGAGATGGAGTCTCACTCTGTTGCTCAGGCTGGAGCGTAATGGCATGATCTCAGGCTCACTGCAACCTCCTCCTCTTGGGTTCAAGTGATTCTCCTGCTTCAGCCTCCCAAATAGCTGGGATTACAGGCGCCCACCACTATGCACAGCTAATCTTTTGTATAAAATAATGACTTTTAAAATAATCCAATACAATAAGATCTATTAAGCACCTAGTACATAACTATGAACCAGGGATTGGGGAGAGAAAGGAGGAAGGAGATTTGATCTCACCCTCGAAGGGTTTAGAATCTCTCCACTAAGATTTTTAGGAGTTAGAGTTGGAAACTTCACAATCTAAAGTGAAGAAAGACGAACAGGGTAAAACTCAAGACAGTTTTTGTAAAAAGAAATGTAAAACTGTTTGCCTTCCTGTTTCTTCGTCAGGGATAAGTAATTTCCAGTCATCCCATCCATTAAACAAATATGTATTAAGAAAGAAAAACAGTCCAGGAGCCTACTGCGGGCACAACCGGGGTGCACAGAACCCATCTCGGGAGGCTGGCTCTGCCCCTTGAGAAAGTTCAAGATGAAGGGGATGCCAAGGCCAGAGGCAAATGTCCAGCCCTCACTAGCGGGGATCACCTCGAGTTCCACGCGAGGGGCTCAGGGTTGGGTAATCGAGAGTGGAAAGCTCTGGAAAAACCCTAATACCCCTGTTGCAACATTCTAGGAAAATGGTCTGTCTATTGAATAAGAGTGAGTCACCATGGGAAAGTTGGGGCGGTCAACACTACCCCGCACTGCTCATCCCCATTCTTTGGCTCCTAGTGATGCTCCGGTCACCCTCTGGGGGCCATGGGGAGGAGGCAGTGACGCCGTGATCCGGAATTTCAACGAGACATATGCAAATGGCCCAATGGGCTGTGAAGGAAGTTCAGAGACAGGAGGATGAGGCAGCTCAGTGTTTCTAACCCACAAAGCAGAAGTGAGAATGGGTGAGAATTCCCAGTCACCTTCCCCTTCTCCTTTCCCTTCTCACTCTACCCCAACCCTACTCCCTGTGTGGGCCCTCTGCCCCTTCCCTGTTCAGAAATGAGATCACTGGGTGGGTGCAGTGGCTCATGCCTGTAATCCCAGCACTTCAGAAGGCCGAAGCCGGAGGATCACTTAAGGCCAGGAGTTCAAGACCAGCCTGGGCAACATAGTGAGACCCCCGTCTCTGCAAAAAAATTAAAATCAGCCAGGCGTGGTAGTGCACACCTGTGGTTCTAGCTACTTGAGAGGCTGAGGTTGGGGGATCACTTGAACTCAGGAGGTTGAGACTGCAGTGAGCTATGATCACACCATTGCACTCCAGCCTGGGTGACAAAGTGAGACCCTGTCTCTTTTTTGCTTGAGATGGAGTCTTGCTCTGTCGCCCAGGCTGGAGTGCAGTGGCTCAATCTTGGCTCACTGCAACTTCCGCCTCCCGGGTTCAAGCAATTCTCCTGCCTCAGATCTCCCCAGTGGCTGGGACTACAGATGCAAGCCACCACGCCTGGCTAATTTTTGTAATTTTAGTAGAGATGGGGTTTCACCATGTTGGCCAGGCTGGTCTTGAACAGGTGATCCACCTGCCTCAGCCTCCCAAATTCCTGGGATTACAAGCATGAGCCACCATGTCCAGCTGACCCTGTCTCTTAAAAAAGAAATTGAGATCTCTGACTTTTACCCAATTACCCAAGTCTGTCAAAGTACCCATCTGTAAAAGAAACCAGCCTTGTAAGGTTCCTTTCAACTCCAGAATTGAGGAGTGGGTTTGGGGGCAGTCAGAGGGGGGTGCTGGTGAGCAGGTGACAGGAGAAGGAAGAATCTCCAGTTGAGCCCCCACTATGTGTCAGGCCAGGAACCCAGGGACCTCACCAGAGCCCTCTGTAGAGGTCAGCATCCTCGTTTTACAGATGACACAATGACAGCCTAGTCGGAGGATGATGACACCAGGATCTGACCCAGTCTTCCCAGGCTCCCCCCCCCAACTGGAAGCCCCCCAAGATTGAGCAGACATATTCTTTCAGGAAACACCACCACTCTGGTTTATTTCAGCTGCAGGTCTGATCTCCATAACAGAAGCACACCTGAAAAATACTGCCTTAGCCGCTGAATTTTGATAGAGCAATTCTATATTCCTGGTAACTTCCTCTGTAATTAATCGTCAATTGATTACTCCGTCACTTACATGTGAGTGTGAAGGCGCTGGCTTCTTTGTCAGGAAGTGAACTCTCTATTGACGAATGAGTCAAAGCACTGGGCGGCTGTTACTTATTCATGAAGGAGGGCATTGGCGCGTTTAGGTTTCCCCTCACCTGTCCAGCACGCCCTGAAAGATTGTAGTACAGAGTCCTGGGGAGAAAGTGGTTTCCTGCCTCTCCCTGGGCTCATATTTGAATGGTACTTTCTTTCTCTCTCTCTCAGCAGACTAGGCTCCTCTCAGCAGATTTCCATCCCAAGTTTGGGTAGCTCTTGCCAAACCTTTTAACCCGTATTCTACAGCAATAATCCAAGTTATAAATAAAACTATTCAATTCAGCTATCTAGTTAATTAAAGAATTAGTAGCCACTTGTGGATAATATTTATTTTTCTGGGCAGTGAACTGAGTTAGTTGGACTGGGCATGGGGATGAGTTCAATATTTTATTAATTTTCCTTGAGGATAGCTATATATTTAGTACACATGTAATACAATGTATTAGTGTGATAACTTTTTTTTTTTTTTTTTTTGAGATGGAGTCTCACTCTGTCACCCAGGCTGGAGTGCAGTGGCACGATCTCAGCTTACTGCAACCTCTGCCTCCTGGGTTCAAGCAATTCTCATGCCTCAGCCTCCTGAGTAGCTGGGACTACAGGTGGACCCCACCATGCCTGGCTAATTTTTGTATTTTTAGTAGAGATGGGGTTTCACCATGTTGGCCAGACTGGTCTCAAACTCATGGCTTCATGTGATCCTCCCACCTCTGCCTCCCAAAGTGCTGAAATTACAGGCAACAGCCACCTCGCTCAGTCAACTTTCTTTAAAAAGGAAGGATGACTGGGCACAGTGGCTCATGCCTGTAATCACAGCACTTTAGGAGGCTAAGGCGGGAGGATGGCTTGAGCCCAGGAGTTCGAGACCAGTGTAAGCAACATAGGGAGACCCCCCCCCCACCCCCACCGTCTCTACAAAAAAATAGAAAAATTAGCCAGGTGTGGTGGCACATGCCTGTAGTCCCAGCTATTCAGGAGGTTGCGGCAGGAGGATCCATTGAGCCTAGGGGGCAGGGGCTGCAATGAGCTATGATCATGCCACTGCACTCCAGCCTGGGTGACAGAAGGAGACCCTGCCTCAAAAACAAAAGGAAGCTAAGGGGTGTAAACTGCCTGGGGAAGACTCTCTGGGGTCATAGAGAGTGGGTTTAGGATCTGGGGGACATTCTCTGTGGCCAGTCAGTCAGGGTGCTGGCCTGACTGCTCAACAAGCTTCTTAATGACTCTAAACCTCAGATTCTTCGTTTGAAAACCAGGCAGATGAGCTCAGAGAACTGCTGTGTGGATTCCCCCTCCCAGTTCCAGTGTGGCAGAGTCCTGGCAAGATAGAGTCTACCTAGAGCTGCTCAGAAATGCAGCATCTCATGGCCCACCCCAGCCAGATGAATCAGTCTGCAGTTTAACAAGATCCAGGTGATTGGTGCTGACGTGAAAGTTTGAGAGGCCAGGCTAAATAACATGACATATGTAAAACACCTGGCAGAGAGTGGGCATGGATGGGCGTCAGCTGCCCTCCTCCTCTCCCCCGAGCATCCTCAGACACCATCCCAGGGAGATCTTTTGCTTGGGAGGGAGAGATGTGGGTTGGATTGTGGGTGAAATGTGGGCGACCTGCATTCTCATGGTGCAGCACATATTTTGTCTCCTTGCAATCATTGATGTGGGCCAGACTGCAAAGTGTGGCCCCTAGGAGTTCAGCATATGGTCCTAAGGTTACAGGGTGAACCCAAGGCGACCAGGGCCACGTATGCAAGTACCCACAGCTTCTTCCACCAAGCCGCCACCACCCGTGGATGTGGTCACTCACTCTGGTGGGGCAAGGGGGCAAGAGGGCAGCTGGACCTCTAGTCCTCATATGGGTTTGCTGGTTGTATGTAAAAAGCCCCTTAGGGGCTGGTGTCCGCAATGTGATACTGAATGTGATGGTTTAACAGCTTTCATGACACACCCATTTTGGAAGCAGCCATCCTGTGCTGGGCACTGCGGATTCAACACAGACCAAATGGACCCATGGCAGGAAGGTCGTTAGAGTTAGGATGGGCAGAGAAGTAGCACATGGGGACAAGGGCTGAACCCAGGTCAGCACAGGGTGTTGGGAAGACCACCCTAGAAAGGAAGTGGGGGCCGGGCGCGGTGGCTCATGCCTGTAATCCCAGCACTTTGGGAGGCCGAGGCAGGCCGATCACTTGAGGTCAGGAGTTCGAAACCACCCTACCCTGGTCAACATGGTGAAACCCCATCTCTACTAAAAATACAAAAACTAGCCAGGTATGGTGGCGCGTGCCTGTAGTCCCAGCTACCCGGGAAGCTGAGGCAGGAGAATCGCCTGAACCGGGGAGGTAGAGGTTGCAGTGAGCTGAGATAGTGCCACTGCACTCCAGCCTGGGCAACAGAGCGAGGCCCTGTCTAAAAAAAAAATAATAAATAAAATAAAATAAAATAAATCAAGAAAAAGAAGGAAGTGGGGCCCAGGGCGGACAGGCTCAGGGCAAGGCACCTGCCCGGAGGGCACTGGGGTAGGGCACCGGATGGCCTTAGCCTCTGGACATTCTCAGCGACCTGGCACTAGGGAATGTTCCTGGCCTAAGGAAGGACCTGGGTCTGGCCAAAAAGGCGAGAGAGCTAGGCGCGGCCTGGGAGGAAGGTGCGGCGCTGGGGAGGGAGGGGAGCCCTGCCCTGGTGTGCCCTCGGTCCCGCGCCGCACACCCTGCCGGGAAGCCCGGGGCCGCAGCTGCTCGGGCGGCCCGGCCCAGAATAGCCTCCCTTCCGGGCAGGGCTGCCCCGGCCCGCAGCGCCAGCGCCCGAAATAGGGCTCGGCCGGGTGGCGGGCGCCAGGGGCCGCCCCAGCTGCAGGACTCGCCGGGGAGCCGGGGCCCGCGCGTGGACCGGGAGGGGCTGCGGGGTGCGGGCCCGGCCCTGGGACGCGAGGACCCGGGTGGGCGGGTCCGCGGGCGGGGTGGGGGCGGGGCGCGGGGCCGGGACCGGGATCCCGGGCGCGGGGCCAGCCCGAGGCGGGTGGAGCCGGGCGCTGACCTCACAGCCCGCGAGGAAGCCCGTCGGGGCCGGCGGGGCTGATGGAAGGCCTGAGGAATTCGCAGCCGGCGGCGCGGCCGGGCGCGTTCCCTTCCCCTCTCTCCGTTGCCCGGCGAGGGAGCCACAGCGCAGCGGTTGCCATGGCCACGGGCCGGGCGTGGGGCTGGGGGACCAGGGGCCGCTGAGCCTCGATCACCTTGTCCTGCTCGAGCCAGGTTGGCATGGACTGGAAGAACCCCGCGGCGGCGGGCGGGAGGTGCTGGGGCCAGGGGAGGCCCCGAGGGACCCCGCCGCCCGGTCTGCGCCCTGATCCCGCAGGGTCCTGTGGAAATGCGGTGTCTGCCTCCCCGCCTCCTGCGCTCACACATGCAGGCCTGGGGCCTGCGGGTCCCGGGGCTCTGAGCCTGCACAGCCCACGGGCCGCAGCCGCAGGCCCCGCACTGGTAGCTTAGGTGGACACGGAGGCTGAGGGGGAGTTTCCAAGGGGCCTGGCCTCACGCTCTGCCCGTCACAGCCGCCACCCCTCACCGGCCCTCCACCCACCCCTAACTCCTTAACCTCTCCCGGCCTCGGTTTCCTCACCTATTAACTAGAGATTAGTCATAGCTACCATCCAGGCTTGTTATATTAAAATAGAATAATTATGTAATGTGCCGTGTGCACTCCAAACGCGGTCCTCTTTCCCTGTCCCACACCTCCTTCCTCCTGCATCAGGCCTGGGGAGGGGGGCGTGCCGATGTCACCCCCAACCCCCAGGCCTAGAGTCCTGGACACATGGACGCCCCTGCCAGAGCTCCCCTCCCCGCGCTTGGGGTTACTTTGAACCCCGCCTCCTACAAGAGGATGGTCCAGCCTATTGTCGGAACCTGCAGGAATCCCAGGCTGCGACCCAAGAATATTAGCGGAGGCCCAGCCTGGCTGGGGTGAGTCAGCCTCTCCTCCCAAATTCAGTTGCGGCTTCAGCTGCCCTGTGCAGCTGGGGCTGCTAAGTTGCCAGCAAGAGGCAGCCTCTGAAAATCTCTGGAAAGACCAGCATGTCCTTGGGGTGGGATTCAGAGCACAGTGGGGTGGGGGAGGGTTGAGAAGGGGTCTTGATCCCCCTTCTCTTCCTCTAGGGGAGCCGAGGCTTGGGACCAGGGAAGCAGCGGTACCCCATGTGGGGAAGGGCGGGCCTGACTTACTGTAACTTCCTGGCCCAAAGCCTGATTGTCCTGTGGTTGGGCTGCCCGGCCAGAGAGGCCCCTGGTGTAGGGAGGACTCAGAGAGAACTTGCCTCCCGTTGCCAGGGCCCAGTGTGTGTGTACTGGGGGGCGGAGGGGCTGTGCTGTCACTGATTTCCTGAGACAGCTAGTAGACCAGATGAGGCTGCCTGGAAGGTGGCTCCTCTTCCCTAAGCAGGTTGGGCCACTACCTAAATGCCAGGTTATTTACAAGAAAAAAAAAAGGCTGTCCAGGGGCTCAGCCCCTTTTGGAGGGCATCAGAGCCGCCAGTGTTGACTGAGCACTCACCATGTACTACGCCATATGGGCGTTTGCTCACTGAACTGTCACAACCACCCAAGAAAACGGGAACTGTTGTTATCCCCATTGTACAGATGGGGAGCGGATTTAGAGTCCTGGGATGCAAACTGGGTTTCCCCGCTGGCTCCCGATCCCCACTCCATCTGGCCTATGAGCGTGGGAACCAGTGTGGCCCGGAAGAGTGGTGGATGGCCCAGCTGACTGCCCAGGTGCCCCCACCCCCCAGCCACATGGGCATGCGGCTTGCTCGGTACTCAGCTGACTTCCTGTCCCTGGAAGAGCAGCTGCCGGTATGCTGGGGCAGGGCGGTCCCCTTCCTGTGGTTCAGGTAAGGGCATAACCCCATGCCTTCTTGGCATCCTCCCTCTCTCCTTTCTCAGGCTCTGCAAGTCCGACCTGGGTGCCCCAGAGAGCTGCTCCGGGAAAGACGTTTACCTGCTGCCCAGAGCTGGGACTGCAGACCCTGATTGGCGAGGGCTTGGAGAGTAGCTGAGAACCTTCCCTTCAGCTACTGAAGACCAGACAGGGCTTTCTGTATCACGCTGCCTGACGATGATGAGGGTGCAGTGACTAAGAGTGCAGATGAAAGGCCCAGCTCTCCAACCAGGTGGATGGATTTGCAAGGAGCTTCTATCTGGGCGTGGTGGCTCATGCCTGTAATCCCAGCACTTTGGGAGGCTGAGGCGAGCGAACCACCTGAGGGTGGGAGTTCAAGACCAGCCTGACCAACATGGAGAAACCCCATCTCTACTAAAAATACAAAATTAGCCGGGCATGGTGGCAGGCACCTGTAATCCCAGCTACTCGGGAGGCTGAGGCAGGAGAATCGCTTGAACCCGGGAGGCGGAGGTTGCAGTGAGCCAAGATCGTGCCATTGCACTCCAGCCTGGGCGACAGAGTGAGACTCCATTTCAAAAAAAAAAAAAAAAAAGAAAGGAGCTTCTGAGAGATGGGGTCTCCACCTCCCCATCAGATACTCCAGGGCTTTGGAAAGAGCTGGCTGGCTCTTGGGCATCACCTCAACTTTCCCCTAGGTGACGCTGCCAAGGAACTGTGGCACTGTCCCTACTTCCCACATCCAGCTCCACGGTTCCACCTCCCACCCCCCTTGCCTGTGGAAGCTCAAAATAAGCTTTCTAGAGCATGATGTTTCTTGTGTGAGGGGTCATCTGAGGTTGTAAAGACTGAAGCTCTTCACCAGAGAAACGCAGGAAGCATCCCGCAGCTAAGTGAGGCAATGTCTGGGGCACGCCAGGCCACGCCAGGTAGCTCAGAGGGGAGGAACGCCCCTGGCTACACAGCCTGCGTCTGAGCCCTGCTGGTGGCCAGGCCATCTGCTGGGCTCCATCCCTGGGCGTCTTTCCAGCCTGTCTTCAGTGCTCAGGGCGTCTTTAGCAGAGCATAAAGTGGCATTTCACTTGTCCCTCTACCCAACAGCAAGGAAGTGGACCTCTCTTAGGCTTTTCTTGGAAGACGAAAGGAAAGAAAGAACGTTCTCAATGTGAGATCCTACAGGACCACTGTACTGGGTCGAATGGCGTCCCCCCCCACCAAATTCATGTCTGCATGGAACCTACAAATGTGACTTTGTTTGGAAAGAGGGTCTTTGCAGATGTAATTAAGATGTACTCCACAGGCCTGGGGAGATCAAGGCTAACAGCATGTTGTATGAGGATGGCCCCAGTCCAATGACTGATGCCCTTATATGAGGGAAATCTGGACACAGACACACAGAGAAGGCCACGCGGTGGTGGAGGCAGAGATGGGAGAGATGTGTCTACAAGCCAAGGAGCGAGCAGGACCGCCGGCCACCACCAGGAGCTGGCAGGGGCAAGGAAGTCATTCTTCCCTGGGGGCTTCAGAGGGAGCACGGTCCCAGTACACCTTGAGTGTTGGCCTTCTGGCCTCCAGAGCTGTGAGAGAATCCATTTTGGTTGTTTGAAGCTGCTGAGTTTGTGGCGTTTTGTTACGGCTGTCCCAGGAAAGGAATACAATCACCAAATGTCAAACACAGGGCAGCTGGGAAAAACAAGAGGGAAATGCATGAGGCACGTAAAGAAAAGACTTGGAAGAGACCAAGGAGGGACAGGAAGGAATGCTTCCTCAACTTCCTCCTCGCACCCGGACAGGAAGCCGGAGACCTAGTGGCTGAGCCTTGGAAGAAGCGGCTACCTATTCCCCCCCACAAGAGCGGGTGAGCTTGGATGTCGGATGAATGAGAAGGGTCTGAATCTTGCTGGGTCCCAGGGAGACCCTGTTAATAATAACAAACTCAAGATATGGTCTCGTCTCATCCTCACCACAGTGCCTAAAGCAGGTTTTATTGAAATCCCCGTGTATAGATTAGGAACAAGGCAGGGCGGTTGGGTGCCTGCCCAGGGTCATAGGCAGCAGCAGTGATCTGGAACTGGAGCCCAGCTTTCCCACACCCTGCCCTTACCACTTGTCCTCTCCTGATCCAGGGCTCCAGTGCCCATGTCCAGTGCCTTGGTGGGGCTGGGCCAAGAGGCACAGCGAGGGCCCTGGCCACAGGCAGGGGCGTTGGAGCCCTGCTGCCTAGGTTTGGATCCCAGCTCTACTCCTGGTGAGCTGTGTGACCTTGGGCAAGTTACATTACATCCCTGTTTTGCAGTTTCACCCACTGAGAAAATAGGGACAAGAATAGTACGTAACTCATGGAGTTGCTGGAGACCTCCATGGGTCAGTACGTTTCAGGTGCTTAGAATAGTGCTTGGCACACTGGAAGCACAGCCATAAAAGTGTTGTGAAATAAATAAAACCCGCTGGGCGAGAGAACTCTTTCTTTCATAGCTGGGGCCAAGGAGAGGGCTTCAGGATGGTGACCTGTCTTATTCTTACTCCACAGACATGGAGATATCAAGGCCAATAGCATTCTCATGCAGTTCTCTTCTATTTCCCATAGAACCCTCAAGACCAGCAAGGGGGACACCTGAGAGCAGAAAGCAGAGTTGCACCCACATTCTGGGCAGGCTGACTCAGTTGCTAGAATCCTGCCTCTAGGGCCAAGATTACTGTTTGATCCTGATCTGGGCCAGCTTTGTCCTACTGGAGGAAAGCTTGGAACCCTGAATCCTACTTGGTTGGTCTCCTGCTTGGCTGTTTTGCTCACAGTGGGAACCTGGTCTGGGGTGATTCACTATCACTCATCGCTCCACAGAAGGATGGTGCCCGGTGCACATCCCCAGGATAGTGTTAACCGTCACCTTTACGCATGGCACTCAGAATGCGCAGAGTGGTGTGTGCATGCAGCAACGTGTATACACCCTGTGCATCTGGGAGGTCCTCCAGTCATCTCTGGCCGCGTCCTGCGGAGGGTGCTGCAGCCTCTACCTGGCCTCTGGCTCTTTCTTTCCTTTCCTTTCTTTCTTTCCTTCTTTCTCTTCCTTTCTCTTCCTTTCCTTTCTTTCCTTTCTTTCCTTTCTCTTTCCTTTCTTTCCTTCCTTTCTTCCTTCCTTCCTTCCCTTTCTTCTTTCTTTTCTTTCCTTCCTTTCCTTCTTCCTTCCTTTCTTTCTTTTTCTTCTTTCTTTCTCTCTCTCTTTCTTTCTTTCTCTCTCTCTTTCTAGAGTCTTGCTCTGTCACCACGCTGGAGTGCAGTGGAGTGATCTCGGCTCATTGCAACCTCTGCGACCCAGCTTCAAGCGATTCTCCTGCCTCAGTCTCCCAAGTAGCTGGGACTATAGGCATGCACCACCACAAACAGTTAATTTTTTTTGTATTTTTAGTAGAGATGGGGTTTCACCATGTTGGCCAGGCTGGTCTTGAACTCCTGACCTCAGGTGATCCCCCCCACCTTGGCCTCCCAAAGTGCTGGGATTACAGAGGTGGCTCTTTTAATTGACTCCTCTCCAGGCATCTCTCCTTCCAGCCACAGAGCCTGGCCTGATGGTCCCAGGGCCCCAGGGCCCCAGGTGAAGGCCTCTCTCCTCCCCCACTCAGGTCTGACCAGCTCTGTTTCCATCCTGGTGTGGGCACAAGGTCTCTTGCTGCAGCTGGGCCAGTTTGCTGACCTTCTCAGCTCCTTCTCTTAGACTGGAGAGGCCTGGAAGGGTGCCCGAGGGAGGGTCTGGGCTGCTCTCCTGGGCTCCTCCCCTCCACTCCAGGACTCTGGCTGGAGCCTGGTCAGGGTCCTTACTGAGTTCTCAGCCAAGCGCCAGCCCTGTGATGGCCTGAGGGGTCTGGTGGGGAAGCCCCAAAGTGAGGGCTCCATAGCCCTCACTGTCCCTCCCCCAGCATTGTGCAGTGCCGGCGGTCTCTGAGTTCTTCTGGGTAGCCTTTCTACCACATCCTCTTGCCTACTTTCACCAGGTGGCCAAGGGACACTAAAAAAGGCAGTGAATAGCTAGAGGACCACTCTTGAAAATCAGCCTGCCTTCCTCCTGGTGCCAGCTCCTGTCCCTCCGGCCTCCTTTTCATAGAATTCTACAACAGGAGGAAACAGAGAGGTCATCTCCTCCACCTTCACCAAGTTTCCAGAACGGATGGGTTAGAGGGATCTGGCGTTCTCTGAGGCTTCGGGCCAAACCTTGGACATTGGGCTGGCCAGAGATCTTGCTGGGGTTGCCTTGGGAATTGTATATCCATTGGGAGCACTAGCCCTGAACACCTGGGGCTCCCCACCTGCTAGGAGCTGGGAGGACTCTGGTGTTCCCTGCAACCCCCCAGGGTCTGGGTGGACGGAATGGCAGCCCAGGACTGTTCCCCAGGCTGACCTGGACTCTGATGAGAGCCAAGAGTGGACCTAGCTGTCATTTAGATCCCTGGGGGAGCCTTCACAGTAGCTGCCAAGCAGAGGTCCTGGCACTGGGGAGGGTTCTCACACGTAGGAGGGGCAGTACTTAAGCAAGTAACAGTGGAGAGGGCACTGGATTTGACATCAGCTGAGAGGTGGTCCGTTTCTGCTTCTCTCACTGCTTATCTGTGATCTGAGGCAAGCCTAAACTCCTCTACAGCTTAGTTTACTCATCTGGAAAGTGTGGTATATTTTATTTTACCTGCCTTACATCTGAGGCATGGAGGAAGGACGGAATGAGATCACCTATTAAAATGCATTTTGAAAAAACAAAAGTGCTATTTATGCAAACACATGGTACTAAAAATAAAAGATGCCTGTTTGCTTCTGGAAGTAAAAGTTGTGAATGATGCCGGGCGCTGTGGCTCACACCTGTAATCCCAGCACTTTGGGAGGTCAAGGCGGGTGGATCACAAGGTCGAGAGATCGAGACCAACCTGGCCGACATGGGGAAACCCCATCTCTACTAAAAATACCAAAAAAATTAGCTGAGCACGGTGGCACACGCCTGTAGTCCCAGCTACTCAGGAGGCTGAGGCAGGAGAATCACTTGAACCCGGGAGGCGGAGGTTGCAGTGAGCCGAGATTGCGCCATTGCACTCCTGCACTCCAGCCTGGTGACAGAGCGAGACCATCCGTCTCAAAAAAAAAAAAAAAAAAAAGTTATGAATTAAGTGATATTTTAATGATCCAGGAACCCCATTATTTAAAGAACATTTTGTCTTTTGTACAGCCACAGAGCCAGTGTTTGATGAGTTTCCAGCAAGCATCACCCATTCTGCTAGATTTTGTGAGGAACATAAAAAAGCAGAAGATATAGGGCCTGGTACGGAGTTGGCATTCAATTAATAATCATTGGGCAGGGCACGGTGGCTCAGACCTGTGTTCCCAGCACTTTGGGAGGCTGAGGTGGGTGGATCACCTGAGGCCAAGAGTTCAAGACCGGCCTGGCCACCATGGTCAAACCCCATCTCTACTAAAAGTACAAAAATTAGCCGGGCCTGGTGGCACATGGCGGTAGTCCCAGCTACTCGGGAGGCTGAGGCAGGTGAATTGCTTGAGCCTGGGAGGCAGAAGTTGCAGTGAGCCAAGATCATGCCACTGCACTCCAGCCTGGGCGACACAGTGAGACTCTGTCTCAAAATATATATATATATTAATAATCATTGGATGAATAAGAGCGAATTTCTTCCATCTGAGAGTTCACAGTCCAGTTTGGACGGGGACAGTCATGTGACCGGGTGATGAATGAGTGGTGCAGGCTGTACATATAATATGCATTTGGAGGGAGGAGAGGTCTCCAGGGTGTGGGAGGCTTCAGGGAGGAGGCAGGAAGGGAGAAATCCTCAGCAGAGAGGGAGAACTAGAAGAGAGAATTGGAGGGGCTGGCTGGGAAGAAGGGCTAACCCCAACATGGGCTCCTAATCCCAAGTGAGCAGGGAAGTGATGAATATGGTGGGCAGGGAAGAAGACCACCCTGATGGGAAGAAGTTTGCCTCCTAGCGTGGGGTGGAGTGGGGGCAGAGTAAACTTCCCACTGGGGCTACAGTTGAAGGGTTTTGGAAACCCAGCTTAGTGGAAAATGCCAGGGGGAACCAGTATAGATCCTACAGGGATGGGCTGCCTGTGTGCATGACATCATGAAAGCAATATTTTTAGAAGATGAGTCTGGCATGGATGGGCCCATGGGGACATACCAAACTTCTTGAAGTTCCCCAAAGTTTCCCTTTTCCGGGCTATTTCCCTGTTTCTGAGAATGCCCCATTCTCCCAAGCCTGTGGAAGGAACACCTGCTGTTTCACCTTAACTTACGCATCACCTCTTCTGGGAAGCCACTAGAGGTCATTTCCTCCTGGGCACCCCCAGCTGTACCCTGTCTACCACTTTATTTTTACACCCATTCCTTTTTAGGATACTTCTTGGTTTTCACATCTGGTTCCCCTTTCAGACTGTGAGTCTCTTGAAGCCTGGAATATTTCCTGATTGTTATTTTTGTCCAGCAACAGGCATGGTGGCCAGAGCCGTGTTTCCACCTATGTTGGTATCACCTGGGGCACCTGGGTCCCAGGTGACACCTGGGTCAGGCAAACATCAGGTGCTGCTGATACACCCTAAAGTTTAGGAACACTGCAGCTCCACCTCTCTCACATGGCCTCATAGGACAACATCTACAAAGAGCATATCATGATATAAACAGCACCCCCTGGAGTTGTGCAGCACAGACACCTCCTGGAGGACCCAGGTCCTCATGGATTCAGTTTTTTTTTTTTCACTTTATTTTCTTTCTCTCTCTTTCTCCTTCCTTCCCTTCTCTTCCTCCCTTCTTCCTTCCTTCCTTCCTTCCTTTCTCTCTCTCTTTCTTTCTTGGTGTGTCACTCTGTGACTCAGGCTGGAGTGCAGTGGCACCATCTGGGCTCTCTGCAACTTCTGCCTTCTGGGTTCAAGCGATTCTCCTGCCTCAGCCTCCCGAGTAGCTGGGATTACAGGCGCCGCCACCACACCCGGCTAATTTTTGTATTTTTTGTAGAGATGGGGTTTTGCCATGTTGGCCAGGCTGGTCTCAAACTCCTGACCTCGAGTGATCCGTCCACCTCGGCCTCCCAAAGTGCTGGGATTACAGGCGTGAGCCACCATGCCCAGCCGGATTTAATTTTTCATGTCTGTACCTTCAACATTCTGTACATTACAGGCGCTAAATAACATTTTCTGTAGGAAAATACTATGATTGGAGATTTGGGGGAGGGGAGGTGAAAGAGAGGAAATATATCGTCTTGTGTAATGTAAATAATGAGCTTGCATTCTGTTTTTTATTTTTTTTGTTATTTTTTTTTAAATTTTTTTTTTTGAGCCGGGCGCGGTGGCTCACGCCTGGCTGTTTTTTATTTATTTTTATTTTTTATATCTGGGTTTGCAGTCTCTTCCTGAGGCTGGGCCTGAATAGTGCTGTGAATACCGGCAGTGATGGTGTTAACTGGAAGAGCCCAACGTCTTAGCATTCAGAACCCTAATTTCTTTTCTGAAAAAAAGCCTGAAGCCTACAACCCAGTGTTCCAGCCTGCAGCGCAGCCTTCCTTCCAGGCTGCATCCCAGCCTTCCAGCCTGCAGCCCAGCCTTCCAGGCCGCTACTGTTGCTTAAGGCTGTGCTGCAATCAGAGCGCTCAGGAGTGGGAAGTCCAGAGTTCTACCCGCTTCTGGGAACAGCCCCCCATCCCCCTCCCGGCACCAGCTTCCACAGGCAAGTCCTCATGACAGTGGGTCAGGCTCACCCGAGGATTTCACAAACGCCTGGCCTGTTCCCAGCACAGCACAGCTGGGAGGGCTCAGTGCCGGGGGGAAGGAGCATCCTCCTCCTCCTCTTCCCTTGGCCCTGCCGTCCTCCAGCTCAGGGAGAGGGAAGGGCTGCACTTGTCCATGCTTGCCGCCTACAGGCCCGCGAGCTCGGAACCTTCCCTCCCTGCTGATTTCCCAGCTTTGGCTTAGTCAAGGTACAAAGAGGAAATGCGCTGTCTCACGACAAAAGGAGCATCCAGGCTTGTCTGCCCTGAAGGCAGCTGCAAGAGGTCTCAGAGTCACCTGAGGAGGCGGTTATTCAGATTCCAAGGCTGTCTTCAGGCTTTGGATTCAGAAGAGCTGGGTCACAGTCCGGGAGTCAGCAGTTTCATGCACACCTCGGGGGACTGGCCGTAGGTGGTCCTCTGTGCTTTCAGAGGCCTTGAGGGGCAGAGAGGTGGAGCTCCAGGCAATGAAAAGCGTTTAGCTCATAGAACCCAGGATTCTAAGTTAGGGCCACCAGCTCTTTCTCTAGCTCCATGACAAGGAAAGAGCTGTCCTTGGATTTGGGGCCTCAGTTTCTCCATCTCTGAAATGGGTGTGTTCGGACCTGAGGGTACAGAGACCAACTGTCCTAGTTTGCCAGACTTTCAGAACTAAACTGGGACAAGCTGGCCACCCTACTGAGGGTGGATGCATGCTGTAATGGGAATGTGATTTGAAGATGCGTCTTCAAGGCACAGGCTATATTTATTTAATTTACATATTTACCCGTTATTGTCTGGTTGCTCCCACTTAACCTCTGGAGGGCAGGGTGAGCAGGGCCTTGTCTTGCTGGATATAGAACAGTCCTTGACCGTGGGATGTGTTCCACAGAGATTTGCTGAATGAATGAACGAGTGAATGAATGAGTGACTAGAAGGGGAGAGGGCTGAGGCTCCAAGAACAGGCTCCCTGAATAGAGCGTGTGTTGGGGGTGGGTTTGCTCCGCTGACCTGAAGGGGGTTCTCGGCTCCCCTGGGACAAGAAAACTTGACCCACTCACGGCCGGGAAAGAGTCCAGGCTTTCTGAGCAGCCGCCCCTGGGAGGGGTCAGTGACCCCCGGTGACGAACGCCTGACTCCCCCCTTCCCCCACGCGCCCAGCGCGGCCTGGTCCACCCTGTCTCCTCCCTCTCCCGCCCCCCACCCCAGGGAGGTGCGCCTGGCAGCCTCCCGGCCGAATTTCCTGGCACTGGGCTGAGAATAAACAGCGCTCTCCGCCCGTAATCCCGTTGCCCCGGCGACCGCGCTCCGCGGGCGGGGGCGTGGCGGGGGCGTGGCGGGGGCGTGGCGTGGCGGGGCCGTACCCGAGGCGCAAGCTCTGCAGGGCGCAGCGGCGGCTGCGGCCGCGGCGATGCGGGCCCGGGAGGTGCCACCCCCCGTACTCGGCGCGGACATTCTTCGCATAGCTCCGCCAGGGCTCCCGCGGTGTCCGGGAAGTGACTCTTCCTGGCAGAGGGCGGCCTCGAGGCGACGCGCCTGCCCGCCCGCCAGCCCGGCGGCCGCCAGATCTGGAGGGGAGTGGGGGCGGGGCGCAAGAAGGTGCTCCCAGCCCTGGGGCTCCTGTCACCCTCGGCCTCGATCATCCCGCCCCGCGCTCCTGGGACCGGAGTCCCTTACTCCCATAGACTCTCGACTGCCTCTCCGCCCAACCCCCGCCCGGTACCCTTGCGGTGCCCCCTCCCAAACATCCTTACTCATTCCTAAGACTAGGACACATCGTGCAGGCTGATTTTCCATCGCTGGCTCCCCTGTCTGAGGCCTCCTTCCCCCCCTCCCCCAGAGCAGGACTTAGATTTCCCATTCTTGGCTCTAGCCTCAGGAGGCCTGCCCTAAAACAGCACCACCGGAGAGAGGATAGGGCCTCTTGGGGTGGAGTCTTACAGCTCTAGAAGCAAGGTAATAGGGCACAGGGCTGGGAGCGGGGATTTCTCCCCTTTCTGTTGGCCGGGGACCCTCAGCCTTGTTTTTAACCAGGCCGAGGCACGAGTGCCTGCCCAAGCCAGGAGAAGCTGCCCACTGCCTGCAGGACACTTGTCAGCACATCTGGGAGCCAGGAATACCCCTCCTCCCCCAGCCAGGCCAGAGGGCCCCCGACTAAGTCCCTTAGAGGAGGGTGTCTTCCCTTCTGAGGATTGAGAAGTGCAGAAAGACTTCTGTTATGGGGTATGGGATGAGGAGAGAAGGGAGCCGGTGCTGAGCAGAGTCATCTGGGGGAGAGATTCTTTCCTGGCCTTCCCAGCAGCTTGTTGTGTGGGCTTGAGCATGTTGCTTCCCTTCTCTGGGTCTCGGTTTCCTTGTCTGCAAACCCAAAGGGTTGGTCCAGTCTGATCTGAAATGGAAAGACACACCAGGCGCGGTGGCTCACGCATGAAATCCCAGCGCTTTAAGAGGACGAGGTGGGCGGATTGCTTGAGCTTGGGAGTTAGAGACCAGCCTGGGCAACATAGCAAGATCCCATCTCTACAAGTAGTACAAAATTTAGCCAGGTGTGGTGGTGTGTGCCTGTAGTCCCACCTACTCAAGAGGCTGAGGTGGGAGGATCGCTTGTATTCTGGCAGTTGAGGCTGCAGTGAGTTGTGATCCTGCCACTGCACTCCAGCCTGGGTGACAGAGCTAGACCCTATCTGAAAAAAAAAAAAAAAAAAAGAAGAAGAAGAAGAAGTGGAAAGACAGAGGAAGGTTGGGATGGGCAGTGGTCTGGAGGAGGGAAATGAGTCTTCTTGCCTTTGCAACTCCACAAAACCAAGTTTCAACCTCCCTGGGGTGGGCAGGGAGAACTACTTCCTCCCTGGCCAGAGAAGATCAAATTCTTTTGCTAGCATTCTGTGAACACTGGACAACCTGGCTAAACAGCTGCCTTCTGGGTCAAGCACAGGGACCCAGTGGCTGGGCACAGTGGCTCATGCCTGTAATCCCAGCACTTTGGGAGGCTGAGGCTGGCAGATTGCTTGAGTTCAGGAGTTCGAGACCAGCCTGGGCAACATGGCGAGACCCTGTCTCTACGAAATATACAAAAAAAAAATTAAAAATTAAAAATAACTGGCCGTGGTGATAATGTGCCTGTAGTCCCAGCTACTCAGGAGGCTGACGTGGGAGGATTACCCAGACGTGGGAGGTTTACCCAAACCCGGGAGTTCAAACCTGCAGTGAGCTATAATAGCGCCACTGCACTCCAACCTGGGTGACAGAGTGAGACCCTGTCTCAAAAAACAAAAAAGTACAAGGACCCCAGGTTCACGGTTCCCTCATGGCTGTTATTCCAGTGAAAGGGGAACTCTGTGCAGCTGAAGGCAGTGGTGGCTGACCAGCAGACCCCAGGGCGAGGAAGACTCATCATCCTTCTGGAAGGCACTGGGGAGCCACACCCCACTGGGCCCCCTCACCTGCACTTGTGCTTTGGGAAGGTGGCCCTACCTGGGTTTACATTGCCAGTCTGGAGTTCCTTCATGATGCCTGTGGTGTGGCTCCCATATGCTCTGTCCCCTCAGCCGCCTCGTGCCTGGCCTGGCCCCTTCTCGTCACTTCAGGTCATTTTCTCCAAAAGTCCCAGGAAATAGGAAAGAAAAACGACTTTGTTTATTTACTCTCTGTTGCCTTTTGGACCCCGATTCCTGGAGCAGTATATTGGGTGCAAGGGGGCCAGGAAGAGGCTCTGGTATTTGTGTCATCTGAGAGAGATAAGGGCCCCTGACTTGGGGTTAACACTCATTTCCCAGCTGTCAGGTCACGGGGATCAGAGAAGGAGGCATGAAAGGAGAATACCTCAGAGAAGGTGGTTTTGTTTTTGTTTTTGGTTTCTGTTTTTTAAATGGAGACAGGGTCTCGCTATATTGCCCAGGCTGGTCTTGAACTTCTGGGCTCCAGCCCTTAGCCCACCTCGACCTCCCAAAGTGCTGGATTACAGGAGAGAAGACGTTTTTTGCTATTAGAAGAACCCTAGTGCTGAAACCCCAGAGTTGGGGGGAAGGGTACTAACCTCTTGGCTTTTAAGGAGGGACTCACTCCGGGGGCAGGTATATGCTGAGTGTATAGAGAGGCAGAGAGGCATGGGCTTTGGAAATCAAATGCTCCTGGGTTCCAATCCTGTTTTCCCCATATTCCCAAGTGGTGTGCCCTTGGCCAGGTTGCTTAACCTCCCTGAACCTGAGTTGCTGCCCCTACTTAGTTGACAAATATTTACTGAGCACCAATCTAGGCACCAGAAGTGACCAGTCCAAGTCCTGGCTCACATGGGGCACGTGGCCATGTCTGAGAACATGGGGATGAGAATGCCTGCCTTGTGGGAGCAGGTGGGATGCTTAATCCAGGTAACCTCTAAGTGCCCCTTAGTGTTTAAATGAGAGTGACTAAAAATAGATGGGCTGAGGGGAGGATACCTTCAGCCCGGGAGCTGGAGACCAGCCTGGGCAACATAGCGAACCCTGTTTCAAAAAAAGAGAGAGATGAATAGATGGGTGCTTTTTGGGAGGAGGGTGATCCTGTCCGCTGCTCAGGTTGGGGCCCCTAGGAACGGGGAAGGGAAGCAGGCATGGGGAGCAGTGGCCAGGAAGCCCCTGAATGCCTGGGGTCCTGTGGTGGGGGAGGGGGTGGGGCTCCACCTGCATGCAAGATTTGCTTCAGGACCACCCCTCCCCCCACTTCCAGTGAACCTGGCTAGACTGAGGTCATAGGTCACCACTAGGACCCCATGTCTGGGCTTTCTCGGAACGACTCCCTGCCAAGGAACCAGAGCGCCTCTAATAGCCTGGAGCCTCTAAAAGCTTTGACCACAGCTCAGCTTGCTCCCTGCAAGCCCTTTGAAGCGCTTCCTTCGAACTTGCTTTGCATATTCTGGTCAGATCTGAATCAGACTTGCAGGAATTACCCCTCTCGGTAAGTCTAGGTGGCTGCCTTAGCTTGTCAGTGACACACGAGGCAGGCGTGCTGACGTAAGGCTGAGACGTATTCGATTCCACCCTCTGCGGCTCTCTTCCTCCTCTCCGATGCAGAGTGTGGGTGTGGGTGAAAGAGAAAGCAAGGCACGGGGCGGGGGGCGGGGGGGCAGGGGTGCAGAAAAGGCTCAAGTCATGTTTTTCATTAAAAAATAGTGCTCTTTATTATAAATTACTGAAATGTTTCTTTTCTGAATATAAATATAAATATGTGCAAAGTTTGACTTGGATTGGGATTTTGTTGAGTTCTTCAAGCATCTCCTAATAGCCTCAAGGGCCTGAGTAGGGGGGAGGAGAGAGGACTGGAGGTGGAATCTTTATAAAAGACAGAGTGATTGAGGCAGATTGTAAACATTATTAAAAAACAAGAAACAAACAAAAAAATAGAGAAAAAAACCACCCCAACACACAACTGCCCTGTCCAGCCCAATACCTGACACAGAATACTTTGTGTTTGTTTAGTTGCCCCCCCCCACAAAAACAAAAACAAAAACAAAAACAAAAAACTGTTCCAGGTAATTCCATCGCTGCTACATTCCTGTAAATTGTCACTGATCAGTGCTATGGCAGAGCGGGAGCACCCGGGGTGGCAGCAGTCCAGCCTCTCCAATGACCTCCAGCCTCCCCCACCCAGGCAGGAGGGAGGGCTGTGCAGGGCTCGGGGCAGTGGGACCTGGTGGCTCTGCTCTGACCACGAGGCGCCTGACTGGCCAATACTTACTGGGCTGACATTCCCAGTGCTCAGCTGGGAGGCATGGGTTTCCGCCCCCCCTCCCCACTTCCCTGGCTGTGGGCTGGCTTGGTGCCCTCCAGTGAGTCCCTCAGCCTCTCCACCCATCCAGGCTGAGTATGTGGCTTTCCTATGCTGGGTCCCTCTCCATGGGACAGGGAGCATTTAAGGCGAATCTCTTAGCCAGACATAGTCAGGAGGCACAGAGTAGAATCCCCTGTCTTCTCTACCAGGAGCCTGAGGTGAAAGATGTCCCGTCTCCTCCATCCTCCCGCTCCATCCACCCAGGTACAGGAAGGTATAGTATGAGTAGGAAAAGGAGACCAGCTGACCAGCCCATCCATCCCCTCCAAATGTTGCTTCCCCCTTAAAACGGAGGAAGGGCCCTGGGCTCTCAGGCACCAGGTAGACTTTGGAACCTGTGTTTTCGGTGACTGTCCCGGAGGAGAGGATGTGGGGTACCAGGATGGTTCCCTTCAGGTCACCCCAAGCCCTTCTCCCCGGAGCCAGGGAGAGGAGCATGTCACCAGGATCCTCGCCTGGGGTGGGCGGGGGGTGTGACCATTTCCTTCGCCAGCCCGCAGCCCTGGGGCCCTCAGGACCTCTCTCTCTTCCACCTTTCCCAGGCTCCACAACCAGCTCAGGTTTAAACCAAATCAAAGAGCAAACAAGTTCCGTTGGAAAGTTTGAAGATTCCCTGGCAGTTCTCATTAGTTCAGCATTCCCGAAGTGTCCCCTGTTTGGAGGCAGAGGGGAAGCTGAGGAATTGAAGGAGAATCCACTTGTGGTTGCTATCGTCCCACCAGGACAGCTGGCTCCTCCGGAGAAGCTGGAGACTCAGGTGGTACTCCCCCTTCCCTCCAACACATTCCAGGTCCGCCTGCCACATTCTGCAGGGAGAGGGCAGAGGGAGGGGCCTGTCCGCCCTCTTTCCCCCCAGAGCTACAGGACTCTCTCCTGGTTGGCTTCTTGTGCTTGTGCCATGTGCCACGGAGGAGAGGGGCCTGCGTCCCCTCTCCCGACCCATGCCCTTTGCGCCCTTTACCCCTTAAAGCGGGGCATCGTACTGGTCCAGGAACTCCCGAATGGGCCCCGGCAGCTGGGTGACTTTCTCATAGGAGTCCAGGTGGCCGTTGACGGTCTTCCGACAGAGATGCTGAAGAGTGGCCACGTTGGAGGAGAGGGGCCGGCTCAACACCAGGGGGATCTTCTCGCCCCCGGAGTAGATGTAATAGGCTCTTCTGGGGGGACTCCCAGGGAGTGGCTGGGCAGACGGCTGCTCGGGCACCTCGGAGGAGGGTTCAGTAGGTGGCGAGGGGAAGGAGGGGGCTCCAGGGGGCGGCATGTAGTGGTGCACCAGCTTGAGCACGCAGTCGAAGCGGGGCACGGGCTGCGTGCTCCGGGGATCGCTCTGCAGAGAGAAGCTGCCCCCCTCACACTGGATGCGCAGGTTCTTGGTCCCAGACTGGGTCTTGACGCTGAGCGTGAAGAAGTGGCGCTGGTCCGAGCTGTCGCGGATCAGAAAGGTGCCGGCGGGCTCGGCACTGAGCAGCAGGTTCGCCTCGCCGCCGGTCACTGCGCTCCAGTAGAAGCCGCTCTCCTGCAGCTTGCGCACTGCGTTCACCACCAGCTGGTACTCGCTCTTGGAGCTGAAGGTCTTGAGGCGCAGGCTGGTGTCCAGGGGGCGGCTCATCCCGGCGGCGGGAAACTTGCTGTGGGTGACCATGGCGCACGGAGCCAGCGTGGATCTGCGCGGCGGCGGCTGCAGCTGCTTCGCGGCCTCCGCACAGCGGCCGCTACCGCATCCCGGGGGGCTGCGGAGAGGAAGGCGCGAGCGCGTTGAGTGCCCGGAACCCTCCAGCGCGCCCGGCCCGCCCCGGCTCCCCTGCCTTCGCCGAGCGACTGGGGCACCCACTGCCCCGGGGGCCCTCTCCTGGGCCCGCGCTCCGATCCAGGCGCCTCACGGAGCCCGCACGGCTCCCGCCCCTGCCGGCAGGGTGGCCCCGGGCAGCCCCTTCCCAGGCGCGCACTGCAAGGGCGCAGCGTGGGAAACTCGCGCGCGGAAGTTAGGTCTCCAGGAGTGTGGCCGGGTGGGGAGCAGGAGAAGGGCCCCCGGGACTGCCTGGGCGCCGCTCAGTCCAGTAGCCCCGGGCGGTGTGGACGGAGGGAGAAACCCGAGGCACGGGGGTAGGGAGGGGACAGGAGAAGCCCGAAGGCCCCAGCCGGAGTATTCCGGGAACCTGGGATCTCCGGCTTCCATCCGCTCTGCCCCTACCTCGTCACCTCCCTGCCGGGAATGACCCGGGAAGGGGAGGGGAAACCGGGAAAAGCTCCCGGGACTGAGCGAGACCCCTCCCCACGCCGCGCTCCTCCTTCCTACCTGGTCCCGAATCGAAGTCTCCGTCCTTGGGGCTGAGCCCCCTCGGGTCCCCAAGGCGACGCGGCGGCGAGACGGCCAGCGGTGGCCCGCGCTGCGCCCAGATGTTGGCGGCCGTGAAGTCCACAAAGGAGCCTTCGCGCGCGCGTCCCTCGAGCTTCCCCTGGGCGCCCGCCCTGCCCCCTGCGCACCCCCGGACCAACCGGGAGGGGACCAGGAGAGGGACCGCGGCAAGGGGCCGCGGCGGGAGCTGGGCCGGGCGGGCGGCTGGCGGCTGGCTGCGTGCGGGGCCGAAGCGGCAGCAGCGGAGCAGGGAGTCCAAGTCGGAGCCGCCGCGGAGGCCGCGCTCGCGGGTATATAGGCGGCCGCCGCGCCCCGCCCCCCGATTCCTGGAACTGCGCGGCCGGCCTTCTTGTAATGTTTAGTCACTACTCGCAGCAGAGAAAGGCTGAGCGCGGAGGGTGAGGGAGGGGCCGCGGGCGCCGAGGGCGGGCCGCGAGCAGGGGCAGGGACCGGGAGGGACGCGCGCGGAGACAAAGCGCGACGAGAGGCGGCCGAGGCGGCCGGTGGGCGCGGCGCCAGCCCCGGCGGCGCGTTCCTGGCAGCGGCCCCTCCCCGCCGCGCGCTCCGCCCCCAACTTCTCATTCACACTTTCCCCCCACCCCCCTCCCTTCTAAGAAGGCTGATTTCTGGCAGAGGCGGGGGCGCCGCTTCGGGAGAGCGGGCAGTTCTAGGAGGCCGACCTGGAGAGCCTCCCGGTTCCCCTTCCCCTTTTCCCGGACCCCGCGGGGACACCCCCTCGCCGCCACCCGGGCCTCCCCGAGGGCCCAACTGCGGGTCAGGCGGCCCGGGCCAGCCGAAAGGGAAGTGGGGCTACCCCACAGCCAGGCAGCGGGGCTGGGGTCAGACCCGGGAGCCGGAGGTTGGAGACGTGCGACAGTCACCTGCGGGCAGATTCCAGAGGGGAGACCCAGGGCTGCAGGGGACGCCCCTTCGTGGCAGCTACCCAGCCTCGGCCCACTGCCAGGTTCTTTGCCAACCCTGACGCGAGTGTGGAGCCCCCCTCCCCTCCCCTATGAAAACGCTTTCATGCACTGGGGTCTGCAAACCTGGTTGGTCCGGTGTGGGTTGGGCCAGGTGCTCTCGGCCGGGCTGGAGAGCTCGAGGTGGAACGATGGCCCCAACCTACGGCCCGCGTCCGCCAGAGGGCGCCCTGGGGTCTCCTAGGGGAGGGCAGTTTGGTGCTGCGCGGCCCAGGCCTTGGAATAGGCACGCCAGGGATCTGCGGGAATGGCTGTCTCCGGAGCTGGAAAGGTGGCCGAGAAGGGGGCATTCACACCCCAGGCTGGGGTCAGACCTGGGAATAAAATTCTAGCAGGAGAGAATTTCCGGAAAGCAGTTTTCCGGGGTTCAGGCTACTGCCAGATGGCCCACACCCCCTGGAATGTGACCCCCTGCCTCTCTTGGGGTGGGGGAGGACTTGATCACTGGCGGGGAGGGGGTAGAGGGGAGGAGAGGAAGTGATTGAGGTGAAAGATTGGTTTGCTGCTGGTCACGTTGGCACTGACGTAGATAGTTTGGGCTTGGAGACCCGGGGCCAGCCTTATGAAGGATGGCAAGTTTTGTCATCTTGTCCCCAAATGGGCTGTGTGGTGCTGGGGACACCCGAGAGCTGCCTCAGTGGCATTTAGATTTTCACCTCTCGGGATGCAGACGCTGTGGGCCTGGGGCCCTGCGCTCTTCCTAGATACCAGGATAATGAGGTGCTGAAAGGGAAGGAAGAGACTGCCGCCAGGGACAGGGAGCTTGGGATGCCAGAACCCAGAACTGGCCCTTTTGCCGGCCCTGGAATTGATAGGTGCGCACTGCCTTTGCCACTGTATCCTCAGTCCGTGCCATCACCTCTCCCCAGCATGTGCTGGGGACTCAGTGAGATTTGGACAAGACACACAGTTTCTCTGGGCTTCCGTTTTGCCACCTGTAAAACTGGAGCCAGAACCTTTTCCTTCCCTTTGGCAGGCGGAGGCGAGAGGATCACTTGAGCATGGACATTCAAGACCAGCCTGGGCAGCAAAGTGAGCACCCCCATCTCTGCAAAAAATAGAAAAAAGTTAGCCAGGAGTGGTGGCCTGTGCCTGTAGTCCCAGCTGCTTGGGAGGCCAAGGTGGAAGGATCGCTTGAGTCAGGGAGGTCAAGGCTGCGGTGAGCCATGATCGTGCCACTGCACTTTAGTCTGGGCAACAGAGTGAGACCCTGTTAAAAAAAATAATAATAAAATGAAATAAAAAGGGCCGGGCATGGTGGCTCATGCCTGTAATCCCAGCACTTTGGGAGGCTGAGGCGGGTGGATCACGAGGTCAGGAGATCGAGACCATCCTGGCCAACATGGTGAAACCTCGTCTCTACTAAAAATACAAAAATTAGCTGAGTGTGGTGGCACATGCTTGTAATCCCAGCTACTTGAGAGGCTGAGGCAGGAGAATCGCTTGAACCAGGGAGTCAGAGGTTGTGGTGAGCCGAGATCGCGCCATTGCACTCCAACCTGGCGACAGAGCTCTGTCTCAAAAAAAAAAAAAAAAAAAAAAAGAAAGAAAGAAAGAAAAGAAAAGGAAGAAAGAAAAAGAACCTTTTGCCATAAGAGATTTGAAATTAAAAAAAAAAAAAGATTCTGCACATCAAAGCGTGATAGAAATAGAAGTAACCCAGTTAGTTCAACTCTCCCTCCAGCCTATCAGGAGAGCAGAGGAGGAAACTGGTTTATTCAACACATTTCACAAATATTGAGCTCCATGCACCAGGCACTGGGCTGGGCATTGATATATAATGATGAGTAGGACCTGGTCTTTGCCCTCACAATGCTTGCAGGGTAATGAAATGGATTCTCCTTCTCTCTGTAATCAGTTCATTCTTTTTCTCATCCATTCAGTGTTACGTGGCTGCATGACCATACACTTCTGGGTAGAGCCCAGTGGAAGACAAAGAAGACTCAAGGAATAGCCCTTGAGGTAATGGATGAGAAAGTGCTTTGTAAATTACAATGCTCTGACACAAGTCAAGTTCATTCATCCATTCCATAAACCTCTGCCGAGAGCCTGCTTTTGCCAGGCACAGGGCGAAGTGCTGGAAGACAGAAGTGCTGGGTGAATCCTGCAGGGGGAGATGGCCAAGGCAATCGGCATGGAGCCCCCAGGTGATGAGTGAGGTGGGAGGTGCGGGGCTCCCTGCCTGCTCATCTCAGCAGGAGATCCAACTGCTGTTCGGGCTCTATCACCCAGTAGCTGTGTGACTTTAGGCAATCTGCCTTACCAGCTGTGCCTCGGTTTCCTTATTTGTAAAATGGTTGGAGAGTAGTACCTACCTCACTGAGTTGTCTGGAGCTCCCACATGCAAAATGCTTAGAGTGGTGCCTTGCACATAGGAAGTGCTCAATGCATATTAACTGTCATGATTTTGAAAGCACTGGGGAGGCTTTGAGGAGAGGGAGGAGTGAGCTGAGCTGCTGCAGCTTGGGCTCATAGGGTTGGCTATGGATGTAAGCTGCCTTGTTTTGGGGAACCGTACATCTCCTATGGAAGATACATTCCAAAAAGCTGCTTGTCTTGAAACAGGTCAGCCAGCCACCAAGCTTCTTTTTTTTTTTTTTGAGACGGAGTCCCACCTGTCACCCAGGCTGGAGTGCAGTGGTGCCATCTCGGCTCACTGCAACCTCCGCCTCCCAGGTTTAAGTGATTCTCTTGCCTCAGTCTCCCGAGTACTTGGGATTACAGGCATGTGCCACCATGCCTGGCTAATTTTTTTGTATTTTTAGTAGAGACAGGGTTTCGCTATGTTGGCCAGGCTGGTCTCGAACTCCTGACCTCAGGTGATCCGCCTGCCTTGGCCTCCCAAAGTGCTGGGATTACGGGCATGAGCCATCGTGCCTGGCCTTCCCTTTGGCATTCTAATCTCTCCCATGGTTTCCCATCACTTTCTGGATGAATCCAGACTCCTCGGTGCAGTGTGTGTCCCACGCTGCTCCATGTCAGTTTCATCGGCTGCCACTGCCTCAGCGACTGGTGCCTCGTGCTCTAGCTACATGGAGCTCCAAGCTGTCCAGAAGGTAACGTTCCTCAGTCCTGGGTTTCTGCACATTTGCTTCCCTGTCTGGGGACAAGGAGGGAACTACCTTCCACACCTTGGCTGATTTCTACTTTTCCTTTAAAATTTGGCAGACGGGCTGGGCGTGGTGGCACGTGCCAGTAATCCCAGCACTTTGGGAGGCCGAGGTGGGAGGATTGCTTGAGCTCAGGAGTTTGAGACCAGCTTGGGCAACATAGTGGAGACTCCATCTCTACAAAAAATTTTAAAAATTAGCCGGGCATGGTGGTGCGCGCCTGTGGTCCCAGCTACTCAGGAGGCTGAGGTGGGAGGATCGCTTGAGCCCAGCAGGTAGAGCCTGCGGTGAGCTATGATTGTGCCGCAGCATTCCAGCCTGGAAGACAGAGTGAGACTCTGTCTCCAAAAAAAAGACGGAAAAAGGCAGACACTCTAAACTTCCAGGTAGCTCTTTTTGCATTAACCAAAATGTTCTGACTATATCTCCAGTGAGGATCTTGGGGAAACAGACTATATTTGATTTTTTTTTCTTTTTAAGACTGGAACCTGGTACGTAGAATGAATCTCTAAGTCAAGGATGATGTTGACTTCTTTCCATTGTTTTTAGAGACCACAACCTGCTTTCTTCTAGAGTACTTTTTGGTTTTCCATGCAGGGCTCAGGAGCTATACAGATGGGATAGAGGGTGTGAGTGCTGGGAAGCCCCATCCATGGCTCGCTGGAGATTAGAGGCCTGTTAATCTGAAGACAAAGGAATGAAGACGAAAACGTTTCTGAAAATGTGGGTGGAGACACCTGGGCCTTTACAGGGTACGCTCCAGAGCTGCTTCCAGGCAGGGACCCCGGCTGAGAGAAGCCAGAGCCAGAGAGTCGCAGGCTTGCTTGCTCTTATCTTCCCTCTGCTGGGGGGGTCGAGGGGAGATCTGGCCCCTCTGCTCTGCCCTCCTGATTTCCCGTCTAAGGGATTTAGGAGACTTTTGCCTTTTCCTAATCTCTCCCTTTGCAGAATTTCTGCGAAGTCACAATCCCATTTCCAGGCAAAGGTGCTTGGTCATAAAGATAATAAAGATATTCATTCATGATGGAGGGGAAGTACACAGTGGTTTCAGCTGCCTGTAGGGCTCCACTTACTCATGGTGTGTGACAGATGCTGAGCCCTTCCCCAAATCTCATGGATGGGAAGGAAACCTGGCGCCGCGGGGTGGTCGCGGGAAGCCGTGGCATGGCTTGGTGAACACAGGCTCGCCGACCCGGGGGCGGATGCTGAGGTTGCCATTGTTGGTGGCTGCATCTGCAGTAGACGGGTCGGGATGCCGGCCTCAGACCACAGCGTTGCTAAATGCCAAACCCAAGGCCTCCCCGTCTTTAACACTGCTGGGCATTCTACAGCGCAAGGAGGCAGCTGGGGCTGGACTGCCCAGTGCCTGCCGTTGACTGTGCGTCTTCTGCCTGTGAGCTAGCCTGCCACACCTGGGGATACACGGTGGGGAAATCAATCAGCTTCCCTCCCTTCTAGAGCTTCAGGTCCGGCGTTGGTGTCTAGAGGCAAGGGGAGGAGGCAGGGAGGCCTCTTCTTTTCTGTCCCCCTTTCTCTTGGCCAATTTGGAGGAGATGGTGGGGGACCTGTCTCTCATCTGACCTCCTGGAAGCCCTGCCTGCTGCTCCAGTGTGGCTCTCCCAGGGCTGAGGCCTGGAACCTAGGGCTGGGCTACCTGGGGTGCTCAGCTCTGCCGCACCCCAGCCCTCCTCGGCTGCAGCCCTGGCTTCTTTTCTTACCCACTGGGATGGCCCGTGGGACTAACCTTGCAGCCTGCAGGACTATGGCCCAGATGACCTTTCCGGAGCAGGGGAAGAGTTCACAGGTCTCAGACCAGGTTGACCCCGAGCCCTCTCTTTCCTGCTTCGCATAGGGGCGGGCCAAGGGAGGCAGGGACAATGGCATTCCTGTTTGCAGGCCTTTGTTCCCGCCAGGAGGGCCCCCGGAGCTAATAAAAAGGTTTGTGGCTCCGATGTCTAAGAGGCAGTGGAGGAGTTCTTTCAAGCCTGACATTCCAGGCCCAGCCGGCCTCTGGCATTTCCCAGAAAAACTTCGAGGAGGGGAGGGGAAAGAAAACACTTGAGGGACCCACCCACCTACCCACTGCCCGCCTTCTCGGATTCCTCGTTCCCTCTGGGGATTGGGCTGGGCCGGAGTGCCAGGACCCCTGCCCTGGGGGGCCCATTCCTCCACCCACAGAGGGGCCCTGGGAAGTGTTGAGAGGGTGAGAGTGGGTAAGTGGGGGGTGACTCTAGGAGGGTGCAGAGAGGATGAAATGTTGGGGGCGCAGTGAGAAGAGGAGGAAAGTTTCTTCCCACTTTGTCAAAAAGGAATCCACATCTGCTACAAGTTTGGAGTTGGAGGGTGGGGAGTGAGGAGTTAGCTCCTAGCCAATATCTCCTCTGACCCCAAACCGACAAATGCTGCTCTGTCCGAGGCTGGGGTGGGAAGAGTTTTTATTTGCCCTGAAGCAGCTGCGGGAACAGACATCAGGGCAGCAGGGCAGTTCTGGGAAGTGAGGCTGTGGTGAACCATCTGGGCGGCAATGCAGACGAGGCAGTGCCCAGGACGGGGAGAGCCCGGGAGGGGGCGAGGAGGCCATGCTGTCTCTGGGAGACGTGCCTCTTGGGATGTCCTGGGCCCAGGCGCCCTTGGAGAGGCAGGAGCTGGTGGGGGACCAGCTGAGTGCAGCTGTTCGGCTCGCCCTGCAATACTGCAGTTGGGCTGGCTGCTGGAGCCAAGTGGTCACGGTCAGGTGCCCTGACTCTCCTGGGGCTCTGGGGCAGGTGCTCCTCATGACCATGGTGTGCCTGCAGCCTCTGGTCAAGCTCCTGCAGCCCGGGCGCAGGCTTCCTTCTGAGCCTCTCACCCTCTGGGAAGTCCCTGCCTCCTCCGCAGTGTGAAGCACCCCTGGTATGCACTGTGCCGTGCACTGATTCTTGGGCAAGTTCAAATAGAAAATGATAGGCTGGGTGTGGTGGCTCACGCCCGTAATCCCAGCACTTTGGGAGGCCAAGGCTGGTGGATCACCTGAGGTCAGGAGTTCCAGACCAGCCTGGCCAACATGGTGAAACCCTGTCTCTACTAAAAATACAAAATTAGCTGGGCGCAGTGGCGCATGCCTGTAATCCTAGCCCCTCAGGAGACTGAGGCAGGAGAATCGCTTCAAACTGGGAGGTGGAGATTTACAGTGAGCTGAGATTGTGCCATTGCGCTCCAGCCTGGGCGACAAGAGCAAAACTCCGTCTCAAAAAAAAGAAAAATGTAAAAGCAAAAGAAAAAAAGAAAATAATACCCTCTCTCTGGCTCCCAAGATCCTGAACCAACTTTGAAGGCAGAGAAGTGGGCTAGAAGAAGTGGGGTTGGAGCCTCCACCAAGGACAAGAAGGTGAGACTCTAAGGCGTCTAAGGTGAAACTGGGGCAGCTATCCCCACGTGTTCCTTCCTCCCTCCCCCTTGCCGGCACTGTACTCACTGGGCCTTAGGCTGGTGTTGTTCAGAGTTTCTTAACCTGGAGCATGTGAACTGCCCCTTCCCAGGTTTCATACTCCCCCAACAGCCACTCCCCCGATAATTGCAAACAAAATGCTGGTGGAGGGTCAGGCCCCTGGGGGCTGCAGGACCTGCCTGGAGTCACTTCTTGCCCCTGCAACACTTGTTTTTTGTTTGACACAGTATCAATCTGTTGCCCAGGCTGGAGTGCAGGGGCGCAATCTCAGCTCACTGCAACCTTTGCCTCTGGGGTTCAAGCGATTCTTCTGCCTCAGCCTGCTGAGTAGCTGGGATTACAGGTGCACACCACCACGCCTGGTTAATTTTTTGTATTTTTAGGTAGAGACGGTGTTTGCCATGTTGCCCAGACTTGTCTCGAACTCCTGAGCTCAGGCAATCCACTGGCCTCGCTCTCCCAAAATGCTGGGATCACAGGCGTGAGCCACTGTGCCCAGCCATAACACTTATTTTATACTACCATTTATTCCTTGAGTAGTTATTTATTTATTTATTTATTTGAGACAGAGTCTTGCTCTGTCGCCCAGGCTGGAGTGCAGTGGCACAATCTTGGCTCACTGCAACCTCTGCCTCCCGGTTCAAGTGATTCTCCTGCCTCAGCCTCCTGAGTAGCTGGGACTACAGGCGTCTGCCACCACGCCCGGCTAATTTTTGTATTTTTTAGTAGAGACGGGGTTTCACCATATTGGCTAGCCTCCTGACCTTCTGATCCATCCACCTCAGCCTCCCAAAGTGCTGGGATTACAGGCATGAGCCACTACACCTGGCCTTGAGTAGATATTTATTGAGCACCTGCTATGTGTCAGGGATTGAGTTAGGTGCCAGAAATTTATCAGTCTCGGATCTCATGGAGCTTAGATGTTTTTCCAGAAGGACAAGATTCTTCCAGAATTATATCGGGATTGATTAATTTTGACTGTGCTGCATACTATGAAGAAGTCCCAGGAGCTATGTGAGCCTATTATGGGGAGACCTAATCTATTGGGGGGACAACCAAGGGGGATTCCCTGAAGAAGTAACACACGTAGGCTGATGGGAAGCTGAGGTCTAGAGAGGTCCCTGCCTGGTGCGAGGTCTCCCAGTCAGATCGTGGCAGAGCTCCAGCTGGTGCCCAGGTTGGTTGACTAGACTCCCAGGCTTTCCCCACACACAGGCTCGTCTGGCCTCCCTCCAGGCCACTCGGTGGCATACACAGGGGAGGGGAGGATGGAGAGCTGGCAGAGGCAGGGAGGGCCTGCTGGTGGGACAGGCATTCTCCTGGTGCCACATGCCCGGGCCTCTGCTGCCCACTGTCTTTTCCCATTCACTTCTACTTCACTCTCCCTCTCACTCCCCAAAGGCCTTAGCCCCCTGCTTCCAGCTCAAGCTGAAGTGGCTGTGAGCTGAGCTAAGAAGACCCCACTTCGCCAGGAGGAGTGCCTCACGCCTGTAATCCCAGCACTTTGAAAGGCCGAGGCAGGTGGATCACGTGAGGTCAGGAGTTTAAGACCAGCCTGGCCAACATGGTGAGACCCCTTCTCTACTAAAAATACAAAAATTAGCCGGGAGTGGTGGCGCGCACCTGTAGTCCCAGCTACTCAGGAGGCTGAGGTGGAAGAATCTCTTGAATCGGGGAGACAGAGGCTGCAGCGGAGCTGAGATAGTGCCACTGCATTCCAGCCTGGGGGACAGAGTGAGACTGTCTCAAAAAAAAAAAAAAAAAAAAAAGAGAGAAAAGAACCCATTTAATTCTACCTGTGGGAGGTGGTTCAGGCATTTGTGGAACTTTGCAAATTGAAAACATAGTTTGTGAATACCTAAGACAGCCCCATAGGTCAGCATTCAAAAGGTGCAATCAGGTGAGCCAGAGTCTTCCCCTCCTATTCCCTGGCTTCCTGTGCCACCTGGGGCATTTTTTTTTCTTTTCTTTTTTATAGACCAGAAGATGCAGGCTACTGTGGGCACAATGCCTATGAATTAGCCCTGCTCTGCAAGAAGCAGCCAAAAAAAAAAAAAAAAGATGCAGAGTGGTGGCATGTGCACGGCTGAATGCAGTCTGTAGACGCAGTAGCTGTGTGGCCTATACAGAATTAAAACAATTTTTGAGATAACATTAAAAAAATCTGGAAATTTCACATCTACATTTGAATCTGGAGCTTTCCTTGGAAAAACAGGACACTGGTAGCAGTGGACCACGTTCTGGCACATTCCCGTTGGCCCTTCAGGTGGGGCATGGGCTCCCCAGGTCAGCACAGGCCCACCCTCCAGGGTGACCACCCTCCCCTTCCTTCCCTTCCCTGCCAGGGTCTGCAGGCATTGAGGCAGCAACTCAGCCTGACCTCTGCCTCTCCCAAGCTAAAGGGCAAGGAAGGCTATGGACTTTGGGGCATTTATTTTGAGTCTCTTTCCTAAATTCGAGGAGACTGGAAATAAATCAAGCCTGGCCAGGAGGAGGAGTCCAGCTCTTCCTGTCCCACTGGCCCTTCCCTCTTGGACCTCATCTTAAGCAGGTATGCTTGGCCTCTTCCTCTACTTCACTGTGGGGGCTGGGCAGGGAGAAGCTGCGGGGCGGGGGACCCTGGGATTCCCTGGGACATCACTGGGTTCCCCACGCTGTGGGCTGCTGGATCTCGAGGCCTGCAGCTCCTTGCTCGGGTGGCGCTGGCGACCCGCCATGCCACAAAAGGCTGAGATTCCCCTGAAACCTAGAGCTGCTTTTATCTCTCACTGGTGACAGAGAAACAAACCAGGATGCTCTGCCCAAAAGGCATTTCCAGAAATCTGGGCTCTGGCTTCTTGTTGATCAAATGCCAGAACGTCCTGGGCTTCTTTGTGGCGAGGGAGCCATTGAGCATGGGTGTTTTGTTTTGCAGATGACAAGATTTTCGACACTGAAAAGTTTAAATGATGAATGGAAGAGCTTTGAATGGCTCCCACCCCTGCACAGGGAGGTTGCTGATTCGAGCTTCTGTGTTTGTCAAATTTGTTCCTCACAACTTTCGGCTCTTTTGCACCTCCCCTCGGCTCCAACAGGCTCAGGACCCTAGTCCCAGAAATCCTCATCTCTTCCAGTTTTAGGGCCACACAGGTCTAGCAGAGCCCATGCCAGGTACATGGCTACGGCTGTGGGGAAAGCTGTTTTTTGTCGTTGTTTCTTTTTTTAAGTACAGGGTCTCAGGCTGGGTGCAGTGGCTCATGCCTGTAATCCCAGCACTTTGGGAGGCCAAGATGGGTGGATCGCTTGAGCTCAGGAGTTCAAGACCAGCCTGGGCAACATGGCAAAAGTCTGTCTCTAGAAAAAATACAAAAATTAGCCTGGCGTGGTGGTGTGCACTTGTAGTCCCAGCTACTTGGAAGGCTAAGGTGGGAGGATGGCTTGAGCCCAGGAGATGGGGGCTGCAGTGAGCCAAGATCATTCCACTGCACTCCAGTCTGGGCAACTGAGTGAGACCCTCTCTCAAAAAGAAAAAAAAGAAGAAAGAAAAAACACAGCGTCTCACTCTGTCACTCAGGCTGGAGTGCAAGTGGCTATTCACAGGCGCGATCTCGTTACTGACCTGCATGAGAATTTTCACCTGTCCCTTTTCCCACCTGGGCCGGTTCACCCCTCCTTGGGCAACCTGGTGGAGGCCACCATATTGATGCTGAATTTAGTGCGAACACCTGATTGGCATAGTGCACTGCAGCCGGAATTCCTGGGCTCAGGTGATCCTCCTGCCTCAGCCTCCCGAGTAGCTGAGACTATAGGCACGTGCCACTGTGCACAGCAGAAAACTTTTCTAACCCAGGAGTTGGCAAACTATGGGGCACGTGCTGGAGGACGATTTTTGGAAATAAGGTTTTATTGAATCACAGCCAGGCTCATTCAAATTGTCTGCGGCTGCTTTCACACCAGAGTTGAGTAGTTGCCACCGAGACCATCTGGCCTACAAAGTAGAACATATTTATTTATTTATTTGTGTGGGCTTTTTGTTTGTTTGTTTGGCTTTTTTGAGACAGGGTGTCACTCTGTCACCTAGGCTGGAGTGTAGTGGTGTGATCACGGCTCACTGCAGCCTCCACCTCCCAGGCCCAAGTGATCCTCCCACCTCAGCCTCCCAAGTAACTGGGACCACAGGCATGAGCCACCAGGCTGAGTTCATTAAAAAAAATTTTTTTTTGTAGAAATGGGGTTTCACTATGTTGTCCAGGCTGGTCTCAAACTCCTGGTCTGAAGCCATCTTCCCACTTGGCCTCCCAAAGTGTTGGGATTACAGGCGGGAGCCACTGCTCCTGGCCTAAAATATTTACTATTTGCCCTTTAAGAAAACATATGCTGGCCGGGCGCGGTGGCTCATGCTTGTAATCCCAGCGCTTTGGGAGGCTGAGGTGGGCAGATTGTTTGAAGTCAGGGGTTCGAGACCAGCCTGGCCAATATGGAGAAACCCTGTCTCTACAGAAATACAAAAAAATTAGCTGGGCATGGTGGTCCATGCCTGTAATCCCAGCTACGCTGGAGGCTGAGGCACGAGAATCTCTCTTTTTTTTTTTTTTTTGAGATGGACTCTCGCTCTGTCACCCAGGCTGGAGTGCAGTGGCACAATCTCGGCTCACTGCAAGCTCCGCCGCCTGGGTTCACGCCATTCTCCTGCCTCAGACTCCAGCTGGGACTGCAGGCGCCCACCACCACGCCCTGCTAATTTTTTTTATTATTTTTATTTTTAGTAGAGATGGGGTTTCACCGTGTTAGCCAGGATGGTCTCAATCTCCTGACCTTGTGATCCACCCGCCTCAGCCTCCCAAAGTCCTGGGATTACAGGCGTGAGCCACCGCCACCACCATGCCTGGCCGAGAATCTCTTAAACTCAGGGTGGAGTTTGCAGTAAGCGGAGATCACGCCACTGCATTCCAGCCCGGGTGATAGAGTGAGACTGTCTCAAAAAACAAAACAAAACTTGGCTGGGCTTGGTGGCTCATGCCTGTGATCCCAGCACTTTGGGAGGCTGGGGTGGGTGGATCACCTGAGGTCAGTAGATCAAGACCAGCCTGGTCCATGTGGCGAAATACTGTCTCTACTAAAAATACAAAAAATTAGCCGAACGTGGTAGCGGGCACCTGTAGTCCCAGCTACTCGGGAGGCTGAGGCAGGAGAATCGCTTGAACCCAGGAGGCGGAGGTTGCAGTGAGCTGAGATTGTGATTGCACCATTGCATTCCAGTTTGAGTGACAGGGCGAGACTCTGTCTCCAAAAAAACAAAACAAAACCAAAACGTATGCTGAGCCCTGCTTGGAGGGAAAAGAAGTCTGTCTTGTGCCAGGGAGAGCTGGAGTTAAGGCTTAGTGTTGGTGGGAACAGTATCAGGGACTGTTGGGAAAGATCAGAGTAACAGCTTAGCAGGGAGAGTAGAACTTGGGGAGGTGTTGGAGGGGGATGAAGACAGGAAAAGGGCTGGGGCCTGTGGGGAGACTGGGGGCTCAGGGAAGCCAGGCCCAAAAGGTGGACTGAGCTTTCAGCCTTGCAAACTGATAGCAAACAGTAGGTTAGAGGTCTTCCCAGGAGGCCAGGCCACCCTTGTCCCCACCATTGGTGGAAAAGCAAGACCACAGTGGTTCCCTGTTCCAGCCGGGAGGCCCCAGAGCTCACTGCCTTTGGCCCTGTGTGCATTCCTCACTCCAGCACTGGAGCCCGGTTCTGGGGCCAGATCCTATTCACAGTGCTCAGAGCACACAAAGATTCATGAGCTCGCCTTCTGATGGGGCAGAGACAAAACACACAACAGCAAACGATTAGGTCACTGTAAGGAAGAGGAAGAAACTAAAATCCTGTTATCCGGGTTGGAAAGCTGTTTCTAGGGGAGGGTGACATTTGGACAGAGCTCAGGATGAGATGAGCTGAGGGAAGGTGCTTCTGAGCAGAGGGAAGAGCAAATGTAAAGATGCTGAGGAAGGCCGGGCGCGGTGGCTCACACCTGTAATCCCAGTAGTTTGGCAAGGTCAGGAGTTCGAGACCAGCCTGGCCAACATGGTGAAACCTTGTCTCTACTAAGAATACGAAAAAAATAGCTGGGGGTGGTGGCAGGCACCTGTAATCCCAGCTACTCAGGGAGGCTGAGGCAGGAGAATTGCTTGAACCCCCGAGGCAGAGGTTGCAGTGAGCCGAGATTGTGCCATTGCACTCCAGCCTGGGTGACAAGGGCAAAACTTTATCTCAACAACAACAACAAAAAAGATGCTGAGGAGGATGCGGGCTTGAGAGAAGGCCAGGCCAGTGAGGCTGGACATATGACCAAGGGGAAGAATAGAGGGAGAGGGAGGCAGCCACTCCCAGGTGGGCTCTGAAACCGTCTTTGCAAAATTGTAACTGAGGAAATTATGACAGTAAAAGAAATCAGACCTAATCAACTCCATCTTCTTTTTTTTTTTTTGAGATGGAGTCTAGCTCTGTCGCCCAGGCTGGAGTACAGTGGCGTGATCTCGGCTCACTCCAACCTCCGCCTCCCGGGTTCAAGCGATTCTCCTGCCTCAGCCTCCTGGGTAGCTGGGACTACAGGCATGTGCCACCCCGCCTGGCTAATTTTTTTGTATTTTTAGTAGAGATGGGGTTTCACCGTGTTAGCCAGGATGGTCTCGATCTACTGACCTCATGATCCAACCACCTCGGCCTCCCAAAGTACTGGGATTACAGGTGTAAGCCACTACACCCAGCCCCCATCTTGCTTCTAGCCTTTAAGCAGTCCTTGTGGATTCCTGGGTGTAGGCCGAACTAACTTTGGGAAGGAATTCAGTTCATGGTTTGACTCTGAAACAAAATTGACAACAGCCCTTTCCCGAAAAGACCCCCTTCTTGCCTGGGGTCCAGTCGGCCTTTGCAGGACTAACAAATTAGCTATAAGATTAGAAATAAAAGTTTAGGGTCATGCAGCCTCTGGCTCCAAGAATCTGAACCTCCCCAAATTGCTCCTGGGGATAACATCACTATTGGAAAACCGCAGATCAGTGCGTGAGATATTTTGCAGACTCTGCATTCATGGATCAGCTGACACCACCCAGACCGGTTATCTGGCTCAACCAGTTCTGCCATCCCACCCAGGAATAGAAGATAGCAAGAAAAATTCACTTCAACCTTCTACGATTCCATCTCCAACCTGACCAATCAGCACTCCCCACTTCCCAAGCTCCTTTACTAGCCAAATTCTCTTTAAAAACTCTGATCCCCGAATGCTTGGGGAGACTGATTTGAGTAATAATAAAACTCTGGTCTCCCGCACAGTGGGCTCTGCGTGAATCACTCTTTCTCCATTGCAATGCCTCTGTCTTGATAAATCAGTTCTGTCTGGGCAGCAGGCAAGGTGAACCCATTGGGCAGTTACAGTTTCATCCCATCTCCAGCAAGCAGGCTGCATTCCTTTTAACAAAGAACAGGCTCCTCACAAACAGCTGAACAGCCCCTCGGGACAGTTTCTCATCTCTGGAGGCAGAAGGTGGGCCGGACAGCCACTTCCTCCCTTTGGAATTTGCTAACAGCCCTGTGTTTGGGAGAGACCCTCTCTAGGCAAGCAAGCTAGAGGAGGAGGGGCCTTCCTCTTGTGTTACTGTGATTTTCGGTTGAGGGAGTGAATCACAGGCAGTGAGGCATGGGCTGTTGGCTCAGGATTTCCTGGTGTTTCCTGCCTGGGAGAGCTGCCCCACTCTCAGGGGCAGCAGCCCACCACTCCTTGACGTCAACTCTCCCTCCAATGAATGGGTTTCCTTTTCCGTTTGGGAAGACATGGGATCTGCCGTCAATCCCGTCGACCCTGTCTTTCTAACCCTGGCACCTCCTGTCTGGGAAGGAGCGAGTGCGACTAACGAGAAGGCAGTGGGTGAGGGCAGGAGGGCGAGGGGGACTCAGAGGACAGATGTCTTCTCGCCCGCAGTCATTGAGATGGGCATCCAGAAACCCCATCCACAGCAGTAGTGTCTGACCCAGATTGAGAGCCGGCCACGCAGCTTTGGGACACCCTGAGTGCTCCCAGGCAGGCTCTCTGGGTCACCTTTGTTGTCTGGGAGGGTCTTATCTCCTCTACTTGTTTTCAGTAACTAGCCCAGATGAGACCTCCTGACACGAACAATGCATGTGCTGTCATCCTGTAAATGGAATCATTTAAAAATTGCACAATCTCTGAAAACCATTATTTAACATTTTTGCAACCTCAAAATGTATGTGTCCCCAGCAAAGTCGTGGTTGCCTCACTCTGGTGATAGCTCTGTCTGTTTTAAACTAGCCATGAAGGCCAGAGGCTCTCGATGTGTGGTTTCAGAAGGGACTGGGTCATTCCTTGATGTTATCCTTAGGGTAAATACTTATTAGTGTGACTTACCATGCTATCAATATTGCTGTCTGTTGCTAGCATTTCTTTAAGGTTGGGAATTCCCAGTGAGCCTGTACCATGGCTGTTTGTCTCAGTACCTCGCACAGCAAAGCACCCATGCAGAAAAGCTGCCAGCTCCTTCTAGGATGATAACCAGGCTCCCATAGCCCATGTGGCGCTCACCGCTGAGCATGACGGTGTAGCCATACAGCAAGTGTTTACTCTGCAACAACCGTGGGCCAGGAACAGTGCAAAAGTGGAACCATGCAATGGATGGCCTCATTCTAGTTACTGGAAGTTAGGAAATTTGATGATTCACCATTTCTAACTTGGAAGGGTTGAATCAAATTCCATGTAGTATTAGTAAAGCTATCTAAACGCAAAAGAAAACTTTAAGCCAATCTGAAATACTTGTTGATTGTCAACAATTTGGAAACTCCTTAATGGCACCAAATAACCAACATTAACATTTGGGGGTATTTACTTTCAGTCTTTCTGTGTACATACACGCATTTCCTCTTTCTTCCTCTCCTTTAATGAAATGAGATGGTCTCTACGCTACTCCTTGGTAATTTGGCTTTTACACTTAATGTCATTAAATATTCTTCCAGAACATGTTATTTTTATGATTGTGTGGTCTTCCAACATACCGATGTATCATTATTTAACCAACCCCCCTACCCTGAAGATTTGCTTCCACACTTCCGATATCATGAACAAGGCTGAGATGAACATTCTTGTGGGAATGTGTAGTTGATTTCCCTGCATAATCTGTGGAAGTGGACTTTGGAGTGTTTTTTTCAGTGTGTCCATATCTTTTTTTTTTGAGACTGAGTTTCGCTCTTGTTGCCCAGGCTGGAGTGCAATGGCGCGATCTCGACTCACTGCAACCTCCGCCTCCCGGGTTCAAGCGATTCTCCTGCCTCAGCCTTCCTGAGTAGCTAGGATTACAGGCATGTGCCACCATGCCCGTCTAATTTTGTATTTTTAGTAGAGACAGGGTTTCTCCATGTTGGTGAGGCTGGTCTCGAACTCCCGACCTCAGATGATCCGCCCGCCTCGGCCTCCCAAAGTGCTGGGATTACAGGTGTGAGCCACTGCGCCCGGCCCACGTGTCCATATCATTTTAACCTCACAACACGGCAGACTATGATTATGTCCTACAGCTTTTCCAGTTTCCAGGTCCCAGCCTATGTGGGTCAGCCAGGGAGCTGCATATTACAGATCAGAGATCACCTCTCCTGCCTTTCAGAATGCCACAAAGTTTTCCATTTTAAAATTAGCTGCAAAAAGTGTTCTTGGGCCGGGCGCGGTGGCTCACGCCTGTAATCCCAGCACTTTGGAAGGCCGAGTTGGGTGGATCACTTGAGGTCAGGAGTTTGAGACCAGCCTGGCCAACACGGTGAAACCCTGTCTCTACTAAAAATACAAAAATTAGCCAGGCGTGGTGGCGCACGCCTGTAATCCCAGCTATTCCGGAGGCTGAGACAGGAAAATCTCTTGATCCCAGGAGGCAGAGGTTGCAGTGAGCCAAGATTGCGCCATTGCACTCCAGCCTGGGTGACAAGAGTGAAACCCTGCCTCAAAAAAAAAAAAAAAAAAAAAGTGTTCTTGGTGTATGAGGATGTGCTCCGTCAGCTTTTTGGGCATAGAACTGTGTGTTGCCAGGGGCCAGTGATATCTGTGTACTTGGGCATATCAGGAGGGTGGAAGACTGTTCATCTCACACAGATTTGCTTAGGCTGTTCTGTGCCATGGAGCTGCAGCCTCTGGGGCTAACAGGGTGAAAAATGATTCCTCTCTCAGTCTGGTGGGGATTTTCCGTGGTTCTGTGCACCTTAGTGAGTCAGCGTTAACCAGGTTACAAGACTTTGTACAAGAACAGACTTTGTTCAAGTTTAACACCTTAGGGGTGTTGTACAAGTCTAAAGAACACCCTATCAATTAGAGCCTCAAACAGTAATTCCCTCACTTATCAGTGAGAAGTCCTTTTTTTTTTTTTTTTTTTTTTTTTTTGACGGAGTTTTGCTCTTGTTGCCCAGGCTGGAGTACAGTGGTTCGATCTTGGCTCACTGCAACCTCCACCTCCTGGGTTCAAGCGATTATCCTGCCTCAGCCTCCTGAGTAGTTTGGGATTACAGGCATGGGCCACTGCGCCCAGCTAATTTTTTGCATTTTTAGTAGAGACGGGGTTTCATCAGGTTGGCCAGGCTGGTCTCGAACTCCTGACTTCAGGTGATCCACCCGCCTCTGCCTCCCAGAGTGCAGGGATTACAGGCGTGAGCCACTGCGCCGGCCGAGGAGTCAATCTTGACAGCCAGTGGTCAGGCTCGGTGGCTCATGTCTGTAATGGCAACACTTTGGGAGGCTGAGGCTGGATGATCTCTTGAGCCCAGGAGCTCGAGACCGGCCTGGGCAACGTAGTGAGACCCCCATCTCGACAAAAAAGTAAAGAATTAGCCGGGCATGGTGGCACACGCACTTTGGTGGTCCCAGCACTTTGGGAGTGGTCCCAGCACTTTGAGAGGATCCCCTGAGGCCGGGAGGTCGAGGCTGCAATGCGCCAAGATCGCGCCACTGCACTCCAGCCTGGGACACAGACCGAGACTCTGTCTCAAAACAAACAAACAAAAGCTTTTTTGACAGCTGGTGAGTTGGAGCCAAGCGTGACGGTGCTAGAGCCCCTGCGCCGCATCCTTTCCTCCGCGACCTGTGACGAGTGACTGCAGGAATGCAGGCCACCTGGCGCCCTTACGGATTTAACGGGCCGGCTTCCGACCCCCTCCTGCGGCGCGACCACTGTTCCTCGCCTGTGTCCCCCAGAGGGGAAACTGAGGCTTGGGGGCGGTGCAGCGCCGCCCTCCCCGAGCCAGGGGTTCCGCGCCTGCGCGCCTGAGCCGTGTCCGCGCTCGCCTTTGTCAATAAAGTTCGCGCCCGCCGGGAGCGGAAGCGGAAGCGGCGAGTCTCCATGGCGGTGGCGGCGGCAGCTGCGGCGGGACCCGTGTTCTGGAGGCGACTGCTGGGCCTCCTGCCTGGCCGCCCAGGGCTGGCCGCGCTCCTGGGACGCCTGTCCGACCGCCTCGGCAGGAACCGGGACCGCCAGCGCAGGAGGTGAGAGGGGCGGCCGGGATGAGAGTGCAGCCCTCGCGGCTGCAGCCCGGCCCCCCGGCGCTCAAACTCCCGGCCCCAGCGTCCTGGGCATCCGCAGCGAGTCCCTCCCCGGTTTCCGGGCCCATTTCTGCCTCCCGGGGCTCGGCGCCTGACCTATGTGCTTCTTCACTGGCCTTCTTGAGGGAGGGTGGGCGGCTCGTGCTCCATTATCGGCCGGGTCCAGCCGGCGGGCCTCCTGCGCAGCCCGGCCAGTCCTTGCTCCCCGTCTACACCGTGCTTGTTGGCGAGCCCCGGCCACCGTGCACTTACACGTTAAAAGAGGGACTGTGTGTGCGTTCAGGGAGCTTCGGTCAAGCTCCAGAGGCTGTTTATATCATGGTTTCGGCCCCAGGATGTGAGTGTCGGAGAGTTCAGAGGGGTCTTTTCCTTAGGTAAGCCTGGCTGTGAGTGAATCACCGTTGCTGGGATTTTGTGTATAGAGCGTTTCTCACATCCTGCCAGAAAAAGCTGTGAAGCAATCCTTAGTAACACTCAGGCATGGGAAGAGGAGCCACTCGAAACACTTTTTACACATTTCAAAGGGCCTGTGTTCTGGAAAAGTACTGAAGTTATGTAAATGATGAAGTAGGCTTTGGAGCAATTTGTTCAGGCAGTGGTCTTTTAAAATAAACATTTGCCAAGAACATGCTGACCTGAGGCTTGCTAATATTAAAAAAAAGGGGATAAATAATTCTTGGCCGGGTGTGGTGGCTCACGCCTGTAATTCCAGCACTTTGGGAGGCCGAGGCAGGTGGATCACCTGAGGTCAGGAGTTTAAGACCAGCCTGACCAACATGGTGAAACCGTCTCTACTAAAAATACAAAATTAGCTGGGCATGGTGGTGCATGGCTGTAATCCCAGCTACTTGGGAGGCTGACCCTGAGGCAGGAGAATCGCTTGAACCCAGGAGGTGGAGTTTGCAGTGAGCCAAGATTGCCTCATTGCACTCCAGCCTAGGCAACAAGAGCAAAACTCTGTTTCAAAAAAAAAAAATTCTCTTGTGTGCAAATAGTTTTCTTTTCTTTTCTTTTTTTTTTGAGACGGAGTTTCACTCGTTGCCCAGACTGGAGTGCAATGGCGCAATCTTGGCTCACCTCAATCTCCACCTTCCAGGTTCAAGCGATTCTCCTGCCTCAGCCTCCCGAGTAGCTGGGATTACAGACATAAGCCACCACACCCGGCTAATTTTGTATTTTTAGTAGAGACAGGGTTTTTCCATGTTGGTCAGGCTGGTCTCTAACTCCCAGCCTCAGTTGATCCACCTGCCTCGGCCTCCCAAAGTGCTGGGATTACAGGCGTGAGCCACCGTGCCCGGCTGCAAATAGGTTTCTTAATTGAGTCTTACACTTGATCTTTAAAAAAAAAAATCTTAGAACTGCTTCCTTTAGTTGAGGTTGCATTGTGTTAGATTTTCTATCTGTACGTGTACTCCTCGGGTGAGATTTGACCTCCTGGGGTCAGACATCTAGTACAGAGATCTGGGGTCCAGTCATGTGTACTGATTCTAGGTACAGAAAAGAGCTTGCTTCATGGTGATCTATGGTGGAAGATTTTCATCGAAAACTCAAGTTTGATTTAGGGGAATTTTTAGGTGATAGAATCAGGGCAGGATGGCGCTCTTGGAAACCTGCTAGGTTTCACGTTGGTGAACCCAGCAGGACTGGGGCTGTAAAAGAAATGGCCTCTGCATTTTTTGCATTTTCATTTTTTCAGTGTTTAACAAAAGACCTGCTCATCTCTGGGTGACGAAGTCAGATGACTTCTACGTCCTGGCATCAAACCACTGAGATTTGGTTTACAGTTTCAAAAAAATGTTCTACCCTTGAAGACAAGATTTAGGTGACTTTGTCATTTCCCTCTATATGTTTAAACTATATGAAAAACACTTCATTATAAATCATTGTTCAACATTGGAATTGATTACTAAAGGATGTTGGGGCAGTTGACACAAATATTTTAAAAAAGAAATCTCTCATGAGTGTGCTTTTTTTCTTTTTCTTTTTCTTTTTTTTTTTGAGACAGAGTCTTGTTCTGTCACTCAGGCTGGAGTGCAGTGGTCTGATCTCGGCTCAGTGCAACCTCTACCTCGTGGGTTCAAGTGATTCTCCTGCCTCAGCCTCCAGAGTAGCTGGGTCTACAGACACATGCCACCACGTCCGGCTAATTTTTGTATCTTTAGTAGAGACAGGGTTTCACCATGTTGGCCAGGCTGGCCTCGATCTCCTGACCTTGTAACCTGCCCACCTCGGCCTCCCACAGTGCTGGGATTACAGGTGTGAGCCACTGCGCCCAGCCACTTTTTTGTTTTTTGGTGGTGGGAGGGGCAGTGTGGCAGTGGAGATAGTCTAAATTGACTTTCTAATCTCTTTTTTTTGTAAATTGTGTGAGTGGATGCAGTTTGTGTGCCTTCATCCTTCATTAAGCTGAGAGAGATGATTGTTTCTCTGGGACAACAGTTCAACCAGCAACTCAGTTTCTTGGGCATTAAGACAGAAGTTTTTGCTTTGTAATCCTCGGAAATAATGCCTATGGTAGGACTGAGGATAAATGCTTTGACCGGTATTGAGTGGTAGTGTAGGTTTCTGAGCCTTTCTTTGCCTTATTCGGTTTGCAGTTCTTTTCTGATTCGTTGTGGCCTTGGTGTTCGAGTTATTCATGTTTGTTGTGGCTGCTTACCCTTTATTAGCTGCTGACTTTGCTTTCTTCTCCATTATTCAGTTGCACCTCCCAATTTCTCATTCCCCGAATGATGTGGTTTCTTGTAACTCGCTGATCATTGATTCATTGATAATAGTTCTGTGCAGTCATGAGCTTGAATTATTTTAGGTTTTAGCTTGTCGATCTGAGTCAGCTGTTGGAGGGCCAGTGAACCCTCGTGAGGGGACGTTCCTTTTACTGCCGCGGTTTCCTTTCAGGCATAGAGACAGCCAGAGAGACAGAGAACTCTACTTAAAATTACTTCTGTTAATGATTTAGAAGCACTGTCATTTCCTCTTAAGCTAGCATCTGACTCATTATCATTAGGAACTGCTGGATCCGTTAATTTATTCATCATGTGTGTATTGAGCACTGCTGTGCTGTGCTAGGTACTCAGGAAGCAAAGATAAAGACACAGCCCCACCTCCAAGACGCTCAGACCCATAAACAATTACAAGAAGTAGGTAGAAGGTCATGGCAGTACCTTGGAGAGGTCATGGAAGGCTTCCTGGTGCAGTGGCTCAGAGCTGTTTTGAAGGAGGGGTCGGAGTAGTTAGGCTCGGTGAAGAAGAGGGGGAGTGGATGTTCAAGAAGTGATAGTGACATGGACTGCAGCGAAAGGCAATTCTGAGGTCCCACCAATACTGAAACCATTTCCAGGAGCTGACTAGGGGTACCGAGTAGGGGATGGAGGGAGGGAAGAAGAGGAGCTAGGAGCAAGCCAGTCTGGGCCAGAGACCCAGGAAGACAAGTTCTGAGATTCCATGTATGATTTCTTTTGATTCTGGTTCAGCCTGAGATGGTGGGGGCTTTTATATGAAGTCGGGGCAGTGGGAGCAGAAAAGAGGGCTGAGTGAGAATCAGTCTTGATGGGGCACATGGATGTTGGTACATTTCACGAAAACGGAGTAAAGAAGAGGCTCAGGTTTTGGGGATGATGGTAAAGTGCATTTGGGTTATGTTAATCAGTATCCAGGTTCCTCTAGGTGATGTGTTCAGTGTCCAGTTGACTGTGGCAGAACTGGAGCTCAGGAGAGGGAGACAGATGCTTCAGATAGGGTTTTTTTGAGTCATCCGGCTACACAGAATGGTTTTTTTTTTTTTTTTTTTTTTTTGAGATGGAGTCCCACTCTGTCGCCCAGGCTGGAGTGCAATGGCACGATCTCGGCTCACTGCAAGCTCCGCCTCCCGGGTTCAAGCGATTCTCCTGCCTCAGCCTCCGGAGTAGCTGGGAATACAGGTGCCCGCCACCACCCCCGGCTAATTTTTTTTTGTAATTTTAGTAGAGACGGGGTTTCACCATGTTAGCTAGGATGGTCTCGATCTCCTGACCTCGTGATCCCCCCGCCTCGGCCTCCCAAAGTGCTGGGATTATAGGCGTGAGCCACCGTGCCCGGCCCACAGAATGGCCTTGTTACTTGGAGTAGATGAGACCAAGTGGGAAATGTATCATGAAGGCATTAGTTCCTAATCTTGAACTTGCCTACTATACAAGGAAATATTTATCTGTGGCTTACTTTTTTTCCTTTTTAAACTATTTTTAAGTTTTAGCTATACATGCAGAATCATCTTTATGTTTGAAACTTTTTCACAATTTGAGGAGCTTGTGAGTGTGTGTGTTGGATGGGTTAGGGGTTCTTAACTTCTCTGAGTTATAAGAGGGAAACAGGTGTCCAGCAGATTGTTTTCAATTAGATTTTCTTTCCTTTTTTTTTTTTTGAGACGGAGTTTCACTCTTGATGCCCAGGCTGAGGTGCCGCAACCTCTGCCTCCTGGCTTCAAGCGATTCTCCTGCCTCAGCCTCTCGAGTAGCTGGGATTACAGGCATGTGCCACCACGCCCATCTAATTTTGTATTTTTAGTAGAGACGCGGTTTCTCCATGTTGGTCAGGCTGGTTTTGAACTCCTGACCTCAGGTGGTCCGCCCACCTCAGCCTCCCAAAGTGCTGGGATTACAGGGGTGAGCCACCGTGCCCGGCCTAGACTTTCTTACATTGTAGTGGCAGGTCACTTGTTCAACGTGTAAGTAGTTTTTACTCTGAGGGACCACCAGATTTCCAGAAGTTACTTTTCTTTGAACTTTGTGATGGGATTCGGTCTTCCTTACTCTTCAGAGTTTAGTATAACCATCTCTTCGTTTGTTTATAGCAGTATAATGGCTGGGAAGGGGATATTTAGAATCAAAGCATAGTTTTGCCAAATAATTCAGATTTGATTTTGCAGTGAATTAAAAGATTTACAACGGACTGACTTTCTCAATTGTAGCTTTAAGTGAATATTAATGTGAGTATCCCTGAGCACGTTATAGTTGGTGATGAATTAGACTCAATCAGTTGTCTGCTGGTAGGCAAATAGAACCCAGCCTGGGATTAAAATGGTCTGAATGATAATCCCTTTGTAATAGCGTGATCTGATTTATGTAAACGGGTCGATTTTGAGGGTGCTGGGAGTCAGGCTGACTGAAGCCCTTTGGAGTCATAGAACATGCGATTGGTTCTCGTCAGGCACTTTGATGTGCCTGGTGCATTTGGCCACCCAGGCTGTATTGTGGGTTATAAATATATTTTGGATTTCTGGCCCCCAATGTAATCGACTTCCTTTTGGCTAAGCCAAGGGGAGAGTCATCTAGTCAGCATGTAGCTGCATGCTGGCAGCCTGGGCCTCTCGTGCCGGACTTGTTATGGGAGTTCAGCAGGCCGTTGGTCTTTTGTAACCTACGGGAATCCACACTCATTTCCCTTACTCGGGGTTAGGTCTTGCATTAGTCAGGAAGGGCCGCCTGCTGCCAGGGTTGCAGGAAGTACGGTACCTTCTTGTAGTTTCTGGAGCCTTTCTCAGGAAGTGTTATGACTGTTGCTTTTTCTCATCAGTTCACTTTTTTACATTTAAATATCTGTGACTGAGAGGGTAGGGTGAGTTGTTCTCAAAAAGTAGTTTCTGAAAATATTGCAATCCAGAGAGCTCAGTTTCTTTTAAAAACTTCTTTTTTCATGGTTTTGTACAGATTTGGATGGGCTCCAGGCCACAGAGTCTGTACCGTGAATGTACCTTACGGTTAAAGAAGGGCCCCTGGACCTTCAGACCACGCCTCTGAGGGACACTGAATTACCGACCTGTGTTTGGTATGGAGAGCGCAACTTCTGCCCTGTTCAGTGAGGACAGCCCTCCAGCTTTACCGTACTCTTTCATCAAAGTCCTACATACCCTGTTTTGAAAAAACCCCAAGAAGTTGGCCTGTTACATGTGTCCCATTGGTAGTGGGTGACAGTCAGTACTGCAGCTCTAGGGGGAAACACGTGTTCTCTGACACCGGGAGAAGATGTGGAAGGGACGTCTAAAGGTGCAGTGTAGACCGCGGTGTAATTCCCTGGTGTTTGCTTGTCTTCAGTGGCATCCCTTCTCTGAGAAGCGGGCGCCCGGTAGGGCCTCCAGGCGCTGTTGACACGCGCTGAGGAGAAAGGCGAGGGGTGCCAGTGTTTTCCATGAAGCAGAGCACGCGCAGCTGCAGAACGGTGAAGTGGAAAACCGTCTCCTCCAAAAGGGAGAAATGCCTTCTGTTTTCCCCAGGTTTCTTTCTTTCTTTCTTTTTCTGAGATGGAGTCTTGCTCTGTCGCCCAGGCTGGAGTGCAGTGGCGCAATCTCGGCTCACTGCAACCTCTGCCTCCTGGGTTCAAGCCATTTTCGTGCCTCAACCTCCCAAGTAGCTGGGATTGCAGGTGCCTGCTACCATGCCCGGCTAATTTTTGTATTTTTTTTTTTTTGAGATGGAGTCTCGTACTTTCGCCCAGGTCAGAGTGCAGTGGCATGATCTTGCCTCACTACAAGCTCTGCCTGCCGAGTTCATGCCATTCTCCTGCCTCAGCCTCCCGAGTAGCTGGGACTGCAGGTGCCTGCCACCAGGCCCGGCTAATTTTTTGTAATTTTTAGTAGAGATGGGGTTTCACCATGTTAGCCAGGATGGTCTCGATCTCCTGACGTCGTGATCCGCCTGCTTCGGCCTCCCAAAGTGTTGGGATTACAGGCGTGAGCCGCTGTGCCTGGCCTAATTTTTGTATTTTTAGTAGAGATGGGGTTTCACTGTGTTGGCCAGGCTGGTCTTGAACTCCTGACCTCATCATCTGCCTGCTCGGCCTCTGAAAGTGCTGGGATTACAGCCGTGAGCCACTGTGCCCGGCCCCCGGGTTTCTTTTGTAAACAGGTGTGTTCCATAGCTTCTCAGCTGCTTCCTGCTCTCACTGTTTCAGTTTGGCTGATTATTGTGAGCTCAGTTCCCACTGAGGCCTCTCATGGGGGCAAGTGTGTGCAGGGCGCGTTGTCCTGCCTGGGGCTGCCTGGGTGGCTAAGCAGGCTTCCCTCTCCTTGCTTGGTGGCGGCCTCAGTCCTGGCTCGCCGCTTGGTCAGAGCGGTTCAGATGTGGGTCTTCCTCAAGATGATGGGAAGAAACTTTCCTCCCCTCCCCAAGGCACCCTGCTGAGGACCTCTCTCAGTCAGGGGTCCTCAGCACTTAGGCCCAGCCCATTCCTCAGTTCAGGGAATTTGCCTGCAGATTCCACGGGAAGCCTTAAATCAGGTGACTGAACCTTTCTCCTGAGTCAGGCTTCCTGGGGTGGTGGCTGGAGCCGGGCCACGGGCTGGTCCTCTGAGAAGATGCTGGTCTCATTTCACCTTTAGAGTGGCAGGCTGAGGATTGTTTTGCATTGTCTGTCATTTGTTTTGGTTGTTGCTGAGGTTGGTGTGGTGATGTAGTACGGCTGGTTTGATTTTGAATGCTGGAGCACTGGTGCTAGGGGATATCACTGGCTCTTGCCCTGGTCCTGCTCTCTAAACTTCTCCAATATTCCAGGGTAAAGGAGTGGCCTTCAGAGAGGCAAGGGTGGCAGAAGGTTATTATCTGACTCCCCAGCCCCCACCACTTCCTCCTTCCCATAACTAGAACTGGGCGCTAGATGGTGTCTAGAAAGAGATGATTCAGGGGAGCCCAGGTCTTGATGTGGAAATTGTGTGTGTACTGGTTTAGTTCTCTAAATGGTGAATGTGACATGTAACTAGACTTTTTTGGTAAAATAACCACAGCCTCTGCCTCCTCACGTCTCTTGGGGCTTTGGGACTGGGCCATGTGCTTTCTTGGTAAGTAAGCCTCCCTGGGATGGGGGAATTGAGCTTGCGCAGGTGGTCAGCCCCTGGAGGCTGGGATTATTATGCAGTGGGGGCTGCTTTAGCATGGGGATAAACCTTTTCTGAGCAAATTCCCAGGAGTTACATTGTGGAAAGCCGGGAACTGACCCCCATGGGGTTCTGTCTGATGTGAAAGAAAAAAATAGGTCCCTGAGCAGCGAGCAGTATAGTTTCAGAGCAAGAACTGGCTCCTTCTGTCCTGGCTGATGTGTTGCAGTTAGATGGTGATGATGGTGATGATGATGATGATGATGATGATGGTGATGATGGTGATGATGATGATGATGGTGATGATGATTAGCATTTTTGAGACACAGTCTCTCTCCATCACGCAGCCTGGAGTGCAGTGGTGTGACCTCTGCAACCTCCATCTTCCAGGTTCAACCAATTCTCCTGACTCAGCCTCCCGAGTAGCTGGGACTATAGGCGTGCGCCACCATGCCCAGCTAATTTTTGTATTTTTAGTAGAGATGGGGTTTTGCCATGTTGGCTAGGCTGGTCTCGATCTCCTGGCCTCAGGTGATCTGACTGTGCAGGCCTACCAAAATGTTGGGATTACAGGTGAGAGCCACTGCGCCCAGCCTTTTTTTTTTTTGAGACGGAGTTTTTCCTCTTGTTGCCCAGGCTGGTGCACAGTGGCGCGATCTGGGCTCACTGCAACCTCCGCCTCCCGGGTTCAAGTGAGTCTCCTTCCTCAGCCTCCCGAGTAGCTGGGATTACAGGCATGTGCCACCAGGCCCGGCTAATTTTGTATTTTTAGTAGAGATGGGGTTTCTCCATGTTGGTCAGGCTGGTCTTGAACTCCTGACCTCAGGTGATATGCCCGCCTTGGCCTCCCAAAGTGTTGGGATTACAGGTGTGAGCCATCGCGCCCAGCCTTTTTTTTTTTTTTTTTTTGAGGTGGAGTTTCGCTCTGTCGCCCAGGCTGGAGTGCAGTGGCACAATCTTGGCTCACTGCAGCTTCGAACACCTGGGTTTAAGCAGTCTTCCTGCCTCAGCCTCCCTGGTAGCTGGGACTACAGGTGCACGCCACCATGCCTGGCTAACTTTTAATTTTTCTAGAGAGGGGGTTTCTCTATGTTGCCCAAGTTGGTCTCGATCTCCTGGCCTCAAGTGATCCTCCTGCCTCAGCCTCCTAAAGCACTGGGATTATAGGCACATGCTACCGTGCCTGGCCATTTAGTTTTTTTGAGTGACACTAGTCCAGATGTGGTCTCCTTGGCATATGTTGTCATTGTGGCGACCTGTGTAAAACACTCAGCTCCTTTTTTATGCACCTTCCTTTTTTGGGTATTTAAAATTGCCACTTGAAGGTTGAGTCTCCTCCATAATGTATCCATGAAACGTAGTTGGCTTTCAGCTCCTTTTCCTCTCTAACAAAAATAAACCTGTCAGTACACAGATTAAACAGGAAGCCAGCATAAAAAAGCCTTCAAGAACTCTTGGCCTGAGGCCCTCGTGGAACATTCCCAGTGAGAGCTGCCTGGTAAGGAGGAGACCTGCCTAGGATAACTCCAGGGGCTCTGGGCTCATCAGCCCTGTACCTGCCAAAGTGGGTCTCCGCAGGTAGGACGGAGGTGATAGGTGAACCCTGACACCTGTGTAGGCTCTGTGTATGTGTGTTTTCTCTGGACTACTGAGGCCCTCTTGGGTTTTTCTGCTGAAAGTGGTCTTGTTCCTGTTTCTTTCTTTCTGCACTTGACCTCTAGGGTCACGCGATCGTCCCCCTCAATCTCCCGAGTAGCTGGGACTACAGGCACATGCCTCCACGCCTGGCTAATTTTTTTTTTTTATTTTTTATTTTTTGTAGAGACAGGGTCTTGCTATGTTGCCTAGGCTGGTCTGGAGCTCCTGGTGTCAAGTGATTCTCCTGCCTTAGACTCCAGAGTGCTGGGATTACAAGTGTGAGCCACTGCACCCAGCCCAGTTTCTTCTGCTTACGTCCCTTCACACTTCCTGCCTGAAACACCCTCCCCTCTGAGTTCCTTGTTTGAATCCTACCAGCTTTTTGAGGCCACTGGAGGAGAATGCTGCAGAACCTTCCCAGTAGCCCAGGCATCACCAGTTCCCCTTTTTGATGCCTTGAAGCACATGCACTATTTGGACATTGATTTAATTTTAGCATCTTTTCTTGTGTTCTTAGATGATGTCAGGTGTGTAAGTCTGTGAGGCTACCAAGGTTGTGGGAGGCAGAGACTGCCTGGTTCTTCATTTGTACCCTCCATGGTATGTCATATGTGCTTACATGATGGCTTTGTTGAGGGTTAAGTTGAACAAGTTGAACTTGCCCTCTCCTGGGTTGCTATGTGCCAAGGAGTGTTTCCTCTTCTTCCTTTTTTTTTTTTTTTTTTTTTTGCGGGGGGACAGAGTCTTCCTCTCTCACCCAGGTTGGAGTGCAATGGTGTGATCTCGGCTCACTGCAACCTCTGGCGCCCAGGTTCAAGCAGTTCTGCCTCAGCCACGGGCGGCTAATTTTTTTTTTTTGAGACGGAGTGTCGCTCTGTTGCCTAGGCTGGAGTGCAGCGGCAGCATCTCAGCTCACTGCAACCTCCGCCTCCCAGTTCGAGTGATTCTTCTGCCTCAGCCTCCTGAGTAGCTGGGACTACAGGTGTGTGCGCCACCATGCCCGGCTAATTTTTGTATTTTTAGAGAGACAGGGTTTCACCATATTGGCCAGGCTGTTCTCGAACTGCTAACCTCATGATCTGCCCGCCTTGGCCTCCCAAAGTGCTGAGATTACAAGCATGAGCCACCATGCCCGGCCCAATTTTTGTATTTTTAGTAGAGGCGGGGTTTCATCGTGTTGGCCAGGCTGGTCTTGGACTCCTGACCTCAGGTGATCCACCTGCCTCGGCCTCCCAAAGTACTGGAATTATAGGCGTGAGCCACCGTGCTCGGCCCCTTTTTTTTTGAGACGAAGTCTCACTCTGTCACTCAGGCTGGCATGCAGTGGTGCAATCTTGGCTCACTGCAACCTCCGCCTCCTGGGTTCAAGCGATTCTCCTGCTTCAGCCTTCCAAGTAGCTGGGATTACAGGCATGTACCACCACACCCAACTAATTTTTTTGTGTTTTTAGTAGAGACGGGGTTTCACCATATTGGCCAGGCTGGTTTTGAACTCCTGACCTCAAGTTTTCTTCCCGCCTTGGCCTCCCAAAGTGCTAAGATTATAGGCATGAGCCACTGTGCTGGGCTGCGGCTCTCAGCTTCTTTGAAGGCCGCGTGTGGACTGACCACATGACCTGGAGCAGTACAGCGGCACCTGATTTTTGGATGGTCTGAGAGATGGCAGAAATGCTGTGAGGCAGGGGAGACATTGATTTTATGCTGCTGTTGCCTGTTCCCCCGCCCCCGACCATGTTTCATTAGTGAATATGAGACTCTAGGCCCCTTGGGGCCTCGGGTTGATGGGTTGCTGTGCACCTTTCCCATTGTCCGGTGGTTTCTGCTGCACTGAAGGGTCCTTCGCTCTCCTCTCTTGAGCTTTGCAGGAGGGTGGCCCAGGATTTGGGAAACCCAGGCAGCGAGCCCTGCGTTACACATCTAGGCCCTTCATCTGCAAGCTGATGCCTGTGAGTGTCATCACCCCCTCTAGAGACGGGGGTGGGGGAGGAACAGCTGTTTCCCACCTCTGCACTGGGTGGCCACGGCCAGTCGCAGACTTCCAGGATCCACAGAGGCAGCACCTTCTGCTGTTGACTAAGGTTTTCTTGGCAGTGAATCGGCAGTGACAGACCGGTGGGCTTTCTGGGAAGTGCAGCTGTGGGCCATCTGTTGTCTGTGCAGGGACATTTACGAAGCCTGGGAAGATTGAGGGCTTTATCATGAAGCAAGTGAGTGAAATCATCTTCCTGGAATTTGTGGCCATTCAGGCCTTGGGATGTTTGAGCATCCTCTCCCCCACGTCCCTCTTGAGGTCACACACTGAAGAGGATTTTCCTGCTGCTGTTTGCAGGACTAGGATTCATAGTAGGTCAGGTCTGTGTGGGGCTCTGGGTGTGCGGTCCCTCCACCCCCATCTCCCGCAGGTTTTTAGTCATTGAGCAGCAGAAATGAAGTTCTGTGGGCAGAAATTCATCTCCTTCAGCCTTGGCCTCAGTGGAGTGTGGAGTCCGCTGGGGTGCAGCTTTATGTGGTCGAGCTAACACTGGCCAGAAATGGTGTGTGACCCCACCAAACAGGATGTGTCTGATGGTGAATGAGTATGGCTCATCATCACTCTTTTTTTTTTCTTCTTTGAGATGGAGTCTTGCTCTGTTGCCCAGGCTGGAGTGCAGTGGCACCATCTCAGCTCACTGCAATCTCCGCCTCCCAGGTTTAAGCGATTCTCCTGCCTCAGGCTCCTGAGTAGTTGGGATAACAGGCATCTGCATCATGCCCGGCTAATTTTTTTGTATTTTTATTTTTAGTAGAGATGGGGTTTCACCATGTTGGCTAGGCTTATCTTGAACTACTGACCTCAGGTAATCTGCACGCCTCGGCCTCCCAAAGTGGTGGGATTACAGGCGTGAGCCACCGTGCGCGGCCACGGCTCATCATCACTCTTGAGAGGAGCTCATTTGCTCCCGTCTCTCCCTGCTCCAGCTTTTCTTTCCGAGTCTGATTTTGATTGATTGAGACAGGGTCTCGCTGTGCCACCCAGGCTGGAATGCAATGGCATGATCATAGCTGGGAGAACAGCCTTGAACTCTTGGGCTCAGGAGATCCTCCTGCCTCAGCCTCTTGAGTAGCTGGGACTACAGGTTTGTGCTACCATGCCCAGGTAACTTTTTTTTGAGACAGAGTCTCGTTCTGTCACCCAGGCTGGGGTGCAGTGGTGCGATCTCGCCTCACTGCAACCTCCACCTCCCTGGTTCAAGCAATTCTCCTGCCTTAGCCTCCCAAGTAGCTGGGACTACAGTCACATACCACCACGCCCGGCTAATTTTTGTATTTTTAGTAGAGAGGGGGTTTCACCATATTGGTCAGGCTAGTCTCAAACACCTGACCTTAGGTTGTCTACCTGCCTCGGCCTCCCAAAGTGCTGGGATTACAGGTGTGAGCCACTGCACCCAGCCTGCCCAGCTAATTTTAAACAATTTTTTGTAGACACTGGGTCCTGCTATATTGCTCAGGCTGGTCCTGAGCTCCTTGACTCAAGCATTCGTCCTGCCTTGGCCTCCCAAAGTGCTAGGATTATAGGCCTGAGCCACCATGCTCGGCATAAATTGGATTTTTAAAGAGAAAAGTTTCTTTTTCTGGGTGCTTCCTTGAATAGAAATCTTGTTTATCTCATGAGTCATAAAGCGGGGCATCTGGGCTGTAATCATCAGACTTCTGCCAGACTTACCCTTCTGCTAGGTGTCTTTTAGTGGTGGCTGCAGGCAAATATTTTTGAGGTAGATTCATTAGAACGTTGCCATGTGGTAGCTAACCATGTGGTAGCTTTTATGAGTTTACTTGTGGATGCTCTAAATTTGGTTCCTGAGTTGTTTGGAATTAAAGTTTGGGATTTATCTATAGGTATTGACACTTCTCAAGTTGCTCAGTTAGTAGGCTCTTTAAGGAATAAGAGGAAAGGGGGCTGAAGGAAAAATCCTTTAGCAGAGCTTGAGTTGGGCTCACTTTTTAAAATGTTCTAGAAAATCTGACATTCATAACACAAGCAACGCACCCATCTCCCAGCCCCTCTTCACTCCCCAGTAACTGAGGGGGGCTTCTGCAGAAGTATTTGAGGTATTTGAGGTGTGACCCAGTTGCATATTTCTTTAACCAGGTCACCATGGCTGTTATTGGCTCCCTTGCTGTCCCCAGCTGTTCCCCAGGTCACCTCCCCACCTTGCTGCCTGTGTCCAGAAGGCGTGCACCGGTTCCAGTGGATCAGAAACCTGGTTCCAGAATTTGGAGTCTCCAGTTCTCACGTTAGGGTGCTTTCTTCCCCGGCAGAGTTTTTCGAGCTCATGAAGGTAAGTGGTATCTAAAGGAAAGAAGTTTGAGTTAGAGCTTTTGGGGGATCAGGTTGGTGAGTCCTGAGTGCTTTCTAGTCTAGAAACTTTGGATAGCTGCTCAAGCTTATTCCTTCTGGGTTTTACCTGTCAGGTTTCAGCTTCATAGATGGTTGAGCTGAGCCACAGTCAGAAACTTGCCTGTGGGGCCAGCGTCTCAGGTGGAGAAGCTCTGAGAAGGCAACAGTGAGAACAAGGACCTAGACCTTATTTTTATTTACTAATTTTGTTATTTTTGAGAAGGGGGTCTCACTATGTTACCCAGATGGGTCTTGAACCACTGGGCTCAAGTGATCCCCCTGCCTCGGCCTCCCAAAGTACTGGCCACTGTGTGCGGCCACGGGCCTAGACTTCGATTCTTTTTTTTTTTTTTTGAGATGGAGTCTCGCTCTGTCACCCAGGCTAGAGTGCAGTGGCTCAATCTTGGCTCACTGCAAGCTCCGCCTCTCGGGTTCACGCCATTCTCCTGCCTCAGCCTCCCGCATAGCTGGGACTACAGGCGCCTGCCACCACGCCCAGCTAATTTTTTGTATTTTTAGTAGAGATGGGGTTTCACTGTGTTAGCCAGGATGGTCTCGATCTCCTGACCTCGTGATCCACCCGCCTCGGCCTCCCAAAGTGCTGGGATTACAGGCATGAGCCACCGCGCCCGGCCTAGACTTTGATTCTTATGGGCGCACTGATTCCTTTTCCTCCATGGTGAAGTTGTGGACCACGGGAAGGGAGGTTGGTGAGGACTGAGGACCCGTGGGTCACATGGGTATGTCCTTGCTAAAGGTGACAGGGGAGGAGGGCATCTTTATCTAGTCTGTGTATGATGGACCCCTAACCCGGGAATCATCTCCAAACACAGTAGTGTCATCTTGGTAGATGTAGTAGGAAGTAAAAACTCGTGGGTGCGATTTGATATGCATGAAGAGGCCTTTCAAAGTAACTGGGAATCTAGACATCCTGGGTCTAAGGCTTGTAGTCTTGGTTCTTTAGGGACTCTGTCTTAAGTGTGTGCCTTTCCTCTCCTGGTAGTGATGTAAGTTTTGCATTTGGGGGGTTCAGCTTTCAACATGTTACTCAGGTTTACATGCCACATCTGGTTATTCTGGTTAAACTGCTCATTGGAATGAACACTAATCAACACTGATTTTTAACAGCATGAACTCTGAGTTTGTATTAGCAGTGATATTAGAATGAAGGTCTAGGCCAGGCGTGGTGGGGCCTATGCCTGTAATCCCAGCACTTTGGGAGGCTGAGGCCGGTGGATCACCTGAGGTCAGGAGTTCGAGAACAGCCTCGTCAACGTGGTGAAACCCTGTCTCTACCAAAAATACGGAAGGGTGGCACACACCTGTGGTCCTAGCTAGTCAGGAGGCTGAGGCAGGAGAATCGCTTGAACCCGGGAGGTGGAGGTTGCAGTAAGCCAAGATCGCGCCATTGCACTCCAGCCTGGGCAACAGAGCGAGACTCTATCTCCCAAAAAAAAAAAAAAAAAAAAAAAAAAGAATGAAGGTCTGATGGGGCCAGGCAAGCAGGTAGAATGCTGAGAGACAATAGGAAATCTGGGTAGAGACTCCCCTTTCACCTTTGTGCAGAAAATGAACTCACTCATTTGAGTGCCTGCCCATTTTCTCTCCTTTTGCGCTTTTGTTCTGTTTGTTGATCCACGCTTAGCTTGACTGGCTCATTCAGAGTGCATTCTTTGTGTGCACACAGGCGTGTCCTTTTGTTCTCCCCTCTCACCTGCCTCCCTGCTCTGCTCACCTGTCCTTGTTTGTACCGAATGATGCTGCAACTGTTGGCTCTTTGCTCCTAATTGATTTTCTCCTTGGCTTGAAGAAACAGGTTTTTCTTTTCTTTTCTTTTCTTTTTTTTTTAAGACGGAGTTTCGCTCTCGTTGCCCAGGCTGGAGTGCAATGGCACGATCTCGGCTCATCACAACCTCTGCCTCCTGGGTTCAAGTGATTCTCCTGCCTCAGCCTCCTTAGTAGCTGGGATTACAGGCATGCACCACCATGCCTGGCTAATTTTATATTTTTAGTAGAGACAGGGTTTCTCCATGTTGGCCAGGCTGGTCTCGAACTCCCGACTTCAGGTGATCCGCCTACCTCGGCCTCCCAAAGTGCTGGGATTACAGGCATTAGCCACCGTGCCCAGCCTGAAGAAACAGGTTTTTCAAAGGCAGTTTTCTCTGTCCTAATTGACTCTGGGAGGATGACTGACTGTCTCCACATAGTGATCCCCTGGCCAGGAGGTCGGGCCCTGCCTGAGGAGGGTGGGCTTGCAGAGAGCAGGAAGGGGCAGAGAGGCTTGCCTCAGCAGGCCGAGAAGACCCCAGGGCCTCCTTTCCCTGCCATCTGGGCTGAAGTGTGGGCAGATTCTTCTGGTTTGTGTCACACCGAGTAGCACGTGTTTCTTCCCAGGGCGCACAGCGAGAAGGGAGGACAGTGCTGGTTTCTGCCTGGTCCCCATGTCTTCATTATAGCTGTGGGGCCTGGTGTCCTGTAGTAAACAGTCAGATATGCTTCGGTTGCCTGAACTAAATTGTCTTATGCCTTATTTATTTTTTCCCTTTCTTTATAATCATCACCCCCACAAACATCTGTTTTAATTGGTAACAAAACAAAGGAAATAGCAACCTTGGGAAGTTGCTTTGTTTTTTCCTTGTCCGGAAGCCTTTCCTAGTGATTGTTCATGTTTCTGTCTAGTCAAGTTGCCTGTCTTCCTGTGTTGACAATGCAGGGTGGGCTGTGTTGTTCCTTCTCATAGGGAAGCAGGTAGATGTGAAGCTGCCTCCCTCTCACCTGGGTCTCCTATGTATCTTTTGGGGGTTTGACCTATGGTAGCACTGCCATTCTTTGTACCCCTGCCTCCTTCTCTGGGGTGGAGCTGCTAGGGAGAGGCCCCCTGGCTGTTAGGACTGATTTGGGGTATCATCTTGGGGCACTGATGTGTTCTGCTCATGTGTCTATATACCTGTCCATCTATGTTTCAAGAGTGATTCGTGCCCAGTATGGACATTGGAAACTGCAGATGGGTAGAAGGTAAAGAGGGCAGGTTTGAGACAGAATCTTGCTCTGTTGCCCAGGCTGGAGTGCAGTGGTGTGATCACAGCTCATTGCAACCTCTGCCTCCTGGGTTCAAGTGACTCTTCTGCCTCAGCCTCCCAGGTAGCTGGGATTACAGGCACGCGCCACCATGGCGTGGCTAATCTTTATGTTTTTAGTAGAGACAGGGTTTCGCCATGTTGGCCAGGCTGGTCTCAAACTCCTGGCTTCAAGTGATCTGCCTGCCTCGGCCTCCGAAAGTGCTGGGATTATAGGCGTGAGCCACTACACCCAGCCTGCCTTCATTCTTCTTAATGGCCGTGTTGCATTTTATAGTTGGCCTAGACTGAGCTTTACTTTTCAGGCTGAGTATTTTCATTTAGGATTGTGGGACCTTATTTGGGAGGTTACCATACACGTTTCGAGCTTGCTTTAAATATTAATTGGTGAAGACATAGGATAGTTCAGCTTGGAGTGGGATTTGCCTCCCAGGTCAAAGGGTTCTGTTTTCTTAGTGAACCATGAAAATGATGAATTTGAATTTTGAATTTTTCTCCTCTCTCAGGGGCAGATAAGAGTAGCCAAGAGGCGGGTCGTGATGGCATCCCTCTACCTGGGGACAGGTCCTTTGGAACAGGAGCTGGTAAGGTTTATGGGGAGATGGTTGTGGCAGCAATAGTGAATGGGCCCCAACATGCCACAGCTTTTTGTGCCATGCAGTTGGTGTGGAGCTGCCTTTCCTTGGCCTCCATGTCAGAGCCAGCTCTTGTTTTTGTTGCCCCAGATATGGGCATGTCAGGAGGGCCTGGTGAGGAGAGCATGGGGGAGGGCCTGGTGAGGAGAGCTTGAAGAGGTCTGGTCTGGGCCTTCTAGGCCTCACTGGCAGTGTCCTCCTACCCACACAGGGCCCCAGGCAGCTCTGTCTGCCAGTTCAGGGCTTGGCCGACTGTGGCCTGCCACCTGTTATGGTGTAGACTGTGAGCTAAGAAAGAATGGTTTTTACATTTTCAAATAATTGGGGAAGAGAAAAAATAATATTTTGTGACTTATGAAAACTTTAAATTTCTGTATTGGTAAACAAACTTTTGTTGGAACACAGCCACACTCATTCATTTGTGTATTGTCTGTGGTCACTTTCATGCTGCAGTGGCAGAACGGGGTAGTTGTGACAGTGCCCATTTGGCCCGTAAAGCTCCAAATATTTACTCTCTGGCCGTTTACACAAAAGGCTTTCTGACCCTGTACTAGACAAACGGACCTGAGTGCAAGTTGGGCTGGCTGGCTCGTTCTGCCAAGGGCTGGTGTCAAGTGCCAGGGCTGCGGCCAGCCTTGTTTCCCTCGGACTTGCTGTTGTGCCACACTTGTCACTTACAGTGAGATAGGTGGGTGGGAAGGAGCCAGCAGTCACCAGGTTTATATGAGGTGTTGGGGCCAGCGCAGGTTCTGGTGCATGGCGGGATCTGAGGCTCAGCTGAAGTGAGTCTGTGAATGAGATCACTGCTTTCTCTTGGGTCTCCTGGGATTGCTTTCCGCTCGGTATAGTGAAACAGACGGGCCCATTGCCCAGAGTTAGTGCCGTTTCTTGGTCTGTCCTTGTTCAGAGTTACTGGTGGGAGCTATAGGGATTGGAGTGTGGAGAGGGAGGTGCAGTGGGTTCACACCTCCCCTTTCTGCCTCTCCTAGGAAGGAGGCCTCCCTCTTTTTTTTTTTTGAGACGGAGTTTTGCTCTTGTTGCCCAGGCTGGAGTGCAATGGCGCGATCTCGGCTTGCCGCAACCTCCGCCTCCTGGGTTGAAGCGATTCTCCTGTCTCAGCCTCCCGAGTAGTTGGGATTACAGGCATGCGCCACCCCCCCAGCTAATTTTGTATTTTTAGTAGAGACGGGGTTTCTCCATGTTGGTCAGGCTGGTCTTAAACTCCTGACCTTGGGTGATGTGCCCACCTTGGCCTCCCAAAGTGCTGGGATTAGAGGCCTGAGCCACTGCGCCCGGCCGCCTCCCTCTATTTTTAGGATATACCCTCCACTCCAAGCCTGGAAGCCTGTGTGTTCTCATGGGAGAAGAATGGAATGTCCGCACTGCGGAGAGTGGCCAGTGGGCAGGCCGTGTCTTGGATTCATTCATCTGCCAAATATTTACTAAGCACTCTTTACGAGGAGGGCACTGTTGGTTGTGTCTGTGAGGATTGTCTGTGTTGAAATGTACGTGAGACCTGGTGTCGTAGCGTTTCCAGGGTGGCACGGGCTGGCTGTCAGGCAGCACGCCTCTGCCTGCAGGTCCCTTTCCATTCCTGGAGGCCTGGGCCGATCAGGCCCCTGGGTGCTTCTTCTGATGATCATGAAGGTGCTCTCAGACAGATAGCTTTTGTGGTGTTGGTGTCCGAGTGCTGATGGCACAAACCTATCTTTGGAGAAGATGACGAGGGCACTAGCCGATGGGGCGATTTGTTTTTCTTTAAATACACACACCTCTTTGGGTCTTAATCTTCTTTTCTGTGTTCTTTCTTGGTAGGTGGACTGCCTGGAAAGTACTCTAGAAAAGTCACTCCAAGCAAAGTTTCCTTCAAATCTCAAGGTCTCCATTCTCTTAGACTTCACGCGGGGCTCACGAGGTAGGTGGCATGCAAGCCTGGCCCCTCCTGCTTCCTGTGTCAGATCCTCAGTCCCAAGAGGGGTTACTGTCACCCCCTCATCCCCAGGCAGAGTCAAGGCTATTTGAAGATCATCCAAGCTGGCCCAGGGCTGCCTGATTGTGTGAGTTAGGATTTTTTTCTTCAGCAAGTGACTGAAAGCCCAACTAAAAACAGCTTAGGCAGGAGCCGAGTGCAGTGGCATGCCCTGTAGTCCCACTTGCGTGGGAGGCTGAGGTGGGAGGATTGCTTGAGCCAGGAGTTTGAGTCCAGCCTGGGCAACATAGCCAGACTTTGTCTCATGAAAAACTGCCTTAGGCAAAAAGACTTTTTGTGGACTCCTGTGACTGATCTGCTTTGGGTGGCTTGTGATTTGGGGTTTGGCCGTGTCACCAGGATTCATCCCCTAGCTGTTTCCTTTGGGCTGGCTTCCTTCTCAGGCTCTGTGTGGTGGCCCCTGGTGGCTTAGGCTTGTCTCCCCATGACACCTTGTCTTTTGGAAGAGTCTGATTCCATGAGAATCGGGTCAAAGCTCCTGACTGGCCTGACGGTGGCATGCCCAGCTGGGAGCTTGGAGTGTGCCGAGTAGCCCAGCCCAGGCCTGCGTGCTCCCTCATGGAGCTGGGGGTGAGGGGCAAGGTGGGTAGGGTCGTCTTCACCCAGAGCAGAAATGCTGCGAGTGGGTGGGGTAGTGCCCCAGGAGAAGGTTGGGTGCAGTTACCAGGAGAAGGGTGAATGGGTGCTGTGTGGCAAGAAGAGCAGGCGTCTGCCACGCTGAGGACTTCAGGCCTGAGACATGGCCAGCATGCAGGACAGAGGTTGGCCTGGAAGTCCTCTGGCTAGGAGTAGCCCCAGCTGGTGTGACTGATTCAGGTGGACGGCACAGGTGAAGGCGAGGCCACGTGGAGGTGGCTCCTCATTGGGGGCAGGACGCCTTCCTGTTGTGAGTCAGGTGCCGTTTTCTCTGTCCGTGTTCAGGCCGGAAGAACTCCCGCACAATGCTGCTCCCACTCCTGCGGAGGTTCCCAGAGCAGGTCCGAGTCTCCCTCTTTCACACGCCGCACCTCCGTGGGCTGCTTCGGCTCCTCATCCCTGAGCGCTTCAACGAGACCATCGGCCTCCAGCACATTAAGGTGTACCTCTTCGACAACAGCGTCATCTTGAGCGGGTGAGTGCTTCCCACCGTCAGTGCTTTTGCCCTCCTGCTCTGCAGGCTGGAGGGCAGTGGAATAGGAACAGTGGGAAACCCGTTCCCCTCAGTCTTGGAGAACCTGCTTGTAGGTCTGGCTGCTGTGCACCCGCGGCACCTCCCCGACACTGTCTCTGCCACTGAGGCTAGAATTCCCCGGGGGCTGACTGGAAGCCACTGTTGACAGGGCACTTAGTCTGTGCTGGCCACTCAGGTATGTTGTCTGTTTCCACCCTCAGTGACCCTCTGTAGTATTTTCCTCACTGTGTACATGTGGAAACAGATCAGAGAGGATGAGTCACTTTGTCAGGTAGACAGAGCCAGAAAAATAAACAAGAGTCAGACCTGGAAGTCCAGGTCCTTAGGCTGATAAATATGGGCCCTTTCACAGGCCCTCCCCTCGGCAGTGGGGCCAGGATTGGGTTGCTGGTGCTGAGAGAAAGCCCTTGATTGCATCCTTGCTCTGGGACTGTACCAGTGGCAGCTGTCACTTAGTGGGACAGAGAGAACAAACAAACATGGGCGCTGATAAATAGCCCTGCATGGGCCGGGCGCAGTGGCTCACGCCTGTAATCCCACATTTTGGGAGGCTGAGGCAGAGGGATCACCTGACGTTAGAAGTTCAAGACCAGCCTGGACAACATGGTGAAGCCCCGTCTCTACTAAAAATACAAAAATTAGCTGGGTGTGGTGGCACACACCTGTAATCCCAGCTACTCGGGAGGCTGAGGCAGGAGGATCACTTGAACCTGGGAGGCGGAGGCTGCAGGGAGCCAAGATCATGCCACTGCACTCCAGCCTGGGCGACAGAATGAGATTGTCTCAAAAAAAAAAAAAGCCCTGTGTGGTTAGTTGACTTTCTGTGTCTGCATCTCCTCTTCTCAGCTACACTGTCGGCTCCTTGAGAGGAGGAGGCTGTGGGTCACTTTGCTGTGTCACCTTGGATCAACTCTGGCTTTGTCTTTTGCACGTGTTCATTGCTGAGTAGCTATTTGTTAACTGCATCTTGACCTGAGTTTGTCACCCCCCTGCTAGTTCACCTGAGACCTGGGTCACCAGGACACGCTGCTGCATACCCTTGCCTGAGTCCTCCTCACCTGCATCTTCCCTCCCTGTAGTGCAAACCTGAGTGACTCCTACTTCACCAACCGCCAGGACCGCTACGTGTTCCTGCAGGACTGTGCGGAGATTGCCGACTTCTTCACGGAGCTGGTGGACGCGGTGGGGGATGTGTCCCTGCAGCTGCAGGGGGACGACACGGTGCAGGTGGTGGATGGGATGGTGCATCCTTACAAAGGTAGGGGCTGCCGCTGACACCCTTCTATGGCTGTGGGTGGGGTGGAGTGAGGGCCCGGGAGAGCACAACTCTAGGTGGTTCTGCCACAGGCATAGGGGACTTGGGTGGCAAGGCTTCATTCTGCTTTTGTCCTTGAAGCCAGACAGATGTGACTCACTGACCATCAGTCATGCTCTGTGGGTGAGAGAGCCAGCCCAGAAAGGTGGGAGCTTGGGCTTGGGACTCCTACTCCTTGAGGCGGAGTCACTCAGGTTTGCACTACAGGGAGGGAAGACGCAGGTGAGGAGGACTCAGGCAAGGGTATGCAGCAGCGTGTCCTAGTGACCCAGGTCTCAGGTGAACTAGCAGGGGGGTGACAAACTCAGGTCAGGACGCAGTTAACAAATAGCTACTCAGCAATGAACACGTGTGCCTGGGCGAGTGACCCAGAAGCCTGCCCTGCATCACAGGAAGCAACCAGGCCAGCAGCTGTTCGCCTAGGGCCCATTTCCCCAAGCCTATCACCTGGGCCTGTGGCTCCCAGCTCCCTTGAGCTCTGTGGCCCCCTGCCTGGAAAATGAAGTGGAAGAGCTCTCAGCTCTGCCCACTGGAACCAGGCAGGTTCTGGCGTGAGTGTTCTGGGGCATTTGCATTCCTGTGATTCCTGCGGCTGTGGCTCCCCCATGGCCTTTAGAGAGCTGCTGCTGGATTTGCAGCAGTGTCTGAACTTGGGGAGGAGGAGCTGAAGTTGGAACTTGTTGGGAGAAGAGCTCTCTGCGTCTTGTGGACCTAGAATGGAAGCATTTCAGTGGGCCGTCTGGTGGAAGCCCTGTCCTTGTGTCAGGGGAGCCCTGGGCCTCAGACCCCGACCGTGATGGTGTGATGCTCTGCCTGCCGCCATGCACTGTTCCTACTGTTGTATTTTGAATTTCATCTGTAAAGAGCTTGTGGAGCTCTGTATCTCTCTTGCTGAGTGCCTACCTAGCATCCTCAGCTTTGCCTTTTGGCCCAGAAAGCCTAAAATATTTACCATCTGACCCTTAAAGAAAATGTGTGTGGATCCCTGGTCTAATGTAACGGGCCAGGCATGGATATGAGAGAAAACAGGCCATGCTTAGGCCAGGATGAGAGCCAGCACGCTCCGAGCAGGAGCGGGGAGACTCGAGCCCAGCTGTGCTTGGGAGAATGAGTCCACAGAGAGGCTCAGGGTGTGCGCAGGGCCCCCCGGTGCTCCTCCCTCCGGCAGCCCTGTCCAGCATGTGGCAGTGTGACTCCTTTCTCCCCTGGAGGGTGTTGGCATCAACAGGCTAGACTCCTGCATGGGATGGTCCTTCTCTTTGTTCTGTAGCCCAGCCCTGAAAGGCACTGAGTGTCTGTTCCTGCCCCCAGCTCAGACCATGCAAGCCAGCAAGGATGACCTGGGACAGCCCTCCTTCCCTGTTTCACTTCCCTGATCAGCCTTGCCAAAGCCTTGTTGTTTTATCAATCGTTTATCAGACAATCAACTTTGGACAGTTGATATTCTCCATTTTTGTATCATTTTCATTCTAGTAATTTCTATTCATATATATATATATATATATATATATATATACACACACACACACACATATGTATGTATATATTTTTGAGATGGAGTTTTTGCTCTCGTCACCCAGGCTGGAGTGTGGTGGCACGATCTCAGCTCACTGCAACCTCTGCCTCCGAGGTTCAAGTGATTCTCCAGCCTCAGCTGCCCGAGTAGCTGGGGTTACAGGCACACAACACCACACCTGGCTAATGTTTGTACTCTTGGTAGAGACAGGGTTTCACCATGTTGGTCAGGCTGGTCTCAAACTCCTGGCCTCAGGTGATCTGCCCGCTCCTGCCTCCGTAAGTGCTGTGCTGGGATTATAGGCGTGAGCCACTGTGCCCGGCCTGTTCTTATTTTTATTTTTTGCTTCCCTATACTGTATTCTTGGTTTTATTCTGTTGTTTCTTTCCCCTGTCTTCCTGAGTTGGATGCTTAACTCATTAATTTTCAGCTTTGTCTTGTCTGATAATAGCATCTTTCCCTTCAGTGTGTCTGCATGGTCACCTGTCACCAGTGTCTTGTCCGAATACAAAAGGCACCCCATGCAGAGCCTGAGCCTGCCCGTTCTTCCTCTCTCTCAGGCACTGTCACTGCTGTGGGAAGCTTTCCCACATGGTGATGTGCTTATCCAAGGTGATGGCTTGCCCTGTGACCCCATCTGTGGAATACGCATGCTCCTTTTTTGGTTATACTTGCATGTCTTTATTTGACTGAGCTTCCTTATTGAAGTAGAACATGCACCCCGAGCACCAGTCGCAGGTGTACAGCCATGAACCTGCTGCTAGTGGACCTGCTTCCTGGAGGCCCCCCGTATGTCCCCCCCAAGGAATTATCCCAAAGGTAACCACTATCCTGATTTCTCTCCCTGTCAGTTTGTCTTGCCTGGTTTTGAGCTTGTTTGTAATTGGAATGATACGTCGACATGCCTTTCACTTCTGCCTGAGTGTGGGCTACTGTGGACCAGGCCCTTGTCTTGGGCAAACTATATCCCCAGAGGAGCCTCGCTCTGGGCTTGGGGTCCTGGGCCCACTCAGCGAGTGTTCAGTGAACATCCAGTTGTAGCGTCTGCACTTGCCTATCACATGCCCTGTCCCCTGAGCTGGGCAGAGTCCAGACCCTCCATTTCTCTTCCCTTCACTCTTCTTTCACGTCTTCCCCAGGGGACCGGGCCGAGTACTGCAAGGCAGCCAATAAGAGGGTCATGGATGTGATCAACTCAGCCAGGACCCGCCAGCAGATGCTGCATGCCCAGACCTTCCACAGCAACTCTCTTTTGACCCAGGAAGATGCAGCAGCTGCTGGGGATCGCAGACCAGCCCCTGACACCTGGATTTATCCGCTGATTCAGATGAAGCCCTTCGAGATTCAAATCGATGAGATTGTCACTGAGACCCTGTTGACTGAGGCGGAGCGCGGGGCAAAGGTCTACCTCACCACTGGCTATTTCAACCTGACCCAGGCCTACATGGACCTGGTCTTGGGCACTCGGGCTGAGTACCAGATCCTGCTGGCCTCACCAGAGGTGAATGGCTTCTTTGGGGCCAAGGGGGTGGCCGGCGCCATCCCAGCGGCCTATGTGCACATCGAGCGACAGTTCTTCAGTGAGGTGTGCAGCCTGGGACAGCAGGAGCGGGTCCAGCTTCAGGAGTACTGGCGGAGGGGCTGGACGTTCCACGCCAAAGGTGCGCAGCGGCTGGCTGGAGGACGTTCCAGTGTGGGACAGCCACAAACATGGGCAGGGGGTGGGGAGCCCTGGCGCCTACCTGTTAGAGTGCTGTACTTCTCCCTTCCTACCTTCCCAGCAGCCCTTGCAGGCACATCATAGCTGTCCCATGACTTGGGGAGAGGCGAGCATTCATCTCCTCAAGGGAATTTTTTTTTTTTTTTTTTTTTTGTGACAGTCTTGCTCTGTTTCCCAGGCTGGACTGCAGTAGCATGATCTCAGTTCACCGCAACCTCCACTTCCCGGTTCAAGCAGTCCTCCCACCGTAGCCTCCTGAGTAGCTGGGACTACAGGCGCGTGCCACCATGTCTGGCTAATTTTTGTATTTTTGTAGAGATGGGATTTTACCATGTTGCCCAGGCTGGTTTTGAACTCCGGAGCTCAAGTGGTCTGCCTGCCTTGCCTCCCAAGAAGTGAATTTCAGTTGTGTAAAATCCGTCTCTTTTATGCATCAAAGACTGTATATGGTCACATTATTTGGTGGCTGTGGTAAAGATGTGGTGACATAACCTCTCCTAAGAGATGGAGAGGAACATGCCTTAGCTGTGAGATGGAATGTCACTCTTGTCGCTCAGGCTGGAGTGCAATGGTGCGATCTTGGCTCACCGCAACCTCCTCCTCCTGGGTTCAAGCGATTCTCCTGCCTCAGCCTTCCGAGTAGATGGGATTACAGGCCTGTACCACCACGCCTGACTAATTTTTTATTTTTAGTAGAGATTGGGTTTCTCCATGTTGGTCAGGCTGGCCTTGAACTCCTGACTTGAGGTGATCCACCTGCCTTGGCCTCCCAAAGTGCTGGGATTACAGGTGTGAGCCACCACGCCCGGCCCTTAGCCTTGTGTTGATTGTCAGAGTTCCTGCTTGTTGGCAACTTTTTTTTTTTTTGAGACAGAGTCTTGCTCTGTTGCCCAGGCTGGAGTGCAGTGGCACGATCTCAGCTCACTGCTACCTCTGCCTCCCGGGTTCAAATGATTCTTGTGCCTCAGCCTCCCTAGTAGCTGAGATTACAGGCATGCACCATTACGCCTGGCTAATTTTTGTATTTTTAGTAGAGATGGGGTTCCACCATGTTGGCCAGGCTGGTCTCGAATGCCTGACCTTGTGAGCCACTTGTCTCAGCCTTCCACAGTGCTGGGATTACAGGCGTGAGCCACTGCGCCCGGCTGGCAATGCCTTTCTCAGGGAGAAAGAAGATTCATTAGGGATCATTTGTTTTGGCATCAGCAGCCCAGTTTTCTTGTCTTTTCCTCACTATTGCTATTGTTTTTTTCCCTATATGCCAATGTCTGCCTTTTTTCCCCATAGCTGAGGAAATGGAGGCTCTGTGCACAGTCTTGCTGGTGGGGGTGGTAGGAAGAGGGTCACACTCTGCAATGCATGTTTATCCCTCTCAGGCATCTGGCGGAGCAGCCGAAATGGGGCAGAATCCCAGGGGCAGCTCTCTAAGACATGGGTATAACATGCTGGAAACCCTGTGCTTAGCAGTGGGCTTACTGCATGGCCTCTTAATGCTGGGAGGGTGCCCGCCTCTAGCAGCGGGACCATGACTCCTTTCTGACGCTGGGGACCCCCAATCCTGGAGCTAGTCTGTCTAGAGAAGGGGAAATGGTGCCTGGAGGCCCCTGTGCCATGAGTACATCCCACGGCTTTTCTGGCTTCTCCCTGGGCAGTCCAGAGGCCTGTTTTGCTCCTTCTCTTGTCCTGGTTCTAGTGGCTTTCGGAAGAGCTGAGTGAGTGGGGGGCCTCCATGGATGGGGAATCTAGGCTGTGGACTGCAGTAGGCACACAGCTGTGTTGTTGAGACTCGAGGCATCTTCCGGTGCTCAGGTGGTTTGTTTTTGTTTTTGTTTTCTTTAAACCAATGTTTTTCAATTGGGGGATGCGTTGTAAGAAATACTGAAGCCGGCCAGGCGCGGTGGCTCACGCCTGTAATCCCAGCACTTTAGGAGGCTGAGGCAGGCAGATCATGAGGTCAGGAGATCCAGACCATTCTGGCTAACACGGTGAAACCCTGTTTCTACTAAAAAAATACAAAAAATTAGCGGGGCGTGGTGGCGGGCGCCTGTAGTCCCAGCCACTTGGGAGGCTGAGGCAGGAGAATGGCGTGAACCCGGGAGGTGGAGCTTGCAGTGAGCTGAGATCGTGCCACTGCATTCCAGCCTGGGCAACAGAGCGAGACTCTGTCTCAAAAAAAGAAAAAAAAAACTGAAGCCCAGGTTCCCCTAGACTTTCATCCACCTCTGTGGGGATTGAACCCACCATGGTGTTTAAAAAACGCCCCTAGGAGATTCTGATGCCTAGCCTAGCCTTAAGAACCACTGTCCCAGCTTGGAATGGGAAGCTTCTGGCATGTCCAGGGCATCCCACGTGCTGCTTTGAGGCCCACAGGCCTGTCTAGGCAGGTGGCATTGTTTGGTGTGGGAAGTGACTGCCACACTGTCCTGCAGGACCCATCCTGGCATGTGTTGTGGCTGAACCAGGCTGGTGGTCAGTGTCTCAGGGCAGGTGGCCCCAGCCCGTGGCGGGTGTGGAAAGTATTTTTGGATTGGCGTTACTTCTGGGAATAACAGCAGTACCCAGGGATGGGGTATTGAAAGAGTTGGCCAGTGGGGCAGCTTTGACCTTTGGGGAGGCCTCAGACCCACACTGTCGTGTGCTGGAGAGGTGCAGAGGAGTGGCTAGGCGTCGCTCTCCTCAACTGCACTGTGCTGGAACGATGAGGAGGCCCCTTAACTCAGCCTGGAGGGTGGGAGGCTCCTGGCCTGTGGCTTCTGACTCTGCCACGGGTTATTTCCCTGAAGTGGCTTTGATAAACGTGAGCTGACTCCCCAGTTACCGCTGAAACAGAAACACCCAACCTGCTTTTCTGGGGCGTCTTGCCTTTTCCCGGACTGATGTGCTTCTGCCACTCCCTCTCTCCTGCCCTGGTGTGGGTGGTGTTGGGTCGGGGCGGGGGGTGCCCTGCAACCCAGGAGTGCTGGATGAGTGGGAAATTGGGGATGATCTTACAGCTGGATCCCAGGGCACGTGCCCATGTGGGGGATGGGATTGGGGGAGAGTTGGCAGAGGTGGGTGAGGGATGGATGGTGTGTGGAGGGGGCTGCTGCTGAGCAGAGGGGCTTCACCCTAAAGCCAGGAACCAGAGGTCAGAGGTCACTTGATGCTGAAGTGAGAGGCGAGGGTCCTTCCCTGCTCAGTGGTTGTGTCCCCAGTGGGATCTTAAGTCAGCACCTCTTCAGGCCCATCTTTTGATGGTCACTTCCTCCAGGGCAGCGTGTGTCAGGTGAGAGATGAGTGGGCAGCCGCAGGGTGCTTGTGGATTTCGATGGCTGGCCCAGTGGACCATTCATTTCCTGACTGTCTGCCCTTTGCAAGGCACTTGCTGGGTACAGGCTCTGTGCCTCCTTGGGTGTGTCTGTGTTTGGGCCCCAGAAAATTCCTGCCGGTGGCTATGCACTGATACCTCCACTCCCTTACTCAGGTCCTGTAGGACAGGCCTGGGCTGATCTCAGCTCCTCCTGCTCCCAGAAGCCCTTGGGCAGAGACAGGTAGCCAGGACTCTGTGGATTCTAGATCCTTGCCCCTCAGACAGCACTCTGCTGTCAGCACAGCACTCTCTGGGAGCCAGGCAACAAGAGGCTTCACGGAGTGACTGTGTTGAACTTGCTGGTGGCCCCATGAGTGTGGTGATGCAAGGAAGAGCAGCGTGGGGGGAAGAGGCACCTTCTCATGTAAAATGACCCCGTGGCTCAGCAGCTGCCAGTGGATTTCAGTGCAGTCTGGTGACAGAAAATTCAGAGGGCTGGCCTTTATTCTTAAGGGTTTTCTGTGTTGTCAAGTATTGCCAGGACTGTCTGGCAGTTGCTTAGATGCCTTGTTGGAAAGATTCTTGTGTGATAACCATTTGCCGATCGTTCAACAGCCTGATACACCTCTTTTGCATACTATGCTGATTTCTTAACATATTTTATCTATCAATCAGTCAATCAGTCTATCATGTATCTCTATCACATTTCAATAAATTGAGCTGTTTCAAAGAACCAGAGGAACACTCAACTATTTAAAGGCATGCACTAGAGACTTCTTTTGCAATATGGTTTATCTATTTCATTCTTATTTGGATTTTTGTAAAGGGTGCCTATTCAGAATACTCAGGAGAAGCCATGCAAGTGTGATTTGGCATAGGGATTACTAGACTTGAAGTCTAGAAGCCTGGTTCTGAGTCCACATTTACCTGTGGCCACAGCTGAGGGGCCTGGCTTAACCTCTTTCCTGTGCAGTCGGGGGGATGGCTCTAGATTGTCAGGAGGACACGGGGAACAGGGCTGATATTTGACTTTCTATAAAATAACCGTATGGTTCCTAGGCCAGGTGAGGCACCTTGGTGGGGCGCGTGGAGGTTGAAATCACACTGGGGGCCGAGGGCTGCTGCGCGTCCCTGAGCGAATAGATTGGCAGAAGGGAGTGGGGTGGGGGCCTTGGATCCCTTGGTGCCGTGTCTCTGGCCTTGCTCCCTGTAGTTCTGTTGCGCTGATTCGGTCGTGAAGGAAGGTGCTGCCAGGCCGCTTCACCTGCATCGCCTTGGCTTTGGGAGGTGGGGCTGAGTGGGCATCTGGGTTGGATCTCAGGCAGGTGGCAGTTCCTCTGATTCATGGTTGTCAGTTTCCTGTTGCCTGGCCCTCGCTCCTCGCCCAGTAGGTGTGGTGGGACAAGGTTCTGGGAGCTGGGGTAGAATTTGGACTCTTAACGGGAAGTGCCTCGTGCTGCCGCAGACACATCTGGATGGGTGCTGAGCTTTCCTTCCCAAGCCTGGTCCTGATCGGGGGTGGGGTACAGGCAGGAGCAGCCCGGCCTTGTCAGCCGTTGAAAGTGTGGTATCTGCTGGGTTGCCAGTAAGCTCGCTTCGAGGTCTTGAGAGGCAGTGCAGGGGAGGCTGAGTATGAACCGTGTCAAGCCAGTTCTTATGTCTCTCTTCATCTTTCTGCTCCATGGAGGTGAGGGACAGAGTGAGTGGTGCCCATCCCATTATCACATTCAGGCAGGAACCATGCTGTGCTGAGCCAGGCTGTGTCCATCTGCTGGGACATGGGCTCTGCCCTCCGGCGTGCATTTCATGAGGAAGATCAGAAAGTGAGTTTTAGCATGTTGACTTCCATTTCTTCTGGACGCAGTATTCTAGCACTAACAACACAATGTGGGTGGCTAGGGCGGAGCAGGTGTTGGATTAAGAGATTTCTGGCTCATGCTGACAGGGAAATCTGTTAATGGTTGTGAGAATGTCACTATTTTTATTGCCTTCCTGATAGGCCAATTGGCGTTCTGCCCAAAGGTGAACTGATGGTGAGAGGCGGGCAGCCCCACCCTGTTTGCCTAGGCCACACGTGAGGCGGCTCTCCCCTGGGCACCCAGTGGGTGTGGTAGGGGTGCTGTGCCCGTGCAAATTGCTTGCTTCAGGCTGAGCACACACACCAGCCTGTGGGCCCTTACAGTTTCTCAGAGCTGTACTAATGTCAGAGCAGGTGAGTGCTTATCCTGTAAGGATAAGCCTGTGATGTCTTCTGTCCCCTCCGTGTTTTTACTGGAGTCTGAGAACCCTGTAAGATTTATTGCAGAATACTGTGGGAGTGCTTGAGGGAGGAGTATGTGTTCATGCATGTACTCTTAAAATGTTCATACACTTCTGCCTTAGAACTGCAAAGGCCTGGCGTGGTGGCTCACACCTATAATCCCAGCACTTTGGGAGGCCAAGGTAGGCGGATCACCTGAGGCCAGAAGTTTGAGACCAATCTGGCCAACATAGTGAAACTGTGTCTCTACTAAAAATACAAAAATTAGCCGGGTGTGGTGGTGCATGTCTGTAATCCCGGCTACTCGGGAGGTTGAGGCATGAGAATCACTTGAACCTGGGAGACGGAGGTTGCAGTGAGCTGAGCTCGTGCCACTGTACCCCAGTGTGGGTGAGACTCCGTCTCAAAAACAAAACAAAACAAAACAAAACAGAAAAACAAAATAGGCCAGGTGCAGTTGTGACTTACGCCTGTAATCCCAGCACTTTGGGAGGCAGAGGCGGGTGGATCACCTGAGGTCAGGAGTTTGAGACCCAGCCTGGCCAACATGGTGAAACCCCGTCTCTACTAAAAATACAAAAATTAGCTGGGCATGGTTACAGCCGCCTGTAATCTCAGCTACTCAGGAGGCTGAGGTGGGAGAATCGCTTGAACCCAGGAGCCGGAGGTTGCAGTGAGCCAAGATCGCGCCATTGCATTCCAGCCTGGGTGACAAGACGAAACTCTGTCTCAAAATAAAATAAAACAAAACCAAAACTTCAGAGCTTTTTTTTTTTTTTTTTTTTTTTTTTTTTGGGACGGAGTCTTGCTCTGTCACCCAGGCTGGAATGCAGTGGCGTGGTCTTGGCTCACTGCAACCTCCGCCTCCTGGGTTTAAGCCATTCTTCTGCTTCAGCCTCCCCAGTAGCTGGGATTACAGGCACGCACCAGAATGCCCAGCTAGTTTTTGTATTTTTAGTAGAGATGGGGTTTCACCATGATGGCCAGGCTGGTTTTGAACTCCTGACCTTGTGATCTGCCCGCCTTGGCCCCCCAAAGTCCTGGGATTACGGGGTTGAGCCACTGCGCCTGGCCGTCAGAGCTTTTTTTACACTTAATTTGACCTTTTTTGGGAGAGACATTATTACTCTCAGTTTGTTTATTTCATTCAAACAGATATCTAACAAATACCAGCTGTGTCCCAGGCATCATTCGGGACATTGGGAATGGGTCACTGGGTACCAGACAGACTAACTCCCTGCCCTCCTAAGGCTTATACTTTGATGGAAAGCAGATAATAAGCAGATGCGTCTCTACAAATATCGGAACGAGCTACGAAGAGCAGAGCAAGAGAAGGCTCCAGGCTGCTGCAGGATCTGTTACAAGGGGGCTCAGGGAGGGCCTCGCTGAGGAGTAGACACTCGGGCAGTTGGCCTGAGTGAAGAGGGAGCATCCATGCCACCGTCTGGGGCCGGAGTTTCCTGGCAGAGGGGAGAGAAATGAGGAGCCTCCTCGACCACATGGGGCTTGCAGAACAGCAGGGGCACTGGGAGTGGTGGGCACTGAGATTGGAGGGTGGGCAGGGCCTATTGGAAAGGGCCCAGAAGCCATGGCACGCTGCCATGGAGGCCAGGAGTGCCGAGGCCTGGATCAGCCTTCCGCAGGGCAGTATGACTGTGCAGAAGAGCAGGGGCAGGCGTCCTTTCTGAAGAGGAGGCCCAGAGCTGGGAGGCAGCAGCAGTCCCAACTCCAGGTCCTCCTCTGGTGTCCCCGCGACACTTGATTTATAGTGAGTGAGTGTGGAGTAGCAGCCGCCTCTGCTTCCCCTGCACCCTGCCCTCTCTGGCACCCAGGGCTGCAGTATTTATCTCTGCCCCATGAACTGCCAGCAGTCAGTCCCTTCCCAAAAGCACTTGGTCCGCAGAGGGCTGCTTCCTCCCTCCCCAGGCTATCGTTCCTGCTGCACGTCTCCCTCATCTGATGGTTCCTGGAATAGTAAAGATGTCAGGCCCAAAGGTCAGGCCCTGGGATGAAGAGTCGGGCGTGATAACCAGTTTACAGCCTTGGACTGGGAAACAGATTTCCCGACAGCGAGTCCCAGGCCTGATAGTCTTAGCCCTGTGTATACACAGCCTGACATCCTGACTGGTGGTGCGGGTCTGACCGGAGCTCCAGACCGCTCAGGCCTAGAGCGAGGGAGATGAAACAGAACTAAAGGGCTCCTGCTTTTTTTTTTTTTTTTTTTTTTTTTTTTGAGATAGGGTTTCTCTCTGTTGCCCAGGCTGGAGTGCAGTGGGGGTAATCTTAGCTCACTGCAGGCTTGACCTCTGTAAGGGCTTTTAGATTCCCCTTCTCCCGTTGGAAACTTCCCAGTTGTCCTCAGGGCACAGACCAATGGCTAAAACTGACTTGTGAGCTGAAATCTTGAAAAACCATTGTTCCCAGCTGCCCTGGCCTGTGGGGCATGCTGGGGTGTGGGCATCTCACAGCAGCACCCCGTGGCATCTCTGGACCTGGCAGGTGCTTGACTCATGCTGTCTACTTAGGGCTCCCCAGAGGGCATCAGACTGGCCTGTGGTCGTTATTTTCTTTCTGATGGAGAAAGATTGCAGTGCAAATAATTCTGGCGGGGAAGTTGTTGGGCAGTCTCAGGTATGTTGAAAACGTGAGCTACCTCTCAAATCCTGAGCACTCACCTGCTGAAAAACCCTTATTCTTTCTATATGGGAAACATAGATAGACATAGAGACTGTCTACAGATACGTATACAGTCTATCTTGGGGTCAGGAATGAGCAATAGATGGAGAAGCGGTTGTGCGTATGATGAAGTTGTGCACTGGAGGTGGCCTGTCTGCCTCAGCGCTGGCCTCTAGGTGGCCTCATAAAGAACCGAGCCAGTGCTTAGGTGGATTTGGCAAATAAAAAGCATGTGTAGAACCACGCACCTCCAGCCTTCCCCACCAGATTCTGTGGTCTAGGAGCTGTGGGGTGGACACCGAGTCATGGTGGCGTGACACAGAGCAGCCTGACCCTCGTCACCCATGTGGGCGTGTGGCCTTCCTACTCATCACTGTCAGTCTTCCCTCAGTGGGCTCAGGAGATCCAGCTGGACAAGCCACACTGAACAGACCCACTGTTTTAAGAGGCTGATCTTGTCATCAGAAAAGTTGGAATGAGCAATGGCAGGTGGGAGGAAGCTCCTGTCTCAGGTCTGAGGCTGGCGGACGCCTGCCTTGCACCTTGTCTTGCCAGCTCCATGCTCTGGGGAAGAGGGGGTGGGAGGGGGGCTCTGTGTACGAGGGGCCATGAGTGCTGTTCGGCTTGGACCAACCTGGGCAGCGTGAGCCATCTGGATCAGAGCCACCAGGGGAAGGGGGCAGCCTGCCCACACCTGTGGTCCTGTGAACGGCCTGCACGGCCAGTGGCCCAGCGGAGCGGTACTGTTTATGGCACAATGCACACAGGCCAGCAAGTGGCTTTGATGTGGCCCTTGGAGGGGTGGAGACGAGCCCATTACAGGAACAGGCGTAGGGCCTCGTCACCTCTTACCCAAGATGTTCTTGGAAATGCTCTTGCTCTGAGTGAAGATTAGGAAACCGTCTTCTATTTTAGGAGCCTGGTGTATGTTACATACTGTGTTGACTCGCCCATGACAGTTGTGTGGGTCCTTTGAAAGGGGTGTGTCAGTGGGGGAGAACTTGACACCCCATGGGGAGGGGCAACTCGGGGATGCTGGGATGAGTGCAGGGCACCCCAGAGGAGCCCGTGGCCACCTGCTTGCCCTCACTCACAGCTGCTCACACCACTTAAACTTGATCACACCTGCTTGCTCTTGCCCACAGCCACTCGCTCTTGCTCACACCTGCTCCCCCTCCCTCACACCTGCTCACTCTCATTACCTTCTCACCCCCACTCACACCTGCTCACACTGACATCAGGCAGGAAGCATTCTTGGTGCTGGTGAAGGGCAGCACGGAGAGAAGTCTTGAGCTCAGGCCGAGCCTGGGTGCCCTGTGGGAGGAAGGGCGTCTCAGGCAGCACGTGTCCTTGGGATGCTAGGTCTTGGTAACAGTCTTTTTAGAAGTAGTTCTGATGGGTGCTGGGCTGCGGGAGTCGGCCCTGGACCTCGGGAAGTTGTGGAACGGGGCGCAAAACTGTGCTTGTCATCTCAGGTAACACGTCAGTATTCTGAGGACGCCTGTGGCCTTGTTACAGAAATGGCCTCGTAGTGTGGCCCCCCCTGCCACACAGTGGCACCCCGTGCCCTGCTTTTTCTCCAACTGTGATACTGACTGGCTCATTTCCCAGCAAAAAGGGGGATATTGTTCTCTGGGTGTGACAGAAACTTACAGGGCCCTTTAGCTTTCTCCTCCATTGTCTTTTCCAGCCAGGAAGTCCCTGGGCCCTGTGGGCAGTGATGGCAGAGGTCCCAGGCCTGGACCCCCTTTGTCCTCACAGGGTTTTGGTGCATCAGCAACTTGAAATAGGGAGGCTGGGTCAGGGAGACTCACTACATGTTCCTCAGTCAGAAGGGCACAGACGGCCTACCCAGGACCTGTAAGGCAGCCAGCCTTCAAGGCAGACCTGTTCTTACCAGCCACTTTTGCCACCCCGCGTGACAACCCCACATCTGCTGGCTTGGGTCGCGTGGTTGTCCTTCACCATCTGCCGTGTTGCGCGCTGAGGTGGCTGCTTCTGAGAAGCACGCGTGAGCTGATTCTCAGTGCTCACAGGAAGGGATGGCCAGTGCAGGCTCTGAGCTTAGCAGGCAGGGTCAGCAGGTCTGGATGTGCAGAGGCAGTTCAGAGTGGGGTTCGAGGCCCTGAGCTCTCTGGGGAGAGGCTCAGTGGGCAGCTGGGCAGGGGTGTATGAGAGCAGGTCGGCAGGTGGCGTCACCATGTTCCCTCTGGGAAAGCCTGCTTCTCGTCCTGCTTGGGACACAAGGCCACAGTGTGAATGGTGAAAGCAAAGACCAGCAGTTGAGCTGAGGCTGCGCCCTGATCCTGGGTCCCTGCTTCCTGCCGCGCCGGGGTGGGGGTGGAAGAGTGAGTCCTGGTGTGGCCTGTCCGCCGCTCTGCAGCAGCCCCTCGTGTCCAGGCACCCAGGGCAGGCCGCCTTTCTCTTAGATTGCAGCAGCGTGTGGAGAGGACTTTGGTAGATGCTGTGCTCATTTCCTGTCTGCACGTTTCCTTTTCCCCGCAGGCCTCTGGCTGTACCTGGCAGGGAGCAGCCTGCCCTGTCTCACGCTGATTGGCTCTCCTAATTTTGGGTACAGGTCAGTTCACCGGGACCTGGAGGCCCAGATTGCGATCGTGACGGAGAACCAGGCCCTGCAGCAGCAGCTTCACCAGGTTGGTCGCAGCAAGTGGGATTTCCCAGGGCGCTGAGGGTGTGGCTGGGGGCCCAGGCTCACCCGTGCTGTGGGGCTGCCCTGAGAGCTGTTTCCTGAGGCAACGAGTGAGACTCAGAGCAGAGCAAGAAAGACTCTGGGTCTCCAAGAGTGCAGTGATGGGTGGCTGAGCCTTGGAAGATCATGCCTGTGACTTCCCAGACGCGTTGCACCCCACGTCCTGGGGACTTTTTCTTTCTCTGCACTAGGGGAGACCACCATTTTCTCCCTGGGACCTTTTCCTTTTAAGACAAAGGGTCAACTGTTAAAGGTTCGGCATTGGGGCTGGGTGTGGTGGCTCATGCCTGTAATCCCAGCACTTTGGGAGGTCGAGGCAGGTGGGTCGCCTGAGGTCAGGAGTTCAAGACCAGCCTGGCCAACATGGTGAAACCCCACCTTTACTAAAAATGCAAGAAAGTAGCCGGGCATGGTGGCGGGTGCCTGTAATCCCAGCTACTCGGGAGGCTGAGGCAGGAGAATCGCTTGAACCTAGGAAGCAGAGGTTGCAGTGAGCCAAGATCGTGCCATTGCACTCCAGCCTGGGCAACAAGAGCGAAACTCTGTCTCAAAAAATAAAAGGGTTCAACAGTGGTTTCGGCCCTCGTTTGATAATAGTAGCCCATTTTCTCTTTGAGGGAGATAAAAGAAGGTTACCAGGAGTTGGTGAATGCTTCGGGATGACCCTCTATTTGATGACCTGTGACAGTGTGGTTAGACTTTTGAAATGGGAGCGTGTTACCCTTTTGTCTGAGACCTCGATGGTGCCTTGGGCTCATGAATTCGTGACCTTTGCAATAACACTTTTCCATGGAAGGCACCAACTTCCCTTTTCCATTCCTGGAGATGCAGATAACACTGCCGCAGGCCAGAGCCCAGAGGCATCGGACGGTAACTTTGTGAAGCTTTTATGCTCCAGGGTTTGGGAATAACTGTTGCAAAATTGTCAGAGCCTTTGTTGATGGACGAGGAAATGGTCACTGATGTGTTCCCTGGGATCTGTCCTCCTGCAGCCTGGGAATCTTGTCAGTGACTGATTGATTGGGGCCTTGGTGCCAGGAAAGGCTTCACGACCACGACAGGCGCAAGAGGAAGTGAAGCGGTCATCCTCTGGGTGGGCCAGTGGGGTAATGGGTTTGCTCAGGTTTCTTCCTACAGTGAGGTTTACAGCAAATGACTGAGGAAGCCCCCACAAGCTGAGAGATTCCAGTAATAGGGTGACAAGCTGGCCTTGGAGCCAGGCTAGTGGGAAAGACCTGAGCCTGCAGCTTTCAACAGCGGGCTTTCCTGGACTTCTACTTCAATTGCAGAGAGCCGTTCGCAGAGACTTCCACTGTAGCTCTGTGCCAGGGCGGTAGAGAGTCCTTGGTGACTTTGGCCAGGGGCCAGGATGGGTTCTGCGTGGATCTGAGTTGCTTGGGGGAGCAAGTCCTCCAGGCCTGTGCCTGGGGTCCTGGTACTGACCGTCCTCCCCCACTGCCCTAGTAAGGGCACTGAACCCACATCCTGGATCTTGAGAAAAGCTGGGGCCGCCTGTGGTTAGCAGCTGCTTTCTCAAATGACATATTTGGGATATTTTCTTTTTCTTCCCAAACCTGAATCTCAGGGGCTTTTGCCTGTGGGAGGGTGGAGGGTGGTAGGTCTGCTACTGTAGCTCTTCCATTCTTTAGGGATAGACTGATTTCTCTGCCTGTGAAACGCAGAAATATGTTTCCAGATAATTCCACCTATGCTTATATACTGGGACGGCAGCTGCTCTCCTGAGCCCTACAGTGCCCGGTCCCTAGAGGCCAAATCCTGCTGGGACTGCCCAGCCTCTAGCCTCCCCACAACCCAGAAAGTCCCTAAAGCCCCAGCCACCGTGGGCTCCCTGCTCTCTGAAGCTGTCTCTGGAGATCTGCTTGGGAATTCAGGGAGGGGCCCTCCTATTCATGTCACATTGGGCACTGGGAATGGGGAGATATTTTTATCAGAATCTGAAGCCCCTCCCTCCACTTAGTACATACAATAAACACTGAAAGCTTCCTGGTTTTGTTCAGGGAACACAGTTTACCACTTGTGACCCAAGAAAGACTCCCTCGAACAGCGTCGTAACCTCGTCAGCTGACTTCCTTCTCCATCCCTGTTGTGGAGTCTGTGAGGAAACCTAAGTGTTTCTGGTAATTTAGTTGCAATCTTGGCCGGGTATTCATTTGAAGACACAAAGCTGGAGCCAGGTCTGTGGAGACTCCTGCAAACCAGCCCCCTGAGACCAGAGCTGGCTCTTCCATCAGGCACGTCCAGCCAGGGATTGGGACCTCAGCAGCAATTAGGAGGCCCCATGTCTGTGACACGCGGGGCTGCGGGGCTGCTCAGTTGGGAGTGTGGCATGGACCCACGATGGGGCCCACTGAGCATGGGACGGGGGCAGGGGGTAATGAAGTCGGGGCCTGGCTTTCCCCAGCTCTTGATGGGAAAAGCCAAGGCCACATTCTGTAGGGTTCTGGAGTGTGGGGTGACCCCTTCCTGACCCCCCGGGGCAGAGGAGTTGCCAGGGCTGTGTCCTCCCTCCCGGCCTCCTGAGCAGGGAGTGTGCCACTTTGAGTGGCACAGGCCACCGCTGCTGCTGTCCTGCGGTTGGCACTGTGCTTCTGTGGTCATCACCTGTGGTCCTCACGGCGGTGTGGATGTAGGTATGGCCCGGACATTACGGTGGAGAGCGCTGGAGACTCAGTGGAGGAGAGAGGGCTAGAGTCGCGGTGCAACTGTGTGAGCGCTGCCAGGCGCCCCACTGAGGACACTGAGGAGAGAGCACTTGGAGGGCAGACTCTTACAAGAGAAGCTTTTCAAAGATCCCAAACACCATTTCGGACAAAGCATATATAAATTTTTTTTTTTTTTTTTTTTTAATGGAGTCTTGTTCTGTCGCCCAGGCTGGAGTGCAGTGGCACGATCTCGGCTCACTGTAACCTCTGCCTCCCGGGTTCAAGCGATTCTCCTGCCTCAGCCTCCTGAGTAGCTGGGATTATGGGTGCATGCCATCACGCCCGGCTAATGTTTGTATTTTTGGTAGAGATGGGGTTTAATCACGTTGGCCAGGCTGGTCTCGAACTCCTGACCTCAAGTGATCCTCCCACCTTGGCCTCCCAAAGTGCTGGGATTACAGGTGTGAGCCACCGCGCCCGGCCGCATATATAAATGTTTTTAAACCTGTTTTTAAATATGAAATTAACATGTGTTCACTATAAAAATTAAGAAAAACGGAAAGAAACTAACCCTTTCTGTAGGGAAAACCACTGAAGCCATTGTGATGATTGGCCGCCTGCCTTCTGTGTACAGCGCACGGAGGCACAGCTTTAAGCATCAGATGACGATTCTGTCGTGTGTGTGTATTTCGTGTCCAGCTTCCTTTGCCTGCCGATTTCTGGGCACTTTCCCATATGATTAGGTCAACACTCTTCTCATGGCGAAAACTGGTTTGTCATATGAGTTGTTAATAAGTTCGTGGTGAATGCTGGTTTGTCATATGAGTTGTTAATAAGTTGACTGTTGGACATTTAGGTGGTTTCCAGTTTTTCCTTGTTATAAATATTGTGATAAATATCTGTATATAAAAATCTTAGCGCATAGTGATTTTCTTGGGGTAAGCTCTTGCAAAGGGAGCTTTATAAGGTTCTTGATACCTGTTGCCAGAGCTCACTCTAGAGGATGACTTGTCCCCCTTGCCCTCAGCACTAAGCGTTCATCAGTGTGGGGGATAATGACATCACAGATGTCATTGGCACAAATTGGCTTTGTGCCAATTTGATAGAAGAAAAACTGTGTCTCATTTAAAAAATACCTCATTTTAATATGCATTACCTCGTTTAGTGAGGGTGAACATTTAAAATATTTTTTCCACCAGTTATATTTCTTCAACTCTAAATTGAAGAAATTTAGAGTCCTTTACATGTCTTGGTCTTAAAAGCCTTTTGGGTTTTTTTTTTGAGACAAGGTCTCACTTTGCCACCCAGGCTGGATTGCAGTGGCAGCATCACAGCTCATGCAGCTTTGACCTCCCGGGCTGAAACCCTTGCCTACCTCAGCCTCCCAAGTTGCTGGGGCTACAGGCACACACCACCATACCCGGCTAATTTTTAGAATTTTTTCATAGAGATGATGTCTTCCCTGTGTTGCCCAGGGTGGCCTCAGACTCCTGAGCTCAAGCGATCCTCCTGTCTCAGCCTCCAAAAGTGTTGGGATTATAGGCTTTAGCCACTGTGCCCAGCCCTTAAAAGTCTTTAGGAACACGGCTTCTTAGCTTTTCTAAGGAATGTTTGACAGTGGCAACTTGTAGGGCCTGGCCTTGCCTGCCACCAGAGCACCCTGGGAATCTCTGGGCCAGGTAGACATGGGAAGTCAGGGTTTTCTGGGCTGGCCTGAGGGGCTGGGCTGGGGCCAGCCGGCCATGTGGTGTGGTGCTGGAGGGGACTCCTCACTATTCCTGTCTGTTCCTCTTCCTCAGGAGCAAGAGCAGCTCTACCTGAGGTCAGGTGTGGTGTCCTCTGCCACCTTCGAGCAGCCGAGTCGCCAGGTGAAGCTGTGGGTGAAGATGGTGACTCCACTGATCAAGAACTTCTTCTGAGGACAGACAGGTGCTGTCTCTAGCATCACCTCTCAGCACGATTTTCCCGAGAGTTCACAGGTGGGGCAGGTGGTTGTTCTGACTCAACCAGAGCTTCCAGAGGGCTCTTTGATCCCTTTCTCAGTTAAACACAGAGCAGCATCTTCAGGGGTATGGCAGCTGTCCTCAAAGTTAGAAGCTGGATGCTAAATTAGGCAGTCTGTTCACTTTCCATCTGGTACCCACTCCACTAAGTCCCAAGGCGCCTGTGCTGGGGTCGGCAGTGGCAGCCTGTAGTCCCCTTCTGCTCTCCCTTCCCAGGGGGTCCTGAAGAAGCCCTGGGGCAAGGGCTCAGGGATGAGGGGGCAGAAAGGCAGATTGAGCCCCTCCAAGCTGAGCACACTGGTGCAGGAGATGTAGACGTGGGAGGAGGGGAGCACGTTTGCTCGTGAGAGTGGCTCTGGCTTGCTGCCCTGGCCGGCTGTAGTGCACAGGGTGGGGCGTCGGTAGAGCCAGACCGTGGGCTGCTGCCTGGACGCCTCGCTGACATCCCTGTGCTGCGGTTACAGAGCTGCGCCCTTCTAGACTCTGGAAGTTGAGTAACAGGACCTGCTCTGCCCACCCAGGAGGGGCCTGCCGCTTCACCAGAGGCACCAGTGGGGTCCCACAGTCACCTGAGGTACCCCTGGACTGTCTTGACGCCTAGAGGTCCGGGCAGGGGGTGGCTGCCATTAAAGGTGGGGTCTTTGCTGAGTGACCTTTTGTGTCCTGGATCCCTCAGGGCCTGGACTGCACTCCGGGTGGGGTCAGGCTCCCGAGGCCCCTGCTCTCTGGTTCTGGATGTTGTGGGTAGTTCTGTTGCTTTGGATGGCTGGGCCTTTGGATGGTGGCTTGTGGGGAAGGGACGGTGAGGAGTCAAAGATGAGCCAGGACCCATGTGGCCGGCACATGCGCTAGTGCCGGCATCTCATGTGTGCAGCGTGGGCTCCCTTAGTGCCTGGCACCTTAGTGCTCTGCTAAGTCTCATTGTTTAAAAATGTGTAGTTTATCTGCAGCTTTTCCTAGTTATTTTAATTACTTTTCATTTTATTTGAATAGTGTGTGCAAATGTAGAGAGTAAAACAATACTGCGGCCATTTCCTGCCCTCCCTTCCCCCAGGCAGCCACTCTTGGCTTGTTTCTTCTGATGTGCACACGTGTCCGTATTTCTAAATAACGTGCATATCCTGCTGTCTTCCCCCAAAATGTGTACTTAACCAAAACAGCACCAGTGTCACTCCTGAAACAAAAATTACCAAGAATGTCTTAGTATCATCAAATACCTAAATGGTGTTCACAATTCCACTTGCCTTAAAATTAATTTTTTCGATTATTTGACTTGAAGTCCAATTAAGGACTACACCTTGTGATTGTTTTTTCCCTAGCAATTTATTTTTTGAAGAATGAACTTTATTTTTATTGGATCTACTTAAAACATTTTTGTGTCACCTAGTAGCAGGGGATTTTGAATACATGTCATGTGTGTTTATAAAGCCAGCTCTCCATATCCCCCAGTGTCTCCAGGAGCTGCTTTTGTGACCTCACTGCCTGATCTCTTTATCATCTTCAGGTGCTTGACCCTTGCACAGAGAGAAGCTTCCTGGGCTACAGGGCATGGCAGCCTGTCCTTTCGGGGAGTGAGATTAGATTTAGTCCCTGCACTTTGCCTCTCTAGAAGCAGCTTCTCGCCTTTCCCTCCCGAGGGCTGGCAGGAGTCACTGTCACCCTTCATGGGGTCTGAAAGGTTGCATAGGCTCACCTGGTCTTAGACAAGGACAGTTGCAGCTTCCGCACCAGGCAGACCTGCAGTTTGAGTGGCTGGGGATAGGTGGAGCGGCGGCCTGGCCACAGTGCCCTGGACAGCAGCACATCACATCAGTTAACACTGTTTGCCTTCCAACTAGTTATTACGGTGTCCTGTGGGACAATTAGACTGGAGGAGCCAAAGGAATGTGCAGGGGCACTGGGTTTCTGTTTGGAGAGAGGCTCTCGGTAAACAGAGTTCGCATTCCTCCAGATTCTGTGGGACCAGAGTAAATATCATTATGCCACAGCCAGGCTTAAGCAATCTATCTGCAGTGCCGTTCCCGCAGCGCACACTGCTCCCTCTGTCTCTGCTGATGACCTTCGAGGCTGTCCTAGGCAGGTTCTCCCTGAGGAGCTCCCCACACCAAGCCTCCCTAACTCTGCAAAGCAGCCGGAGCAACAGAGAGCAGCGGGCGGCGGGCGGCGGCCGCCGCAGTCCTCCCGGCTTTCTAGGTGCGCGGGGCTGTCGTGTTCCAGTCCCTGTGTTCCCCGTCGCTGGAGTGCAGCTTAAGTGCGAATCATTTCTTGGAAAGTTTAGAGATAATTTTGTCAACTACCCACAATATGTATGTGTGGACTAGATTACTTTCTTATTTCAGGATCTAAAGGCAAAATGGAAAAACGTCACATTTTGTGGTTATTACCAGGGACTGAAGTGAGTTGCCCGGTGGCCCCTGGTGGCTTTAGCTCCCCTGGTCACCTGAAGGGCTGCAGTGACCCCTCCTGGCCAGCAGAGGTATTGGCCCAGCCAGGCTGGGGGAGGCTGAAACTGCTTCCCTTCTCTGCAGCCACAAAGGGCTGGATTCCTTGGGCGCCAGGAGGGGAGGATTTTTCTTTTCCCTCCGATAGCCCTACTGGGCGCTAAGATTGTTGTGAATCATTACCCTCAGAATTTGGACTTTCTAGATGCTTCTTAACCCATGATTTAGGTGAGTAAACTTGGAAAAATGTTTTTGCAAAACTTGATGATCAAGCTGAACGTAGAACGATATTCCTAATGGGTGTGTTTGCCTTTTTTCCCCCTTTTGAGACAGGGTCTCACTCTGTCACCCAGGCTGGAGTGAGTGGCATGATCATGCCTCGCTGCGTACTTGACCTCATGGGCTCAAGCGACCCTCCTGCCTCAGCCTCCTGAGTAGCTGGGACCACAGGCACATACAACATTCCCAGCTAATTTTTTGTATTTTTGATTGATAGAGATGGTTTTGCCACGTTGCCCAGGCTGGTCTTAAACTCCTGGGCTCAAGTAAGATTGCCGTCCTGGGATTAGAGGCGTGAGCTGCTGCAGCGGCCTGCTTTTCTTTGAAGCCTGAGAAATGTTGAGGGCCGGGCACAGTGGTTGACACCTGTAATCCTGGCGCTTTGGGAGGCCGAGGTTGGTGAATCACCTGAGGTTAGAAGTTTGAGACCAGCCTGGCCAACATGGTGAAACCCCATCTCTACTAAAAATAAAAAAATTAGCTGCGTGTGGTGGTGGGTGCCTGTAACCCCAGCTACTTGGGAGGTTGAGGCAGGAGAATCGCTTGAGCCCAGGAGGTGGAGGTTGCAACGTGAGCCGAGATTGCGTCATTGCACTCCAGCCTGGGCGACAAGAGTGAAACTCTCACTCTCCCTCGAAAAAAAAAAAAAATGTTGATCCTGTCTTGGTCCCCCTGGGATCCGTCTTTTCTGACGTTTGCCGCTGTCTCCCCTCATCCCCCAGGTTGCTAGTTAATTCTCTCCCCTCGTGCCTGCACCCTGCTGCCCTAGCTAGCCTGGCCACCTCACTGCCGTGTCCTGCATCAGCCCAGCCACAGAGTCCTACAGGTCCGGGGCTTGCTTGTGGGAACGGCTTGTTCTTCTAGACTCTGGGGGCGGGGGCTTGGGTGTGTTTCCTTACTTGTAAAAGGTCCTGTTGTTTTTGGGAGCAGGGAGTAATGGCGGATGAGACGCTGTGTGGAGGCGGCAGCTCCTGGTATGGGGTAACGCCCTGTCCCCTCATTGGCAGGTGGTTTGCATGAAGCATCAGGCCAGAGGGTGTGAGTGCCAAGCCCTCACCCCACATGCTGCTCCTGTTAAAAGCAAACTCCACTGACCCCCCCGGGAAGTCAGGATTTGGGATTTACTTCCTGGAATGCTTGCCTCTGGCTGCTGGGAATTGGGGCCTTTCCCCAAAGCCTGAACCAGGCCTCACAGTGGCCATCAGGCACAGAATGGATGGGCACAGCTGAGTGGCTCCACTGGCTTTAATCTGCCCCACCTCTTCCACACCAACCTCCACCCTCTGGTTCCGATGTGCTTGGTTACAAAGCACCTGATTATTTAAGAGAACGAAAAACCACCACCAGTTCCTGTAAAGAATAAGTCACAGGTGCACAGGTGAAGGGCTGAGTTGTGGTCCAGCCCCAGGGAGTGTGGGCTGTGAGGCAGGAGCGAGCTAAACCTGTAGGAGCAGCGCCACGGCTGCCAGGATCCACTTCGCTGCCTTCTCTTTGGTCTTCAAGTTAAAGGTCCAGACATAGGTGGGGCCGCGGATGCGTGTTTTGTACACGGGACACTCATAGATGTTCTTGGTCTCCATGCGGTCCACAGGAATGGCCTTGATGAAGATGACAGGCATGGCCGGGGTCAGCTCTTTCAGCCGCGCTTCAGCGATGACTCCAGTCTGGGTGTCCCAGCGAGCCCCTGCAGGGACAGTATGGCTGAGGGTCAGGTGTGCTGCCAGTAAGTGAGGGAGGGGCTGGCAGGAAGGGTGGGGTCCTCACACTCCCCGCCCTCTGCAGAGCTGGGCTCTACCCCAAAAGGCTTCAGGCCAGCTGCCACGGCTGGAAGCAGAGGCCTTCGTAGGTGATGGCCTGCATGTTGTAACTACCCCGTCCCGCTGGGCTCAAGGAACAGCTCAGCTAAAGCCCTCGGGTTCCATCCGTTTAAATCTGTGGCATTTTCAGAGCCTCATCTGTCAGCCTTAATGTCAGTGGCAGGAAGTCATAACTCCAGCTAAAAATTACAGAGTAAAGTTCCCTGATTCTTAATGTGTAATGTCTGCCCTATGTGTACATACACAATATAATTATACATCTGTGCATATAAATATTGCCTTTAACCAGACTGCTATTATTTCTACTCGCCCTATTTAATGGTGTTTTTATTTCCTGTCTGAAATCTCAAAATAAACAAACATGGAGAGCTTATCTTTGGTTGTGTGGGAAATGGGGTGCCTGAGCCGTTGCTGGCCCAACCCTGCCACCCCACAGGTAATGGGGTGACGTCAGCTGTTGAAGGGGACAGGTATGTGGTGGTGGCATTGCTGCTCAACTCAGAGGCGGGCTGAGAAGATGGCCGGCCTCGGTGTCCTGGCTGACCTCTTCTGTGTAGCAGGACAGGGGTGATGTGGGGGCGGACTTCTAACAGGTGCCCCAGCCTCTTTTCCCTTGAACCCTGTGTTCCAGGAGTGGCAGCAGCTGGGGAGTGGGTGAGACTGGGCCAGCCAGCATGACCTGGAGTCTCAGTGCAGCCACAAAACGCACTTCTGCCCTGGGCTGACTGCTCCGTGGCAGGGAAAGCCTGGGCTTTTCAGCGCTTTTCATCACGTCGGAGCTGCTCTCTCACAAGCTCTGCTGTTTTCATTAAAGCAGAGGCCAGGTGACTGGGGTGTTTTTGGTCTCCTCCAGACCCTGCACATTCCCTGAATCCTCTCAACCCTCTCTAGGGTCAGCGTGGCTCTGACCTGCAGGCTGATGCCCCCTGAGAGCACCTCTCTCCTGCCTGTCCCCACAGCTCTTGAACAGCCTGTCTTTGCCAAGAGCTAGTTTTATCTTGTCTTGGCAAGTAGCACTGGCTCTGGAAGCTTCTGCAGACAGACAAGAGCCCTCCTTACCTTCCATGAAGAGTCCGTACACGTAGGAGCCCTCTCGCGGAGGAGCGGTCATGTCCTCTCGGTTTTTCTTGGTCACCTCGACAGACAGACACATCTTGTCCAGGGGCCACTCGTTCTTCCTGGCCATGGACTGCATGATGGCCGTGAGGAACGACTGGGGGTTGAAGAAGCCGGCCAGCCACACGGTGGTGGGCAGGGCAAAGTCTGTCGTCCAGGCCTCGAGTTCCTGCAAGGACACACGAGCCGCTAGGAGGAGAGGACATAGAATGACATGGGAACGACCGGGCCTTGGCCGTTCTGAGCAGGGGTCACGCCAGAACCTTCCACGGGCCACTCAGCGAGCTAGAAGTGCTGGACAGAGTAGGGGCCATGGAGCCCAGCCACCTACCATGACGCAACTTTGGTGTCTGCTTTTTTTTTTTTTTTTTTTTTTTTTTTGAGATGAAGTATCGCTCTGTCACCCAGGCTGGAGTGCAGTGGTGCAATCTTGGCTCAACGCAACCTCCGCCTCCCGGGTTCAAGCAATTCTCCTGCCTCAGCTTCCAGAGTAGCTGGGATTACAGGTGCAGGCCACCATGCCCAGCTTATTTTTGTATTTTTAGAGATGGGGTTTCGCCATGTTGGCCAGGCTGGTCTCGAACTCCTGGCTTCAAGTGATCTGCCTGCCTTGGTCTCCCAAAGTGCTGGGATTACAGGTGTGAACCACCGTGTCCAGCTGCTGTTTGCTCCATTTTAAACAAGGGAACAGGTAGAGAAGGGTCAGGAAGAAAATGGCTTCCTGTTTGTGGATAATTTAGGAGCCCAAAGAGGCTCTTGCCTTCATTGCCTCGCTCCTTATAGAGGACGGCTTACCCTTTGAGGGTCGCTTGAGGAGGAGCTGATGGAAGCTGCTCTGCGGCCTGGCTTGTTTTCCTCCTTTGGGAGGAAATGGCTGCACTGTCAGGGTGTGGGAGGGGCATGGGCTAGGCCCTTCTGGCCCTGATCTGACAGAGGACAGGCCCCCAGGAGCCTCCTGGCCATGCTCCTGCAGGCTCTAGGGTGTGGGGTGTGCCGAGCTCTGGGCACTCGGTCCCCGAGTCTTAGGAAGCCTCTCAGAGAAAACGGCACTTACCCTGATGCGGAGCAGCAGGTCTGCGTACCAGGCCGCCAGGCCCATCATGGAGGGGTAGGCCCGGGCCACCCACGTATCAGGCACGGTGTCATAGAAGAGAGCCGTGGACAGATCTTCCACGTCGGTCGTGATGGTCAGTTCTCCCTAGGAGACACACAGATGGGTGTGGGGAGCCCTGAGCTGGGGCCTGGGAGAGCACCAGCCCCAGTGCGTGTCATGAGTTGTCAACACAGTGTGGCTTTGTGCTGCGCCTCTGGAGACGCCCTGCATCAGGGCCACGCAAGCGCTTCCTGCTAAGGAACGGTCTAGATGAGCTCCCGGGGCTTGTTCTGGAACTGCCAGAGCTCTGGAGAGGGAGCAGTACCATGCTGATCCGGGGCCTGTGCTAGGCCTGGGTTGCCAGAGGCCTGGGTTTCTGCTGGTTTCACCATCCAGCCACGTCCCTGGGGCCGGGCTGACCCATGTTTACCTTCAGCCCCAGGTTCAGCTCCTTGAGCGAACGGCGCATTTCGTTGGTCAGGATGTTCATTCTTTCACATTCTTGAAAGGCGACTACCACGTAGGGGGTCTTTTCCGCTGCCTTTGCCATGATCTCAGCCATGTTGAAAGTCTCCGGAATCTTCTCCAGGATGTCGTCCAGCACGGCCTTCACCTGGAAGCCAGTCCCCGGACAGCCCCTGTCACTGCAAAGAGCCCACCCCACCCACTGCAGGGTCAGGGAGCCTGCCCAAAATGTTCCCAGCCCCAAGTCCTGGAGAGGAGGGAAGAGGCAAGTAGAGTTGCCAGAAATGCAGGGTCATGGGTGCAGCCACACATTTGATGAGGAGAGGGAGCCTTGGCCAGCGGCTCCGAGCATTCTGATCTCACTACAAGTCCCTGCAGCCGCGGCCATGAGCGCATCAGGCCACCTGGCTCGGTGCCTCATTTGTTCATTCCCACGCACCAGCCTCTGGTCAAATGTAGCCAGCGGTTGAGGGATTGCGACTTTGTCCTTTACGTGGGCTTTCTGTAGGGACCATGCTGGTCACACCCTGTTAAGGAGTGGCCCACACAGTGCAGTGGTCACCTGCACCACCGTCTGTCAGCCAATTCCTGATTTCAGTCATTAGACTAAGAGAAAGTCCTGGACCTAATAGGAATAAGGGTCTCACATCAAGAATTCAGTCTTTACCGGGAAGTCCTGTACTTAGCTAGTACGTAATAGAGCCTTTCCACATTCTATTAAGAAGTACAGGCCAGGTACAGTGGCTCACGCCTGTAACCCCAGCACTTTAGGAGGCCGAGGCGGGATGGTCACCTGAGATCAGGAGTTCAAAACCAGCCTGGCCAACATGGTGAAACTGTCTCTACCACAAATACAAAATTAGCCAGGTGTGGTGGCAGGCGCCTGTAATCCCAGCCTGGGAGGCTGAGCCAGGAGAATCGCTTGAACCTGGGAGGCGGAGGTTGCAGTGAGCCGAGATCGTGCCATTGCACTCCAGCCTGGGCAACGAGAGCAAAACTCCGTCTCAAAAAAAAAAAAAAAAAAAAAAGTGGAGGTACCCAGGAGGCAGCACAGAGCCACCCAGACAAGCGAGAATTTGTTCAGAACACTGGCATCCCCTGAACTCTTCTAATCCTTTGAGCAGTAACAGGACCTGCCATTGTGGCCACTGAGCGGCTCTGGAGTACCTGCCTGCACATCCGGCTGCCCGGTGCGAGCTGCTACTGCTGTTGTGCTGGCCAGGCCAGGGTGGGGAATGGTCGGTGCCCTTCCTGGCGCTCAGCTAGGGAAGCTGGAAGACTGCAGGGTGGAGGGCTGGGATGCTCTTGGAGCCGCATCCACACCCCCAAGGATCCCTTTTGTCTGGGCCCGTACGCTCACCCGAAGCCTGCAGCTGCCACGTCTGAGGACCTGCTGACCAGCCTGCGGGCCATACCCCAGTGTTTCTGATACCCAAGCCCAAGGCTGGGGCAGAGTGTACCTCACCAGCAAGTTCCCCTGTACTGCCGCCAGTCCCTGTGACCCCCTCCTCAGTTCTAGATCCTCCCCCTTCCTCTCGCTTGGGAGCAGTTTCAAAGATCCTGCCTTCTCCTCGCGGGACACTCCCGTGCCTGCCCCCGAGTCCGTCTCTTTTGGCTGCATTTCCAGGACAGTGCGGAACAGCTTCTCTGAGGTGACCGTCAGAAAGCCAATCTCTGCGTTGGGGTGCAGGCCATACAGATAGGGACTCTCAGGGGGCAGGTTCTCATCGATGTATTCGTGGTAACCCTGAAAAAGAGGGCAGTTTGTAAGCAGAGGCAAAGCTGTGCAGGCTGAAACCCATGTCCTGTTGGTTAAGCATTCCTTGCCAGAACGTTCACCCACACCTTGCTGTCTGTACAGATCCCACTTGTTTCCCAGCCCCCTTTGTGGGCTGCCCCCTGTGCTCCCAGCGACATAAAGGAAAATTCCATTCCCCCTTCCCTGAGGCTGCATTTCTTTCTTTAAAAAAAAAAAAAAAAAAAAAAGGTTGTTTGTATTAGCCTTGTGCTTCTTCCAAGTGAGACGCATTTCTCATCCTCTCTTATTTTGGCTGCCTGGGTTCTTGCTCAATTATTGACACTCCATTTGTGCTGGCAGGCTCTCACCGGGAGGCACGAGCCTTCATTACGTTGAGCTCCTGTTTAACTTGTCATCCTTACCTTGTAGTCCAGGTTGGGGGGGATCTGAAAGCCGGGGGCCAGCAGGACGTCTCCCTCCAGCATCTCCGTCCGGATGTATTCAGCCAGGTAGGTCCTGCACAGCCGACGGTCCCAGTCATCTGTGATGTGGCCGCCATACATGATTTCACCAAAAAGGTAGCGGAGATCGTCCCAGGGCACCTGAGGAAGGATGACAGCGGGTAGGGGAAAGTGCCCCTGTGCCCCTTCTCTGCCATGAGAGGGTCAGGCTCAGGCAGGCAGGGCGTGGGAACCCAGCCATTGGTGCTGTGTCCTTCTCGCCCTCCAGGTCAGCCTCCTGGCCATTTACCTTCAGGGTCACCAGGCCCCAGGGCCACCTTTCTTTCCATTCCGCGCCACCAGACGCCAATGTCCGGCCCCTTTGGCTTCTCTCACAAGGGGCTGTGTGGCACCTCCCTCCACCTTGGACAGCGCTTCCACAGCCGGCATGCTCTGCACCTCCCGTGGGGCAGGTGTTTCTGCTGTGCCTCACTGTGCCTCAGAGGCCACAGGGCTGAATCGGAACTCGCTCCCTCTGCCTCTCCCACTCTGTGTTACCATCTGAGACTCTGCCCTTCACGGTCCAATTTCAACACAAGTGGTTTGATTCTGTGTGGCTCAAGGATTGACTCCAGTGCCGTCAACCTTTTGGCCACGAAGTCGTTAGTCATGTCTTCAGATGCATCTGGTGAGTCTCCCTTCCACCCTGTGGAAGTAGAGTCCTTCCTGGTTCTCATCCTTCCAGTAGCTCCCGTGCCTCCAGGGTCTTTGCAGTCACATAGAGGGTTTGAGCAAGTGACTTATCTGACCTAGGCTGCCCGGGCCTTAGGGAACGAAGACCAAACTCGGCAGTGTGGACCAGAGCACACGCCAGGCGACCACACGCTTCCCACCCCGCCGCCGTTCCCACTCCCTTCATGCTTCCTTGCAGTCTCACGTCACACCTTTGCTCTGGAACATTCTTCTTCCTACAAAGCCTGGCTCATGGGCGGCCTCGCCATGAAGCCAGGCCCTTGTTCTTCCCGCCTCCATGTGCCCGTTTTGGAGCCTCTTTCTCCTGCACAGCGCAGTTCAGCAGAAGGACGGTGGGAGCCACGGATTGAGGCCACATGTGTCATTTTAAATTTTGTGGCAGCCACTTTAAAAGAGATCATTCCAACATGTAATTGGGATAAAAATAAGATAATTGATTCTTTTTTGGTACCCAGCATGTGAAATCCTGCCGCTCACAGTCAGCTTCTTCCTGCTTCCGCACACCTGTTCTTTCCCTGAAGTTTGCAGCTCCTGAAGGGCGAGGCAGATGTTTTCATAACATCACTTCCACTGTGCGCTGGCCGGAAGAGCTGTCATCAAATACCAGTGGGAGTTCATTGAATAAGAATCAGTTGATGAATCAATCATCTGATTTGGTCTCATGAATTTATATACATATGTATATATTTTTTAGGTTGCTTATTTTTGAGATGGAGTCTCGCTCTGTTGCCCAGGCTGGAGTGCAATGGTGCAGTCTCTGCTCACTGAAACTTCTGCCTCCTGGGTTCAAGCAATTCTCCTGCCTCAGCCTTCTGAGTAGCTGGGATTACAGGTGCACACCACCATAGCCAGCTAATATTTTGGATTTTTAGTAGAGATGAGATTTCACTGTGTTGGCCAGGCTGGTCTCGAACTCCTGACCTCAGGGGATCTGCCTGCCTCAGCCTCCCAAAGTGCTGGGATTACTGGTGTGAGCCACTGTGCCCAGCCCATATGTATATGTTTTTTAGACAGGATCTTGTTCCATGTCCCAGGCTGGAGTGCAGTGGTACAAACATGGCTCACTGCAGCCTTGATCTCCTGGGTTCAAGCGACCCTCCCACTTCAGCCTCCCAAGTAGCTGGGCCTACAGTCACACCACCATGCCAGACTAATTTTTTTATTTTTTGTAGAGACAGGGTCTTGCTGTGTTGGCCAGGCTGGTCTTGAACTCCTGGGCTCAAGCAGTCCTCCTGCCTCGGCCTCCCACAGTGCTGGGATTACAGGCTTGGGCCACTGCACTCGGCTTAGTCTCATGACTTTTTTACTCAAAACGTTAATGTTTTCCACATTATCATTAGCGACTTACAACCTTCTCTGTCTGGTCATCACAACTGTTTGCGGGCTGCTTTTCCTGCATCTTGCTTAGCAGCTTTGGAGGCAGCGTCTGTGTCTCCCGAGAGGCAGGAAGACCTGTGCCCCTCTCCCCCTCCTGGCCCCACACGCTCCTCAGGAGGGTTGCTTCCCGCAGGGGGTGGGGGTGAGTGCTGTCTGCATTTCCCGTACCTGCTGAGGGAACCCCCCACCCCGAGACTCCTGGGGGAGCTGTAGCTCTCAGGCCCCTCCCTGGGAGTCCCTGCAGGTTGCTCTGTGTTTCAAAGCAACGTTCCATCAGACTTTTGTGTTCCGTTCGCATGGGAATCCCTGATCTATTTCCTCAGAGCCCAGACGGCTAAACAGGCCGTGGACACAGATGACATCATTCCCGGTGGTCACTCAGCGTGTAGCATGACCTGTGCCATGAAGGGAATATGGGAGCCGGTGGGGAGTCTGTGGAGGGGGAGGGAGGCCTGAGGACAGAGGGAAGGTTGGCCAGCGCAGGCCACATCAGGACACAGCTCCTCAGGATGTGGCAGCCGCTGATGTACATGGTACTCGCGCGGCTTCTCAGCAGCTTAGAAGCTGCCCAGCGTGTGTCAATGGGCAACGGCTAAGGAAATGTCTTAAAAATCCTAACCTGGCCAGGTGCGGTGGCTCACGCCTGTAATCCTAGCACTTTGGGAGGCCGAGGTGGGCGGATGACTTGAGCCCAGGAGTTTGAGACCAGCTTAGGCAACATGGTAAAACCCCGTCTTTACAGAACAAAACAAAACAAAAACAAAAAAAACCTGGCATTGTGGCCGCTGTAGTCCCAGCTACTTGAGAGGCTGGGGTGGGAGGATCACCTGAGCCCAGGAGGTTAAGGCTGCAGTGAGCTGTGATTGTGCCACTGCACTCCTGCCCCAGTTAACAGTGAGGCCCTGTCTCAAAAATAAATAAATAAATAAATAAATAAAATAAATAAAAATTAAAAAAAAAATTCTAGCCAGACTGTTTCTCCCAAACTAGTCTCTGCGTGGTTTGGCCGTCTCTCCGTGCTGAAAGTCCCTTTGAACATCTTGGGTGCCTCTGGGAGTGTTTTCAGATCCGGGTCTTGTTCTGGGTGAAATGTCCGGCCGGCACCCTGCCCCATCGACCGGCAGACAGCAGAGGCTGCCTTTCCCCAGTGGCATCTATGGCCCATGGTGGCCCATTGCCAGGGAGCACAGGGAGCCAAGTCCCGGCCCAGTTCTGCTCCCTGCTACTCCAGGGCTGGTGTGCCTCCCAGGGAACTAAGCATACCAAGTTCCAGGCCCAGCCTTCGCCAGCAGCGATCCTGGGAGGTCGTTGTCCTCCAGTCTTGGTGAGGAGGCTCTGTCACAGCCTCCCAGGCCAGGTGCTTGACATCAGAGGTCACCTCCTGGGGGCCTTCTCAGGACACCCAATGGGAGCACGTGTGCCGTGCATGCCTGGGGCTTAGTGGCCCAGGTCTTGAGCTTTATTACAAGGAGATGGAAAAAAGGAGGGGGTTCCTGAGACTGGCATTGCCAGGCCAGGCTTCCCTCATTGAACCCCCAGGCCCTGAGGTGGAGGCCCATGAGGAAGCAGGCTTAGCGGTCCAGTGACTTGCTGGAGGTCTCAGTGAATGAGTAGCAGAGCAGGCTTCAAACGTGCCCCCCCCCCCCGACCCCGGTGCCAGCACCGTTTCTCACCATGTCACATCCAGGCCCTGGGAGTCCTCCAACCCCGAGGCCCCACGTAGGCAGCAGCCCTCCTGGGCAGCTGAGTGCAGCTTTCTTCCCATCCCCCTCCCAGTCTGTAAGAGGGTGCCCGGACCTTGCTCTCTCTGAGCCAGGGTCCATGTCGCTATTGATTTGGAGGCCGAGAGTGAGGAGGAGGACCCAGGGTTTATAGGGGTGTGCACCGCCCTCTGCCTTCTGGGCGAGGGGCTCCTGGGCCTGTGCCAGGCTTAGCCTGAGTCAAAGCTTCGTAAGAACCGTGCGTGGTGAGCACTACCGCTCTCTCCAGTTTATGGTTGGGGTGGCCAAGCCTTAGGAGACCGTAGATGGGGCTGCAGGGCCTAGCAGGGTACGTGCTGCTTACAGAGGGCCCCCTCCAGCGAATAGCAGGTCTGGGATTCATACGCTACCATCTGGTCCCAAACCTGTGCCCTCTGCTGTGCACCTTGCTCTGTGCCCCGACCTGTGCCTCCTGCTGCAGACCGTTTACGGAGGATGTGTGGCTTTCTACTCAGTCCTCTGTGGCAGTCTGCATGCGCCTTTATGCATTCTCATAATGGACACAGCACTCCCTTCTATCCGGGGAGGTTTTTTGTCCCTCCTGCTCCAAACCTGGGTTCTCTCCAGACACTGACAGAGCCGTGGTGAGGCCTGCAGCCCGGGAAGCCCTGCTTGTCCTCCCCACTGAGTCCCAGCTCACACCCTGTGGTGGCAGGATTCTGGGGGAATCCTCATCCAGGTGCAAGAGGGGCAGGTGGCGTGGAGTGTGCTAACAAGCAGAAGAGCTGTCCAAAAGCCGGCTCCTGCAGGAGGTGGGGGCAAAGGACTGGACCATCTTAATTACAGCAGGCTGGAGAGATCACAGATGGTGCTGCCTTTCAAGTTCTCTTTGGTTTGTGAAACCTACTTGATGTCTTTTAAGCCTAAGACAAAGACCAAAAGGAAAGGGAGGGAAGGAAGGAGGGAGGGAAGGAGGGAGGGAAGGAGGGAGGGAAGGAGGGAGGGAAGGAGGGAAAGAGGGAGGGATATGTCCAAGTACAGGGCACACACAGCCCCTCACCTTGGGGTTGGCCTCCAGGTAGTTGTAGAGCACGTTGATGGAGATGGTGAGGTCCCCGTTGTTGAAGGGGTACGACCGGTTCCAGCCCTGGGCGCCGAACTTGCGCCTCTCTGCCACCACAGCGTGGAAGTAGCACAGGGCGAAGAGCATGCACTTGAACTCCATCTCCTTGGTGCACATCTCCAGGGTGTCCTGTGGGGCACACGCTCCGGTCAGGTATTAGGGAGAGGGAGAAGTTTACACAGAAATGCCCCTGAGGGTGACCAGCGTCCAGCCCTTGCCAGATGCTTTGCTAGGGTGGGGGCGGTGGGGGGTACAAAGCTGTGGGCTGTGCAGGTCTCTATCAGACCCGCTGCAAGGAAAGCTGGGCTGTCATGGCTGAGTACGATCTTCTTGTTCCTTTCAGAAATGCAATTTTATCCCTTTTAAGTACTTAACTACAAGTTGAATTATTGATACTGCTTCCTAATATCTTCCCAAATCCTGGACATTTCGGGACTACTTTAATACGAAATAATGTTCCTTTGTAATTATCAACATTCCTCATCACTTATGCACAGTATCCCAAACTCTAAAAACAACTGGTAAAGTTCCATCAGGATGGGGGATGGGATAGAGGATGGGGGATGGGATAGAGGATGGGGGATGGGATGGGGTCGCTTCTCAAACCCTTTCTTTTTATCTGGCTCCAGGGAAGGGAAAACTGAGCCTAAATTGTGACTCCTACGTCTCTGGATTTGTGAGCTTTTACTCATTAACCTTTGCTACGTAGTGACTCCTGAACACACAGAGGCTTCTGGAAGCCAAGCTGTGCTCCACCTGCTCTACTCAGCGGCTGACGGAGCACCTCTGGGGCCAGGCACTCTGTGTGGGGGGAGGGCTTCAGGCACAGTGGCCGAGGATCCCGCTGGGGAGGGACAGATAAGTGCCAGGGGAAGTGTACTGGGTGGATCAAGAGCAGGGCCCTGTCCTGGGCATCATGGAAAGCCTGGCACAGGCCCCTCTGGCAACATGGACAAGAAGGGGAGCAGCTGGGGTTCCATCACTCGAGTATCCCCTCCTGGCTGCCTGGGACAGAGACGATGGGCCCAGGAGACTGGCCTGGCCAGTCCCTTTCAGACCTCAGCTCCCTGGGGAGGGCGCTGGCAGTGAACACGTGGAGAGCCAGAGTGACACCAGCCAATGGGAGACTCACCAGCCCCCAAGGACAAGGGAAGGCCTGGCGGGTGTCACCGTCCATCCATCCTCCAGAGTCCATCCGATCCGGTGCTTTTCACCAGCCTACCCGCACTCAGGTCTGGGGCATCGTGGACATACAGGTTCCACCCACCACCGCTTCTTCCTGTGGGCCCTTGTTTTCAGAGGCCCACAGCCCCTCCGAGGCAACTGGTCCCTGAACTTGTGAAGGGTCTCCTTACCCACAGGTCTCAGCTGTCACTCCCTGGCTACCCACCTCCCCAACCAGAGATGGGATGAGGTGCCACTCCCGTGTGCTGGCTGGCAGGGCTCCACGCTGGCTGGAAGTGAAGGCCCAGTCCCTGCCTCAGTGCCCCGATCCCTGTCTGTCGCTGACTGACACTTTGCAAAATACAATAAAACGAAACACCAAAGGAAGAACTGCCCCTGTGCTTGGATTCACAAGTGTCGGGTCGCTGCAGAGTTTGTTGAGTGCCTCCTGGATTTCTGCGCTGATCTCATACAGACTGGCAGAAACCGTTCCAGGACTGGTGCTGACCTCAGGGCTGCTGTGAGCTGCATGGCCCCATAGCACCGTGTGTACCCCACGCACTCATCACACTAGGGTGCTGCTTCCAGAACGTATCCTCGCGCCCCTCAGCAGGGTGCAGGCCAAGGCAGGAGGCGTGTGGTATTGATTGATTGGTTAATAGAACGGGGGACCTATTTTAAACATTTGTTTTTCTGCTTTTTCTTTTACTTTCACACTTTGACAAGGGTGTGTCCTTTAAAAGCTGGTTGGGAATTGTTAATGGGTGACTCTGATATTTCCATATAAGTAGTTTTTAAAAATGTATCAGGCATGGAAGCCACACATTCATGGACCGATACACCCCATAAGTAGATCTTTGTTAAGTGTTATAGAATGATACAGGGTGTTGGCCGGGCGTGGTGGCTCACGCCTGTAATCCCAGCTATTTGGGAGGCCGAGGTGGGTGGATCACCTGAGGTGAGGAGTTTAAGGCCAGCGTGGCCAACATGGTGAAACCCCATCTCTACTAAAAATACAAAAAACTAGCCAGGAGTGGTGGTGGGTGTCTGTAATCCCAGCTACTTGGGAGCCTGAGGCAGCAGAATCACTTGAACCCAGGAGGCAGAGGTGGCAGTCAGCCGAGGTTGTGCCCTTGCACTCCAGCCTGGGCAATAAGAGCGAAACTCCATCTCCAAAAAAATAGGGTGTCAAACCTCAAAAAAGTTCTAGGCTCCACTTGGGAGATCAAGTTTGTGCACACAAAAAGTTCTAGACAGAGAAAATGCTGAGGTGCCAAAAGGAGAAATATCGACATGAGGACCTGCAGAGGCAGGAGCACCCCCGAGGACAAGAGTGGCCAAGATTTGGGAGCCTGAGGCAGGTGGATCACCTGAGGTCAGGAGTTTGAGACCAGCCTGGCCAACATAGCGAAATCTCATCTCTACCAAAAATCCAAAATATTAGCTGGGTGTGGTGGTGCATGCCTGTAATCCCAGCTACTCGGGAGTCTGAGGCACAAGAATTGCTTGAACTCGGGAGGCAGAGGTTGCAGTGAGCCGAGATTACACCATTGCACTCCAGCCTGGGTGACAGAGTGAGACTCCATCTCCAAACAAACAAACAAACAAACAAACAAACAAACAAACACGTGGCCAGGAAGGCTGTGGAGAAGGCTGCATCTGGGGGAAGCCTTGAGGTCTGTGAGGGAAGAGTCAGGTGAGGACAGACCCCAGGCAGATGCAGAAGTGGGATCCCAGCCAAGGAGGGTCCTCGAGCCCCAGGTGCCAGGCAGGCCCTCACCCTCCGTCCTGGAGGCAACCAGCAGCCACTACAGCTGTTAGCAGAGGAGGACCGGGCTCCCTAGCTAGCTGTGTTTTGCCAGCTGTTCCTGCTGATGGTGGGTCAGAGGGGGGCTGAAGGCAAGGAAACCTGGTCACAGATCCAGAGCCTCAGCGAGTACAGCAACCCCATCTACCCTGGTTGCCCATAGCCTCCAGCAGTGGGGCTCTGTACTCCCAGGAAAGCTGACCAGCCTCCAGGGAGTACCCCACGGAGCTTGGCCCCATTTCCAAGGACCAGTCATGACGTGTTCCATGCTCTTTAAACACAATGGACAGCATCTACCAGCCCTCATTTGCAGGTTCATAGAACTGATTAAAAACTATGTGTTTCTGCATCTACAGCTTTAAGTAATAAATAGTGCCAGAGCACCTTAAATTATTTGCATTTTTCCGTCTTTTAGAAATACATTGATTTTGACTGCGAGGGGTGTGTGGACAGGGGAAGCCCAGAGGGGAGGTGTCCCCAGAGTTCAGAGCGGTCCTCAGTGGTCCTCGGGGCCCCAAGGGATGGATGCCAGGCCGTGGCATGGGATGGGGAGGCAGCCCGAGCAGGCGTGGCCCTACCTGGGTGAACAGGTCCAGGGCCTTGTGCAAGTTGGCGTGCATGCCCGTGGGGGGCTCGTTGGTGATCTTGATGGCGTTCTCCAGAATGCCCTGGGGGATGATGTGGGTCTCGGGGCTGGGGGCAGGCTCCGCGCTGATGAACACCCGGTAGTCCTCATGGCTGCCCGTGCTGTAGTGCTCCAGCTTCTTGTCCAGTGTTCCCAGCCACCGGGCCACCAGGTGGATATTCTGCAGCCAAGACTAGAGGCTGGTTACACACTTTGCCCAGCTCCTGGCCCACGAGGAGAGACTGGCACGTGGCTATGTTCCCTGGTGAGGGCAGGGCTCTTCTGCCAGCACCCCACACTTGCCTGGTGCTGGCACTGCCCCACCCCTCACCTGTCCACCCTA